>NC_000002.12:84139159-84444542 GCF_000001405.40 Homo sapiens | reverse complement strand
TGTGGTCCTGTGGTCCTGTGATCTCACCCTGCCTCCATTTGCCTTGTGATATTCTATTACCTTGTGAAGCACATGATCTCTGTGACCCACACCCTATTTGTACACTCCCTCCCCTTTTGAAAATCACTAATAAAAACTTGCTGGTTTTACGGCTTAGGGGGCATCATGGAACCTGCCGACATGTGATGTCTTCCCCGGACACCCAGCTTTAAAATTTCTCTCTTTTGTACTCTGTCCCTTTATTTCTCAGACCAGCTGACACTTAGGGAATATGGAAAAGAACCTAAGTGAAATATCGGGGGTGAATTTTGCCCAATATCTGGCTGAATTTCCCCCAATACTAAGGAGAGAGAAAGAGAAGAGGAAAACCAGGGGAAGTCAAGCCCCAGAAGCCTAGTGAAAATGAATCAGTCCTTGGAGCTGTTTTTGGTTGTCATTAACTGGATGGAATTATGAGAGTTAGGAGGGTGTGCTACTGGCATCTAATGAGTGGAGCCCATGGATGCTGCTAAATGTCCCACTAGGCACTGGATGACCTCTCATAAGAAAGAATCATCCTGTCCAAAATGTCAATAATGCTGAGGTTGAGGAGGAAAAGTGAATGGATAGAGAAATACAGGTTGGTGGGTGGGCAGTATTGAAGGCTTACTTAAGGTGAGTGATCATTAATTTAAAATGAGACCAGTTGACATGTTTTTTTGTTTTTTTTTCCCTTAGCCACTTTTTGGCTGCACATGTATAGGCTTAGAAGTAGGGGAAAAATTGGATTTGACCCAGGTTGTGGTTTTGCCAGATATTTAAGTTGAAGTGAGAGAAAGCCAAGATTGTTGTGGGAGGGTAATGATCTACCATGAATTTTAAACTGAGGAGTGTGAGCACATGAGGAGTTGAGAAACAGGGAGTTTCTGGTTATCAGCCAAGTTTGAAAACAGGGAATCAAAGAGGCCTTGTTTATAGCTATTTTGGCTTTTCAGAGGCTTGTTTTGCTTCAAGATTCAAAGCTATGTTTAGTAAATATATGTTATTGTCTGGGAATAGTTAACCTATTTGTTTTTCTTTTCCTAAGTTGCTAAGATTGCTTTTGCTTCTCTTGGGCTTACCAGTCTGCTGTTTCTCATGGATCTTGTGCTTTTTCCCCTCAGGGCACCTTTCACAGCCAGCAGGCATTGGAATATGGCACCAAACTCGTTGGAGGAACCACTCCAGGGAAAGGAGGCCAGACACATCTGGGCTTACCTGTCTTTAATACTGTGAAGGAGGTAATTAGTGGTACCTGAGTTTGGCAAGACAAGAAAAGCAAGGGAAGAGCGAGCATTCTTTGGGTAGAGATCTTAATTATGTTTTTTTGGTAGAGTCACTTGCTATTTGAAAATTCAGTAACCTAGAGAAATTTGAATTGCCATCAAAACCAGTGTGTTATTTTTGTTTCTAGGTATGAATCAGCTATTAAGGGAGGAAGTACTGTGGCCAGGCTTCTGTTGGGCTTTTTACGCTTTCCTTACCTTTCTTCTTCCAGTATGTTAGTAGTACAAATGTCAGCAACCACCCCTTAATTCTTCCTGAGTGGGGACTATGCAGTAGGCACTGTGCTAGGTGTTTCATTCAAATTGCCCTGTTCAGGCCTCACTACAACCCTCGGAGGTAGGTGCTGTTATCATCCTCATTTTAAAGATAACGATGTTACTAGTGCAAAGAGGTTAGAGATCTTGCCCATGGTCTCACAACTGATTAAGTGGCAGGCTTAGGATGGCTTGGAGTAGAGTGGTCCCGTGTGAAGAAACTAAATTGTAGAGTCAGATTTACAAATCACAGTGTCCTAGATTCTCCGCAAACTGCTGATTTCTTAATAGTTACCTTTTAAAATGATTTTTAAATTAAATTTTATTATTTGTTACAAAACTGATAGGTACTTTTTGTAAAAATTCAGACGATACAAAAAGTAAGTAAAGTTAAATTTTACAGTGTTTTCGAAATCTCAGATTTTGCCTCTGTAGGGAGCTAATTTAAGCTCAGTGTGTAGTCTTTCATTCTCTTTTGACTCTTATATGAATATATACAAAACTAATAGTATTTAAAAGAAACTATAGTGTAAATTCTTGGGTATTTAATTTTAAAAATCTAGGAAATAAACTTAGTTCTTTGGGATGATGTGTTGATCAGCCTTAAATGTATTCTTCCTCTCTTCTTTTGCATATTTTTAAGGTATGTTTTAAAGCATTACATTTTTTAAAGCACAAATTTAAAGTCCTTCCTGCCTTAAATTCTATTATGGCTGATTTTATAACCTCAAAATATAGAGAGGAGATGTTTTTTTACAATTCCTCTAGGTTGACTTTTCTTTTGTCATGAGCCTCTTTTTGCTTTTTTTTTTTTTTTAAAGAAAGTTCTTCTTGCTAAGCAATCCATTTATAATTTATAGTGACACAAATAGTTGTGACATTTGGAATATTCTATAAGTTTTTTGACAGATATTGTTTATTTTTCACCCGTTCTGCTCTTACAAAGGGCTTTTTGAATGAGTAGGGTTGGTACCTTTCATCCATATGACGTCCCAGCACAATATTTGCTGTTGTCACAGTATAGCTTCTGGCAGTATTTGTAGACTTTAGAGGTAGAAAACTATGTAATGTAGGTACTTTTCATTAAAGTACCTACATCCCCATGATGTGACTTTTTTTGATTCCATACTAGTTTTAATGTTTTTTGTGTCTCCCCCTCTGTTATCATCTTGAACAGAGTTTTAAAAAATTATTTTTAACCCCCGGCATCATTTGTGGATGATATGTTGGCATTCTTTGACTCTGTTCACTGTCAGGCTGCTTTCAGATTTACTGACATGCCATAGAGAGTGAGATGTCACAGAAGCTTTCAATTCACAGTGGCATTCAAATGGGCTGAGAAAGGGCTATGCTTGATTCTGTTCTACTCTGACAGTGTAGCAAATTTGAGAATGGGAAGAATGCTATGTCTCTGGGTAGTGTCCTTTTCTTACCCCAAGACATTATTAAAATGATGGTATTGAATTTATTTTACAATGTTTATGATTTAACAAATAATAAGGTGCTTCGTCGTTAATGTTTCAGGCCAAAGAACAGACAGGAGCAACGGCTTCTGTCATTTATGTTCCTCCGCCTTTTGCTGCTGCTGCCATTAATGAAGCTATTGAGGCAGAAATTCCCTTGGTTGTGTGTATCACTGAAGGAATTCCCCAGCAGGACATGGTACGAGTCAAGCACAAACTGCTGCGCCAGGAAAAGACAAGGCTAATTGGGCCCAACTGCCCTGGAGTCATCAATGTGAGTGCAAAAAAACAAAAAGAAACTCAGATTAAGCCTCTCACAAGGCTAAACAGCTTTGAGTGAATGCGAGTGTATTTGTGTGTATGACCTGTGAGTGACTTTTTTTTTTAACATTTCTGAAAACTATGATTACTTTCAGCCTGGAGAATGTAAAATTGGCATCATGCCTGGCCATATTCACAAAAAAGGAAGGATTGGTGAGTTTGTTTGTTACATTCTTATAGATTAAAACGTTATTTGCCTTAAACCCTCAAAACTCACAAAGAATTTTTGACTTTGCAAATCAAGTTTAATTAATTTGACTTGAGTAGAATTTACCAGGGAAGTTTTGTAGTCTATCAATTCTGTATCTTGAATATAATGAGTTTATTTGAGAAGCCGTTACAATTCTGCAGAATCAGTGAAGATTTTTTTGGTGGTGGGAGTTTAAAGATTTTTTTCTGCTCAGCACTCTGTGGATTACTCCATGTGTTTGCATATATCAGTAGTTAATTTCATTAACTGTTATAACTTAGTTATTGCTAAGGAGTATTCTGTTGTATAATTATACCACAGTTTGTTTATTCATTCTCCCATTAATGAACATTTGGGTTGTTTTCATGTTTGAGCCTTACAAACAAGGCTTAGGTCAACATTTGTGTACAGGTCTTTTTGTGGAAACATTTTCGTTTCTCTTGGGCAAAATGTGTAGGAATGGAATTGCTAAGTCATGTTCATATGAACATAAGTCAAGTATATTTAACTTTATAAGAAACTGCCAAATAGTTCTGCAAAGTGGCTATATCATTTTATATTTTCACCATTAATGTAGGAGAGTTCCACTTGCTCCATATCTTCACAAAGATTTGGTATTGTTAGTCTTCATTTTTTTGAGACAGAGTTTTGCTCTGTCGCCCAGGCTGGAGTGCAATGGCTCGATCTCGGCTTACCCCCACCTCCGCCTCCCAGGTTCAAGTGATTCTCCTGCCTTAGCCTCCCGAGTAGCTGGGATTACAGGCATGCGCCACCACGCCCAGCTAATTTTGTATTTTTAGTAGAGACGGGTTTCTCCATGTTGGTCAGGCTGGCCTCGAACTCCCGACCTCAGGTGATCTGCTGGCCTCGGCCTCTCAAAGTGCTGGGATTACAGGCGTGAGCTACCATGCCCGGCTATTAGCCTTTTTAAATGTAGCCATTCTACTGAGAGTAAAATGGTATCTCTTGTGGTTTTGAGTGTCCCTGATGACTAATAATGTAGAGCACCTTTTCATGTGCTTATAAGGCCATTCACATACCTGCTCAATAATTACCTTGTTCTTTTAGATATCACAAACTTTCTCAAAATGTTTTAGGTTTGTAGGCACCTTAGAAAGCAGGGCAGTGATCAGAAAGGGAACTCAGATGGCCTGTCAGGAAAATTGCCCTGCTACTTGGTTAGTTCCTTGAGGAAATAGCCAAAGTAACATTTCAAAGTTAGCCACATTAGGCTTGTGTTTAGGCTTTACACCAAAATTTCTCTAAACTATACTGTTTTTCAGTCATGAAAGATGATTGACCATATTTTTCTCTATCTATAAACCATGGCTACTAATAAGGGTAATTAATTGTCACAGTGGGTGTCGGCTGTGCAGTTTACAGAATTGGGTTAAAGATCATGATTTTTCTTTATTACCAATGTCTCTTGGAGCTGTCAGCCCTGCTGCCAGTGGCAGTACTTGATAATTTCATTTACAAGAGAGATTTCAGGGAGCTCCATAGGCCATCTGAGTTCCAGTGGGGCCAGATCCATGTATCACTGATGCTCTTGTACATATTTGAATATTTCTTATATTCTTGGGTCTGTTTTGAAGGCTGTGGTCTTAAGGTGAGCATGGAAGGAATGCTCTGTGCTGAGTTGCCTTTCTGATCACTGCTCTGCTTTCTAAGGTGAGCATAAACCTAAAAAATGAAAATCAAGAGAAGTTCAGGGAAGTCCTTTAGACCTTGCCTTTGTGAATGGTCATAACCCATTGATGAGACAGTCGTCTGGGAGACTGCTTTTAATTCCTTTGAAAAAGGACTTTTTTTTTTTTTTTAAAAAAAAGAAGAAAATATGTGACACTGTGTCCAGAGTTGGTTCCTTCCAGTGGGTTCTTGGTCTCGCTGACTTCAATGAAGCCGCGGACCTTCGCAGTGAGTGTTACAGCTCTTAAAGGTGGCATGGACCTGAAGAGTGAGCAGCAGCAAGATTTATTGTGAAGAGTGAAAGAGCAAACCTTCCATGGCATGGAACAGGACCTGAGTGGGTTGCAGCTGCTGACTGGAGTGGCCAGCTTTTATTCCCTTATTTGTCCCCTGCCCGTGTCCTGCTGATTGGTCCATTTTACAAACCTCTAGCTACAGAGCGCTGATTGGTGGGTTTTTATAGAGCACTGGTTAGTGCATTTTACAAACTTCTAGCTAGCTACAGAGCGCTGATTGGTGCGTTTTACAATCCTAGCTACAGAGTGCTGATTGGTGCATTTTATAATCCTCTTGTAAGACAGAAAATTTCTCCAAGTCCCCACTCAACCCAGGAAGTCCAGCTGGCTTCACTTTCAACACTACAAGATTTTTGAGGGGGTGAGGAGAGAAAGATGGTTATTTGTGCCAACTCTTCCTATTTTGGTACCATTGCTAATAGTCTCAATAGCCTCCTTGACTTCAGATCCTTAGGTTGAGAGTTAAGGGAAAGGAAGGACTTTTCAGTCCCTTGGATATTTCTGAATGGAATATAATGTAATGTAATAGCAGTATAATAGTGTAATGGATTTCCAGTTTTTGTTAATAACAGCTAATATAATTGCATATCTGCTAATTGAGTGTTATCGAAGAAAGTGATTGGATTCCAAATTGATGATATTTAACTGCACCATGTTATTTATTTCTCTTATGATAGACAGTTTGTTACTCTCAACCACATGTCACATACTTGACTCTTCTGGCCTCTTTTAAAATTTTAAACTGCCTATATTGAGATAACTATAAATTCATGTGTAGTTGTAAGAAATAATACAGACAGATCACCCTTTATCCAGTTAGCCCAATGGTTAACATCTTGCAAAACTGTAGTATAATTTCATAAACAGGATATTGACATTGATACAGTCAATATAGAGAACTTTTCTATAACCACAAGTATCCTTCATGTTACCCTTTTCTAGTCACGTGCCTCCTGCTTCCACCCCCTTCTCAGTTCCTGACAACCAGTAATCTACTCTCCAATTGTATAATTTTGTCATGTCAAGAATGTTATATAAGTGGAATCATACAGAATGTAGCCTTCTGGGATTGCCTATTTATAGTCAGAATAAGTCTCTAGAGATTCATCCAGCTTGTTGTGTATCAATGGTTTGTTTCTTTTTATTACTGAGGAGTATTCATGGTATGAATGTACTTCAGTTTGTTTAACCATTCACCTGTTGAGAGACATCTGGGTTGTTTTCAGTTTGGCCTATTACAATTACAGCTGCTATAAACATTTGTATACTGGTTTTTGTGTGAACATTGTCTTCATTTTTTTGGAATAAATGTCCAGGAGCATGGTTGCTGGGTTGTATGATACTTGCATGTTAGTTTTTTAAGAAACTGCTGAATTGCTATCCAGTTTAAGAAACTGCTAAATTGCTATCCAGTGTAGCTGTGCCATTTTCCATGTCTACCAGCAATGTATGATCCAGTTTCTCTACAGCCTTGCCAGCATTTGGTGGTGTCACTGTGTTTTTATTTTAGCCATTCTGGTAAGTGTTTAGTGATAGCTCACTGTAGTTTTAATTTGTATTCGCCTAATGGCTAATGATATTGATTATCTTTTTATAGATTTTTAAAATAAATTTATTTGCCATTTGTTATCTTTTTCAGTGAAATGCCCCTCCTTGGGTTTTGCCCATGTTCTAATTGGATTGTTTACATTTTTATGGTTTATTTTTTACAGTTCTTTGTATGTTCTAGATACTAATACTTTGCTGGATATCCAGTTTACTTTTTCATATTTATTTAAAAGTATCTTGTTTGTATCTATAAAAACTCTTCTTGGGATTTTGATAGGAATACACCATTACATAAGTAGGTAGGCATTATCCACCTAATCTTCTCAATGATGAAATGTCCCATAGAGGGGAGGGACCGTGTTGAAGACAGAGGATGTGGATGGGACAAAGGCACTGAGAATAGGGGAAAAGTGATAAATGAGACATACGTGGGGTGGAAGTTGTGGTGGTTGTCATTTGTTATGCATTAGGGTTCAGTAAGTGAATAATCTTAAAACTATTAAAATTAAATTTCACTTAAGAGGGTGGTCTTACTCCATTGATGAGTTTTCAGTTTCAACTCACTTAGTAAACATATATGTTTACCTTCTGTGCCTGGAACTGTGCTTTAAGCTGGGAATATAGGGGTTGTGAAGACTCTTATTTATTGACCCATTGAAAATTATAGTCTAGTGAAGAAGGTAGCTGCTATAGAATCTCAAGCACCATTGGTGGTCTTTTACTGAACCAGGTGGTAGGAGAACATTGTTCTTAATTGGAGAATCAGTGTGTGGTCAGGATATTCAAATTTCAGGCTGGTTGATCAAGCCTGACTATGAATTTATTTTGCCAAGCCAAGATTATTAGATAAAAATTAAAACTTGAAATTTATCCTTCCCTTTTTTCCTTATGGACCTTTTACAGATGGATCATTCCATTTTACTGTGTCAGCAGTAGGAGGCCATGTTATGTGGCAGATTCGAGGGCAGGGCTCAGGCCAGCAGGTAGTCTCCTTAGAGATGTTAAGCTGTTGATCGGAGGCACTGTCTTGCCTTCTGAATAAAAAGTTTGTGTTCGTTCCATCCCAAGGCAGTCTTTCTGTAAGGCAAATATAAATATCTGCCTGTTAAAGCTAGGTAGAATCAGTATTTTAGATCAGCTTTTCAGGATTTCTGCTCTTGATAAAATTTTTGTTTTTTAAAAAGCATTATTATGATTTTAATATAATTCTTAACAGTGCTGAAAGTTAGCATTACCTAAAAGTGACCTCAAACTTAGTAGTGTTTGCTGTAACACTAGAAAAAAATAATTACCTGTAGGTTGCTGTAGGCCATTCAGTGTTCTCTTCTTGATCCTCCCTCTGTCCTCAGTATTTGCCATCAGTACCTGCCTTGACCTCAGGAGCAAGAAGAGTTGACAAGAAATGAGCCCTCTTGTTACCGGAAGGTACTGGAATTGTACTGCAAGAACTGCTGTTCTTGTTTTCTTAGAAGAAAAAATTCAACCAAGAGATGCACAACAAGGGTTAAGTAGCAGAGTTTATTGAAGGAAGATAAAATGCATTCAAAGAGAGGAACGGCTGACTGGCTGGCTGACCTCCTGGAAAACAGTAGTGGCAGTGTTTATTTAAAGAGACAGCACACCCTGAGAGATGATTCAGAACAGGCTGCTGGAAAGAGAGGATGAGCTAGCAGCAGCTAATGCTGGGGGACCCTCTTTATGAGAATATTGCATGATTATTCATGAGGGGGGCATGAGAGGGTATCAGTTGCAACCATGTTTTAAGCAGTCTCCTTGTGTGTACATGCTACATGCTCTGTAGTTGTACATGCTAGTATACACCTCGCATGTCTCATTAGCATTTAAAATCTCCACACAGGGATGTGGTTTTTACTATTATAATGAACAAAAGCCTACTGTGTAGTCATTGCCTTCTTGCAGACGGTCAGCAGGCAGCGCCTCCAGGACTTTTCCCAGGGCTCCCCTGCTTGCTTGTTTCTGGCCATCTGCCTAACATTCTTACGTGTCTTATGGTAACATTAGGGCTAATAGTGAACCATTCAATGAATGACGTTGTTTCTACCCCAGAAATACTCTCACAGTGGTAGGGAAGATATAACTTCTGCTTATTTCTTAGTAATGAGGGCAGTAGGAAATATGAAAGCATTGAGGAGATTTAGAGAAGGAAATTATATCTCACTTCTCTTTGGGGGTGATCAGGAAAGACCTCAAAGAGAAAGTAGCATTTAATGTGGACCTTGAAGGATGATTAGAAGTTTTGTCAGATGGTGGAGGTGAAACACTCCATCTTAAGCAGAACAAATATGAAAAGATAGGAGAGCATGAAATATCAATGAGGAATAACCCAGTTTCACTAGGTAGGGAAATAGTAAGAAACAAGTCTGGAGAGGGAAGCTGGGACTCTGCTGGGCTGGCGAGTTAGAGCAGAGTTCCACGTGAAGTGAGGCATCGTCGAGGATTTAGTTGTCACTGTCTAGTGAAATGCATCTAAAAGAGCAATCTGACAGTGTTCTGTAGGGTCTGCTTAGCAATGACTAAGTTACGTACACACCATTCTTTGAATTTGACTTTGAATTTGGTATGTAGAACCTGAAGTTATTGTGTGCCCAAATTCATAGTGAGAAGATGTGTTTATGCATAGGTCACACACTTAGTACGCATTAGTATACAATAATGGTGACATAGCACTTTGTTTAAGAGTGTAAACATGTAGCACGGAAGTTGAGGTAACTTATAGTTATGGTTTTTGTCTCAGGTTGACAAGAATTCTACCTGCCCTGGTAGGGTGATCATATTGTTAGAAAAGGGTCTTCTGAGTTCTTCAGAGTTGCTCCAAGGCAGGAGTTTAAGGAAAGTAAACCATGGACACCCTGGATTAATTTTTTTGTTTGTCTAAAGTATTACATAGATTGTGGCTTTGAATAAATTACCTTTCTGGAAGCTCAGCCAAGCATAGTAAACTACAAGAGAAGACATCTAACTGTCACTCCTCCCTGGCCCCCACTGGCTCTCCTCCCTCGGCGCACACCTAATCCAGATGTGAAATTAAGTGCTTTCACACAGGTCCATTTATAAAGGAAATTAGGTGGGAGACTTGATTCCAGAGGGATCTTGACCTTATTCCCCAGTTTTCTTTATATTGATTTTAAAGCCTATATATTGGTTGAAAATCATTGGGAAAATAGTTGTGGAGAAGATAGGTAGTATTTTAAAATGTGACTAATGCTAGTTTTGATGGTTTAATAGTTTGGGTACTGTATTATTCTGTTTTATATTGCTACAAAGGAATATCTGAGCCTGGATGATTTATAAGTAAAAGAGATTTGTTTGGCTTATGATTCTGCAGGCTATACATGCATGGTGCTAGCATCTGTTCAGCTTCTGGTGAGGCCTCAGGAATCTTTTACTCATGGCAGAAGGTGAAGGGGGAGTAGACGTGTCACATGGTGAGAGAGGGAATGAGAGAGGCCAGGATCTTTTCAAGAACCAGCTCTCATGTAAAGGAACAGAGTGAGAACTCACTCATTACCATGGAGAGGTCACTAAGCCATTCATGAAGGATCTATCCCCATGACCCAAACACCTCCCACCGGGCCCCACCTCCAACACTGGGCATCACATTTCAACCTGAGATTTGGAGGGGACAAATACCCAGACTACATAAGGTAGTATAAGTCTAATCTATTACATTCTGCCACTGTAGGTATGATTAGTACCTACCAAATTTATACTGATACTAGCTTCTTCATAAAGATTCTCAGAAGAGGTAATTTAAGTCTTTCTTGCATTGTTTTTATAGTCATAAAATAACCTTAACTAATAATATACTTTCTCCTTTGTCTAAATTAAAAAACCCCCCTGCTTGAATTTAAGCCTTTCCTTTTCATTTCATCGTTTGAAGATACTATTGATTTTGATGGCAAATCATGGAATGAATTTTATACCTATGTTAGTCACTCGAAGTGTTTGGTAATTTAGTTTACCATGTTTTAGTCTAACATAGAAACACAATCTAATATTTTTGAATTCTCTTTCGTTAAGGCATTGTGTCCAGATCTGGCACCCTGACTTATGAAGCAGTTCACCAAACAACGCAAGTTGGATTGGGGCAGTCTTTGTGCGTTGGTGAGGGACTTTTGCTAAAATCATTTTATTGGAGTGTGGTGTCTTCATTGGATGAGTATAATAATAATTATTGATTTTATTATTTGCAAAAGATTTTGATACTCTTATGAAAAGGATGTTACGATCTCAAATTTAATTTGCTTAAGTGTAAAGTTATTCTGTAGTTGTTTCAAGATTCATGGTCCAAGATTTCATTTCTAGGTTGAAGAACTAACATCTTGGAACACGTGGCTCCCGAAGCACCTTGGTGCCTGAAAACATCACTTGGTTTGATTGCTCTGAAGAAATGGTTCCTTATATTAGGACTTTTGTTATCATTGCCATTATGTTCATCAGTGCTTTATAGTTACTGAATTCTTTGCCATTCAGTGTCTCATTCTTGAGGGAAGCCTCTCAGGTGCCTCTGAGCTGGAAAATTGTACTGTTAGAGCCTTATTGGTGAGAAAGTCAAGGTTGAGGAAGGTTCATTTCCTCAGAACCTCTCTTTTTATCACACTATACTGCCTCCCATTTGAAAAAGTAAAAATTACAAATTTTTACATTTTAAAATAATTTCATTATTTGTTGCCAAAAGCCAAGGCAAATTCCTCCTTTTCATATTAATAAATATTCTTTCAAGTTCTTAGAATACCTGTTAATGTTTTAGAATTATCTTTACGAAAAAGTAACATATAGCTCTGGAGTGTTTTTATTAAGATTCAAATTCATAAATTAAATATTGAAAACATTAATTGAGCATTTGTACATGCAAAGCACAATATAAGTGGAAGATACTTTTTAGTGTGACAGAGAATAAGAAAAGGTTTGAAACAGGCTTACCGATTCCTTCTTTTCCAGCTTCAGTTTTGAATTTGTAAGTGGAGGATAATAATGCCTATCTCACAGAGAAGTTGAGAAAATTAGGAAATGACAGATCTAACGTGTGCCAAAGCATAGGACTTGACACACGGTTGGCACTTAATAAATGCCGGTTCTCTTCTTCCACTCCATTTTTCAGAGATGCAGTGAAAAGAAAGAAATCAATCCTGCCCTCAGTAAGTTTGTAATTTAAAAATAAAAAACGGCAGCCTGTCTGTAGGGAACATTTACTTTAACCCTGTCCATGAATTTGTTCTTAAATGTGGTGTGTAGTATGGCTCTGATATGCATGCTCTGTCATCATCCACTCTGGATCCAGAACACGAGCAGTCAGGGTACTCACTGTCACTCACTGGCACTTGTGTCTTAAAACTTGTGGGTGATTTATCTGCAGCATACTTCATCAAATAGTTTCTTTACTCAAAGAAATTTGTTAAATGTTTATTCTTTCCTCTGGTGTAACATCAGCATGCAACACAGATACACATTTTCTTAAAATGTTCATTTCTAAGGAGTTATCTGGGAATAATTTTGTGGGACAGAAGAGGCTTGATAAAGGAGCTAAAACAAAAAGAGGGTTGTCTTCGTTACAGCCCTAGAATATTCCTAGAATATCAGGAACCAACCACCATTTAGCATTTATATAATATTACCAACAGAAATAAATGTAGCATTTTGTGATTTTTTAAATATTAAATGCAAGAGCAATGATACATTTAAAAATATAAGAGAGAAGGGTAAGAAAAATGACAAACTAGTTAAAAACATTTATTGACCTAAATTCCATGGTTCACCCTTAAATTTCCAGCTATTGATATTTTTCAACTTTTTCAGGCATTGGAGGTGATCCTTTTAATGGAACAGATTTTATTGACTGCCTCGAAATCTTTTTGAACGATTCTGCCACAGAAGGCATCATATTGATTGGTGAAATTGGTGGTAATGCAGAAGAGAATGCTGCAGAATTTTTGAAGCAACATAATTCAGTAAGTTTGGGTTTGGAAAAACATAGCTCTTTGCTCTTAATATCAGAGGCTTGTTTCAGAAGTTATTTTTATTTTTTCAAAGGTGAATTTTTTGAGAAAACATGAAAGATAAAACTTTCTGAGCAGGGCCTTCTATACTGGACACTCAGACAATTCTGTATTATTTCTGGGTTGATTCTCTGCTTCTCTATTCTGAACTCTCCTCCCCAGGCATCACCCCACACTTTGTGGTAGGTAAGTCGTTCTCCTGCTGAACAGATACATTCAGGCCATCAGCCCGAGAGCCCGCACTTGACCTGCAGACTTGGTTTTCACCTGTGACCAGTATTCTTTCTCCCGATCTCAGAGGGAAATAAGTGGTTTTTTCTCTTTTTCAAGGCTGACCTAAAGATCCTATCCCTTGTGCTTTTTTTCAGGCTCTGGCTTCCTTCCAGTTTTAGACTTTCCTTGTGGAATGGCACTTCCCTTCAGAGATCAAGTAGAAAAGCTTTACTGTCTATGTCCTGGGGAGGCTTTCCTTGTTGCTTCTCACTTAGAATTAAATGTAAAGGAGTAGTGTTGAGTTATGTCATCATTTCATTCAGCTTGAGGGAGTTAAGCCCTGTTCCTGTGGTGAAAGGAGAGATGGGGGTGCGGTAGTGACTGAAGCAGTGTGGTGGCCACCAGCCCCCACTCAGTGAATTTGTGCTGTGGCCATTGTTGTGTCAGAGAACTGTGGGAAAAAAATCAAGCAACTGATTTTCAGAATTTCTCTTATACTGAGGAATGAGTGAAAATTTTTCTTCAGGGGACCAGGCAAGAGAGTGGAGATCACTTTCTCTCTATATGTATGAAAAAAATCCACCAGTGAATGAATTAAATGCCACATAAAATAATACTGGAGAGTTAAAGGAACCAATAATATCATGTACAGGGTGGTTTACACAAAACAAGGCATATTTATTTGTGTTTTAAGGAATTTTCAAGGGCTATTTTGAATATACTTGATTTTCTTTTGTGGTGATTTTAAGCCCTAACTCCCATATTAGATATGACTCAGGTTTACCCTCATTCTCTCATTCTCTTTCCTTACTTTTCATTCATTCTTGAATCCTCAGCAATCAGGCTCCTGTCTGTCACTTAGAAGCTATATGACCTTGGGAATGCTTAATCTCTCGTTGCCTCAGGTTCCTTATTGGAAAAATGACGATATAGTAGTGCCTGCCTCCTAGAGTTATTGTAAGGACTGCGAAGTTTAAATGACTTAGTAACGTATAGCAAAGTAGTGCCCGGCACTTAGTAAGCACTCTTACTGAGCCACTGGCTGCTGTGGAATCTTCTTACTCTCCTGACATTGTGTTTGCACAGAGGTCACCAGTGGCCTTGATTCATTCGTCATCCTCTCCATCCTCTTGGTTTCTTTCTGGTTTTCCTCCTCTTTATCATTCCCTGGATCTATTTTCTGTGCCTATTTCTATGGCAGAAACCTGAGAACTAACTTTTATTTCTCTCTTATCCTGTTTCTACTCAGTTACCAAGATCTGTCTCTGAGACATCAGAGGTTTGTCTGGATTCAGAGCCTTGTCTGTACTTAGTCCATCTACTTTGGTTTGGGTCCTCATCCCATCTCATCTGGACCATCTCAGTGGTTTCCTTCTTGATCTCTCTTATTTTCTCCAACCACCCCCCTTTACTCTTAGGCCATTCTGTTTATGGCCACCCAAATTATCTGCCCTTCTGAAACATGGGTATTGGTGCTGTTTGTCCTTGGTTCACATCAGACAGTGTTTCCCATGTAATGTTTCCCATTACATGTCAGCTAAAGGCAGATTTAGCATGGTATTCCAGTCCTTCACATACCATCCAAACCTTCCCTTTTAGATCAGTTTTCCATCTGACATGCCAGTTTTCATTCTCACTTGCCTTTGCTTGTTCCTTCTGCAAGGAATGCTTAGTATCTGACTTTCACTCTAGACTGTGTTATGGACTGCAGGGAACTGTTAACTTCAGTGCCCTGCCCAGTCCCCTGGCACAGTGGGCACCAATACAGGTCATGTAAATGGAAGAGTAGATTGTTAAGGATTGGAGTAAAATGTTAGATTCCCTTGTGTTCAGAAAGTTGTACAGTTTGAAATATAAGTAAAAACTGACTTCTTTAAAAAAAAAAGTTTCGGTTAATACAGCATTGTGCTGTGTTAAGTTGAATTTAAAATGTATTTGGGCCCAATTCTGAATCCCTGGAATAGCCTAGTATTTAGTGGGAAAAATGAAACATAGACATTTTGTTTCATTTGGCAACATGTTTCCTATTCCTGGTTAGTTGTTATGGAATTAATTTTTATTGAGAACCTAATGTGTACAAGATTGTAAGTTAAGCAGTTCAGATGCTGCATTATATAAAATGCCTAGTGTAATACTTGGTGTAAACACTCGATAAACATGATCTGCTGCTGCCTTTCTTGTTATCATTACAATGATGATAATTATTTGCAAACGTTCTGGTGTTTAACTTTTATCCTGATGCTTTGGTAAGTTGTTTTTGTTCTTTCTTTATGAATGAGAAAACTGGTACAGGAAGATTAGTAACTTGACAATGGTAGGTATACAGCAAACGAACTGGGGTGAGATTCATACCCAGGTTTGTCTGACTTCTCCATTTCACCATGGAAGGATGAGGTGTCAGATTGAAGGAGTTAAGGACAAAGAGTCATCAATCCTGGGCATAGGCTCAGACTACACTGATAGCATTCTAACTGGCCTTTCTGTTTTTAGACATACCTTTCATCATTTTTGTGTCCTATTTTCAGACTACACTTCCCCATAGTCTTTTAGTTGTAGTTCTCTCCACTTAAAAAACAAAAACAAATAAGCCTCCAATGGCTCTTTGTTAATGGGACAGATGCAAATTTGTTTGCCATTCTAGGCTCAACAAAGTCTTGATCCTTTCTAGTGCAACAATATTCCCACTTTTTGGGGAACAGGGGAGTGGAATCAAATACAAATTAATGCCACTCAAACATGAGATTCTCATATTCTATGTAGATCTTATGAGTGAATGAGTAAATAATTTGTGGAGTCTTTTCTTTTTAATTCTATACCATAGGTACTACAGTAGGTGCCAGGCATACCGAAGTTAGTGAAAATATAACCTCTGTGTTCAGGGAATTCATAGTTTAGTAGAAGAACACACGGGGAATAGGTTATAGCCAGTGTGCTGAATTTAATAGTAGAAGGGTGTAAAAGGCACAACAGGGTCACTGATGAGATGATCACCTATGAGGGCATTTGTGGGGAGGGTGGGAGGGAGAGATAGAAAAGGCTTATGGGGAAGAGGAAGCTAGAGTCAGATCTTAAAAGTTAAGTAGGAGTTTGCCAAGCATCCAAGGAGGGTGGAGAGCATTCTCAGCAAAGGCACAGAGCTAGAGCATTCTGGGGTTACTGGAAGATAAGGAGAAAGGGAGGAAAGGTGGCAGATGAGGCAGGAGTAAGCAGTGTCTGACCATGTAGCTCCTTGCATGCTGCATCTTAGTGGGAATCAGGGCAGTCAGTCGAACCAGAGTAGCAGTCATTCACTGCCATGTACTACTCACAGTGCAAAGAAAAAAAAAGCCAGTTTCACTTATGAGTGTCCTTGATGAAGCAATGCAAATTATTAATTTTATTAAATTATGACCCTGGAGTCAGTATTTTGTGATAAAATGGGAAGTAAAGCATTGTCACAATTGAGTTGTGAGCTGAACTAGCTGCCCTTTTCATGGGACACCAATTTTACTTGAAAGAATGACTGGCAGACGAACTGGTAATTCAGACAGATCTCTTCTCAATAATGAACAAAGTAAACCTGCTGTGTCAAGGGAAACAGTTGATAGTATTTGTTGCTAATAATAACATTTGAACTTTCAAGTGAATATTTAAAATTTTAGAAAATTTGCATCTGCAACTGTGAGCTTGACAGCTTCCTCCTACCTAGAGGCTTTTCTAATGAGCTTGATGGTGATACTGATAACTGATTTGTTGTTATTAAATGATGAAACATGTCAGCATTTGGAAGATCTGCATAACTCAGTGAACCCATACATATTTCCTAACTGAGGAATGCATGTTACAAAATCACTGTGGTTAAAAGATCACTCAAAGTGCAAGACAGATTAATGAGTTTTAAATTAACAAGGGACAGAAAGTTCACTGCTATGGTTTCAGATTCCAACATTGCACCTAACCTGTAAGAAATTACCACTTGAGAGATTTGGTTAGTATCAAAGAAGAATACTCCCAATTATCTGTAAGGCAGTCATTTAAAATACTTCTGCCTTTTCCAGTTACATATCTGTGTGAGGCTGGATTTTCCTTTTATACTTCAGCTTAAATAACACACTACAACAGATTGAATGCAAAAGCATTTATCAGAATCCATTTGTCTTTCATTAAGTTAAACATTCAAGAGTTGAAAATATAAGTGGTAAAATAACGCAACTCTTCTCACTAGAATGGTTTTTAAAGTGTTAAAATGTTATTTTTAAGTGAATTAACAAATATTTATAAAATTTGTTTTAATTTCTAATATACTAAATATCATTAGATATAATACATATCAACAAAAGCTCTTTGAGATCGTCAATAATTCTTTTAAGTATAAGGGATCCCTAGACCAAATGATCTGAGAACTGCTGGTCTAGGGGAAGATGATGGTACCTAAGTGAAAGCTCTCAGGTTCCACTTGTGCTCAAGTTCTGCCTTTTCAGTCCTCTCTGTTTTACCTGGTTCCTTATTATCTCTGGACTTCTGTTATGAACATGATATTACCATTAATTATGAAACTTAATCATATATTCATATATTAGTTTATGGTATCTTTTTTTTTTTAAGACAGAGTCTTGCTCTGTCGCCAGGCTGGAGTGCGGTGGCATGATCTCAGCTCACTGCAACCTCCGCCTCCCGGGTTCAAGCGATTCTCCTGCCTCAGCCTCCCGAGTAGCTGGGACTACAGGCGCGAGCCACCATGCCCAGCTAATTTTTGTATTTTTAGTAGAGATGGGGTTTCACCATGTTGGCCAGGATGGTCTCGATCTCTTGACCTCGTGATCTGCCCGCCTCGGCCTCCCAAAATGCTGGGATTACAGGCCTGAGCCACCATGCCTGGCCTATGGTATCTCTTAATGGATTGAGGTATATACATATTTTATATTATTTCTTCAACTACTTTGCATGTCTAGAGTACAGACATTTTTATATTTTCTTTTTTTTTTTTTTTAAACCTCAGAATCTAGTATATAGAGATTGTACATTAGAATGGATTTTTGCTGAATAAAACCAATTCTGATCTTCCCTCTTAGACACAGAATTCCAGAGTGGAAAGGGCTTTTGGGCATCAATCCAGTTTGGCCATTTCATTTCATAGATGAGGAAGCAGAAGTCTGGTTCTCAAGAAGCCTTGTCCAAGGTCGTGCAGCTTTTGTTACTAGAAAATTAAGTCCTAGGTCCTTTCCAGTATACTTCCCACCTCATCTTTTTCTTTTAGCACATTTATTAAGGGTGAACTAATAATGAATTAAGGCATAATATTAGGTTGAAGTAAAGCAACCCAGTCTTGTGTCTTAAATTATTATTATCGCAAATCATATTTTCCAGTATGCTCTTTTACTTTTCAAATGATAGCGTCATGTGTATTTGTGAAGTGGAAGTTTTATATTGAACAGATACGGACATTGGCACAGTGTTGTATTCCTGAGTTTGTATGGAAAGTTAACTCAAAGGAGAATGCAGTGGTTTCAATCATGGTTTAATATTTGTGTTGGTTTTCCTAAGATGAATGGTGGGCTTTCCCCTGCCCAAGCCATTTACCATTTACCAGCAGAGTCATGAATTTGAGGTCCCGTTTTGATTGACTTCTTCATTAGAGCATTTAAAATATTACTTTCTTTCTAGGGTCCAAATTCCAAGCCTGTAGTGTCCTTCATTGCTGGTTTAACTGCTCCTCCTGGGAGAAGAATGGGTCATGCCGGGGCAATTATTGCTGGAGGAAAAGGTGGAGCTAAAGAGAAGATCTCTGCCCTTCAGAGTGCAGGAGTTGTGGTCAGTATGTCTCCTGCACAGCTGGGAACCACGATCTACAAGGTGAGCTCCAACAGTGGCCCAGGTGCTCTGAGGTTGCAGGCTTTCTCTGTGTGTGGCCACACTGGATACCTGGAAATCATGGCCTTTGCTTCTGGGACTTAATTGGTTTTCTGATGTGCAGCTTAATAGTTTGTATCAACTCTATTGATGTCCTAGTGCCCTAATTAGGCATGACCAGGAATAATGTTCTTATTTTAAAGCTTTCTTCTTTAAACATTGGGATTTTTATTTTTGTAAGTGGCAAGATACAACATACACAAAAAGCATCTTGAAGATCGTAAGTGTCATGATTTCCATTTTGAGAGTTTGGAAGGTAGCTGTGCAGAGAACTGCTTTATGTTTTGTTACTTGTTTTTTCCTTTGGGATATAGCCACCCTGACCCCATGGGTTTCTGTTTCTAGGGAGAGGAGGTTGGAGGCTGAGTAACAAGAAATGGAAATTGGATGAAGAAGGAGTTTGGGTGGAGGGAGATCTAAAGAGGATGGGGAGATTGGCCCTGGCTATGTTGTGATACCATTGTTAACCATTTTTTTGGTTTGTTTTTGGTTTTTTGTTTGTTTGTTTTGCTTTTCCTTTTTTAATAGGACATTATGGGTTTAAATATTCTAAGTAATTTGATGTCTTTTGTAATCTCTTTGCACTGATTTTCAGCTTGTCTCTTTGAGTGATCATTTAAGGCTCTCTCTCCCTCATTATTTTTATGATGGTATACCCCTGCCACACACACACAAAAAGCAAAAAACAACAAAAAATCTCCTCTTAAGCATGCTGAAAATAGGTACCAGTTGGTTTCCTAGAAGGGAACAGCATTCAGAGAGAATTTCAAAATCCTGATTTGGTGGTCTTCTTTGCCCTTGTCTTAGAGATAAATAAAGTGGACTCCTTTTTTTATTGATCTTTGCATGATCCTGCTCTTGGAATATAACACTATGTGCCAAAGTGTTTGAAAGAAATCTAGGTGCTTAGTGAGAGTGAGAAATAATTTTATTTGAAGGTGGGGTAAGGAGAAAAGCAAATGCTTAAATTCACATTGGAGATGTGTGTTACCATTTTCTTCCAGTAAGTGGCAGCAGGGATCTACACATTTTATCCTAATTGTTACAATCTAGAAAAATATGATTTTTGGTATTGTTTCCTTAAACACTACTTTGCTTAAGATATTTGTTTGTTTCAGGTATTTCTAAGGTTCTTGACATTTTGTTCAAATCCTTGTAACAATCTGTCTTTAGCTTTATTCTCTGAGAAACTGAGCAAACCTGTTTCCATTGCCTTCTTAGAAGGGTTCATGTATATAGCACTACAGAAGCATAATGAAGTTTCTCAGCTCCCAAAATTATTGTTATTATACTGCTGTGAAAAAATAAATATTATTCAAAACCTCCCTCTCTGCTTCTGGATTTAGGAAATGTAAAGTTGAAGCTCTGCATCTGTTTCGTGAAATTCAGGCTGACACAGACTGATTTTGAAAGCTGTTATTCTGTGTTCAAACACCCTCATCCTGGTACATTTTTCTTCTGTAATTTGATTGTTCAGGGGATCCTAAAGATAATAGGTTTCAAAATCATTTTGATCCTAAATGTGATTTGGATCTTTTATCTTTATTCATTCCATCTCTCTTCTCTCTCTCTTCTGTTTCTGAAGGAATTTGAAAAGAGGAAGATGCTATGAAAGAAAAAAAAAATTCCTAAAACTGTGGAATGGATCACGTAGACATGTAACCCAGCAGCAGTTTGCTTCTGTTGTCCACTGATTAATCAGCCTATGTGCCTGACACTGGTCTTGCAGTACAACTGGAAGCCAAAACAAGGTGGAAGATGTCCTGAATTAAGATGTTTTCACCACATTGTATTACAGAGACAGCCAATAAATCTACTATTTGATTTCAATATGGTTTTGGAGGCTTATTATTGTTCCAGTGTGAAGGATGAGGAGAGTGGGAGAAATGGAGGTGTATTTATGTGTGTGTATGTTTTAATATGTTCTTTTTGTTTGTTTGTTTGTTTGTTTGTTTTTCTTGGAGACAGAGTCTTGTTCTGTCACCCAGGCTGGAGTGCAGTAGTGTGATCTTGGCTCACTGCAACCTCCGCTTCCCGGGGTTCAAACAGTTCTCTCTGCCTCAGCTTCCCGAGTAGCCGGGATTACAGGCACCTGCCGCCACACCCGGCTAATATATTTTTTTTGTATTTTTAGTAGAGACGGGGTTTCACCAAGTTGGCCAGGCTGGTCTTGAACTCCTGACCTTGTGATCCACCTGCCTCGGCCTCCCAAGGTGCTGGGATTACAGGCATGAGGCACCGCGCTGGGCCTTTAATGGGTTCTTTAGAGAACATTGTAACCGAAACCTCTGGGAGAATGAGGCTGTAACAGTGTCAACGTGACATTTGTCTATCTTAGACATAGAATGACTTCAGGTATCTTTTGAATTATAGTTTTCTAATGTATGTATATATCTCCATCATGCAGGGTAGTTCAAAGGGTTGGAGATAATGTGTGAAGTCCCTGGCATGTAATAAGGCAACTTAATTGTCATCAGTGCCTCTATCATCACTACCATCCCCACCACACCATCATCATTATCATCATCAGGATTAGAGGCAGAAGCTCATTTATATTTCAGTTTCTGCCTCATTGGGAAATGGAGAATCTTCACCAATGCCATGCTTTTCTGTGGTTCTGCAGAGGGCCCATCCAGAGCCCACATTCTTTGAGGTTTAAGACATTTCACTGCAAGAAAACTGGAAAGCTGTTAGCCATCCTGTTTTGTGTTTAAAAGAACTTCTTAACAAGAAGTAATCCCAGTGGGTAATTCCCACTAAACAAGACAGAGGTGGTGCCTGTCATCAGGAACTTACATTCTGGAACAAAATATTATCAGATAGTGTAACTGTCCTGAAGGAAACAAGTAAGAGCTTCAAAAAAAAAAAATAATATTAGGGAGAAGCCCCTGAAGAAACGCAGACGGGAATTCTCCCTGGGGAGGGGATGTGAGTTGGGACCTGAGGACTGAGAAGGTACCAGCCATGCAAAAAGGGAGTGTGAACACTCAGGTAAGGGAACAGCCTGTGCAAAGTCAGGGAGGGGGAAGGGCTCATTTTGAGGAGGTGAAGGAATACTGGGGGATTTGAGATGGGTTTGGGGAGGTTTGATGGGCCTGAGGAACTGTGTTTTGGGAGCTCGCATGGCCATGCCCAGGCTGCTGCTGAGAACACAAAAAGCAGGTGTTAAGTGTCACAGACCAAGGAATTCTGCCCAGACCAAGGGACACATGGTGATTGACTTTCAGATCAAGTAGACTTTAGTTTCTGCTTGTTTCCTCAGCTTGAAAATGTGGATAATGGCTTCCATGCCAGAGGGTACCTGGGTATACGTTATGTGGTGTGTGAGGGTGCTCATCACAGGGCAGGCTTGGCTAGGGCTTGGCATTTCTCCATAAACTTGAGTGTACTCTGCTCTTGTGCTTAGGACATCCAGGGTGACACTACTGGCCCAGGAAGGAAGGCATTTCCTCTTTCCTCTAAACCAAGGACCCTATAGGGAAAATGTCTTAGTTGAACTCAATGGGGTTTTGTGACAGGGACACAACTCAGATGATAGGTAGGTGACCTGTCTTAGCTCAGACTGCTATAACAAAATACCATAAACCAGATGGCTTAAACGTTTATTTCTCACAGTTCCAGAGGCTGGGAAGTCCACTATCAAGGTCCAGCAGGGTTGGGTTCTTGGTAAGGGTCTCACCCTGGTCTACAGACAGCAATGTTGTATCCTCACAAGGTGGAAAGAGCTAGCTAGCTTGCTGGTCATTTATAAGGGCATTAATCCCATTCAGGAGGGCTCCACCCTCATGACAATTACATCCTAAAAGCCCCACCTCACAATACCATCACATTCTGATTAGGGTTTCAACACGCAAATTTGGGGGACATAAACATTCAGTCCACTGCACGACCCTAACAGAAGGTATCCTTTTCAGGGTCCACCCTGACCCAGGACTGCTCTGGGATTGCCTCAGCACCCTGCCCTGTCCTCTGAGCATGTGTCCCAAGACTACATCTCTCTTTTCACTCCTCTGCTCCTGTTGCCTAAACCAGGGAGCTCAGTGTCCCCATGACTCTTTCATCTTCTTCCACCACCACCTCCATTTTCCCATTCCCTTTCATCTTCCTTTTCCCACCCACCCTCTCCACTCCTCCTAGGATCCTGTGAGTCCACCTTCTCCTAACCACCTCTCTCACCTCTCTTCCCTCCTACAACACCATCACTACCTCTGATCTGAGAGCTCAGACAGCAGTGGTTGGAATTTTAGGTTGTGGTGTTTCCTATTTCAGTTTTATTAACAAAAAAGTGAAAGGGCTACTCACAACTCCAGTAAATTTGAAAAACTTTGGTTATGCAAACTTTAAGACATTTACAAAAGAATTGTGATAGCATAATGTACTCCCATGTACCCATCACCTAGCTTTGAAAATTATCAACATTCTACCATTATTGTATGATCGGTAAGTAATCTCCAATCCACGTCCCATAGCAGTGATGTTGTTAAAAGAGTTCTTTTGTTAAGGTAAATTTTACATACTTTGAAATGCATAAATCTCAGCCATATACATTAGAGAAATGGATGAACCCATGTAACAACATCTTCCTCGTAATATAGACCATTTCATTATCTCAGAAAGTTCCATCATATCCTACCTAATTGCATCCTCTCTATAGGTTACCTGTATTCTTTTTCACCTGAAATTAGTTTTGTCTGTTTTAGAAATATATATGAAGGGAATCATATAGTATGTCGTCTTTTAGATCTGGCTTCTTTCACTCAGCATAATATCTGTGATGTTCACCCATGTCATTGTGTAAGTAGTTCATTCCTTTTTATTGCTGAGTACTATTCCATTGTGCGGATACTCCACGTTATGTCTTTCCATTCTCCAGTTGTTGGCTTTTTTGTTGTTTCCAGCTTTTGGCTGTTAGTAAATAAAGCTGCTATGATCCTTGTGTGTAAATCTTTTTGTGAACATACATTTTTTTTCTTAGACATACGGAGGAATAGAATAGCTAGATGTAATAGCATGTGTACATTTAACTGTCTTTTTTCCAGAGTGATTGTACTATTCATATTCTATCCCAAGAAAATATGAGTGTCTGTTTTTCCCTACCTTCTCTGAGATTTGGTATTTTTGTTCTTGTTAATTTCATTCTAGTGGGGATGTCAGTGATATCTCATGCTTAAATTAGTATTTCCCTGAATAATAATTGCGCAGAGAGGCTGAGAGCTTTTTTTTTTTTTTTAGAGATGGGGTCTTGCTGTGTTGCCCAGGCTGGCCTCAAACTCCTGGCCTCAAGCTGCCCTTCCACCTCAGCCTCCCAAGTTGCTGGGATTTAAGCCATCAGGTCCAGCCTAAAGTTGAGCACTTTCAAGTGTGCTTTTTGGTCTTTGGTATTTTTTTCCTTGAGAAGTGCCTTTGCCTATCTTTTATTTCTTTGTCTTTTTAGGACTGAAGTTCCAACAATTCTTCCTATATTCTGAATACAAGACCTTTCTCAGATCTATATTTTAAGAACATTTTCTCACAATCTATGCCTTGCCCCATTCATTTTCTTACTGGTGTCTTTTGGTGAACTAAGATTTTAAATTTTGATAAAGAGCAACTGATCATTTTTTTTTCTTTTTTGTTTACTGCTTTCTCCTCCTAAGAAATGGTTTTCTACCCCAAGTTCATGACGCTATTCTGCTTTCTTGTAAAACCTATATTATTCATTATTTAATTCTTATATCAACTTTGAATTAGTTTTTGTTTATTGAGTGAAGTAGAGGTCAAGATTGAGTTCTTTCTTTATGGATATTCAAGTGGGTCTGGCAATATCTGTTGAAAAATCTGATCTTTGGCCATTAACTGCTTTCATTTATAGTAGAAAGGTCCATTGACCATGTATATATGGGTCTGTTTCTGGACTGTATTAGGCCTTTTGTAATTTAATATAAATTTTAGAATAAGTTCATCAATTTCTATGGAATTATGATTGTGATTGAGTTGAATTCTGTATATTATTTTGAGAAAAATTTTCATTTAACAATAGTTTTCCGTGTTCTTTTTTGCTGCAGAAATACACAAATATGCATTGATTTTTACATTGAATCTAAAGCTTTGCTAATAGCATTTATTAGATCTAATAGTTTTAAAAATTAGATTCCCTAGGGTATTTTTTATATAGAAATTTGTCATCTATGAATAGGGTAAGTTTTACTTATTTTCCAATCTTCATGCCTGTTTTGAAGATTGCTAGAAGCTGCTAGCTTAAAGATGTTCATAGATGTCCTTTAACATGTGAGGTAAATCCCCCTTTATTCTAAGTTAACTAAATGTCCTTGTTGTTGTTGTGGGGCTTTTTTGTTGTTGTTTCCTTTTCTTTTTCTTTTTTATGGGGAAGGGGTTTCACTATGCTTCCCAGGCTAGTCCCAAACTCCTGGCTCAAGTGATCCTCCTACCTTGGCCTCCGAAAGTACAGGCATGAGCCACTATGCACAGCCTTGTTTACTTTTAAAATCATGAATGGCTGATGAATTTTTTCCAGTGATTTTTCTGAGTCTATTGAGATGACCATGTATAGTTTTTACTTTATTTTGTTAATATGGTCAATTTAAATGTTTGATTTTTAAATGTTAGCTTGCATTCCTGTTTGTAATTGCCACTTGGTCATGATCTTATCCTTGTCGTACATTGATGGATCAACTTGCTAATAGTTTGTTAAGAATTTTTATGAACATGATCATGAGGGGTATTGATCTTTATCTTCTTGTAATAAATTTCATACACGTCCTTGCCAAGTTTGGTATCAGGGTTTTATTGGCTTTATACAATAATTTGGGAAGTGTTCTTTTTTCTTCTGCTTTCTGAAAGAGTTGGTGTAAGGTTGATAGTTTCTTCCTTAGATTTAATAGAATTCGCTAGTAAAACCATCTGAGCTTGAAATTTACTTTGTGAAAGCTTTTGATTATAAATTCAATTTCTTTGATAGATAAAGGGCCTTTCAGATTTCCTATTTGACCTTGTACCAATTTTTGGTTTTTACTACCTACTGCTTATTGGAGAAGGCCTTTAAGTGAAAAGCTACAAACTCAGAAATCTCACCCATTGTGGTGCCCCCTGCACAGGTAATCTCCTTCACTGCCTGCATGATTTGGTCACTCCACAATGCTTTCAGGTAATTGTTGTCTTATAAATAATTTGTCCAGATTTAATAATTGCTATCTGCAGGAAGGTTAAGGATGGATCAAACTATTCCATCATTGCCAGAAGCTGGAACTCTACTGCATCTTTTAACAGAAATGAAAAGCCCCTCTTCTTGGCCAGCACTGCTACTCCCCTGGAATGAGTAGCAGTGAACAGGGCAAGGCATGTCATTCTCACATGTAATCAGATTTTTCAAGTTATTTCACTGAGGGTGTCAGATTTCACCCTGTCCTGTGAAAGTCACATGCAATGGCTTTCAGATACATCCACATCATGGATGAAGTCCAAGACCAATATTTTAATAGATTTCTGTAGTCTAAAGCTCTCTTGGTCACTTCTTGTCTGGTGTTATATTGCTACTGCTTTACTGCTTTGAATATCTCACACATTTTCCATCTCCCTAGGTCTACACTTCCCCAGCGCAGAATGTAGCCCCTTCTTGAATTCTCCACAACCCATTCTAGAAGCTTAGTTTGTGGTCGAGTTTTGTCAAGAGAAGCAGCAGGGTGTGCTCAAGCTGGGAGTATCAGTCATACCTTTCTTGAGTCATACCAAGGCCACAGAGAGATCCTTTCCAGGAACTCTTCTCCTGCAGCTCCTGTTGCAAGCCTTCTCCTGTCTCAGCCTCCCCAAGCTCCCCTGCCACAGCTCTGCATCTCCACGCTGCTCCAGTGCCAGCCATTGCCAACTCTGAAAATCACTTTTATTTCCTCGGTAGAGCCTTTAGCACTTACTGCATCTTTGCCCCAGCATGTCCCAGCTTTTCAAGACATCCTGATCTTCAAAATTAAACACATTAACACTCAACAATCACAATTACAGGTGTCCCCCTGGGGGGACAAAAATACAAAATACAGTACAAAATAGGACTCTCTCTTTTTGTCCTGTTTCCCCAGACTCCAACCTGTAATCTGGCTGATTCCAGTTCAGTGTTACATTCCAACACCAATTAGGTGTTCTACAGTTCAATTCAATTCTGACACTAACTACCTGAAGTTAACACAGACTTCATGGGTTAAGGCGCTCAGCCCCACAAGGCTGTTCCCACTTCCAATACCAGCCAAAAGTACTGGTCGTGCCTTTGCCACCCATGCTTTTGTCTTATTTGGTTATGAATCTGGGGCTTCCCATAATCCCCTTAAGATTCAATAATTTGCTAGGATAATTCAGAGCTCTCTGAAGCCACCATGCTTATGATGGTTACAGTTTTATCATAAAGAATACAACTCGAACAGCCAAATGAAAGAGAAAGGCAAGGTCAGGAGGACCTTCTGTCTATGCAGAGTTGAGGTGTACCATCCTTCTGGTACACAGTGTTGGTGCTGAGATAGTAGACAGGAGCTGAGATATTTTCCAAGAAAAAATAACGCTGAGTGGTAAAATAGGTTTAACTGGAAATGATTATCATTTTTGTCCCCAGATCCCTTTTCAAATTCAATGAATGCTATGGACTCTTTGCCCAGAAGTGCATACCCTTGCACATCTTGGGCATTAGGGTTAGATCCCTTGACTTAAAGCTCTTCCCTGAGGCATGTGTATCATAATATTCAGCTCTTGGAGAAGGAAAAACTAAATCTTACATGGGAATTACAGGATTCATTGTGTCCCTCATCCTTGAAGCTAGTCTGTATTATTCAGGCAATTTATACCTGCTGCTAGAAAGTTGAGGATAATTTCCCATTGTCAATCCTTTTGGCAGCACTTTTGCTTGTTTCTGACTGGGTGTGTTTGGTCCTATCTTTTCTAGGTTCTGGCCTTCTGGCTTTGCATCTCCTACTTTGATTCCTGGTCTGACTCTTGGTATGGACATTAGGACCTATTCTCCCATGTAGTTGAAAGTTGGCTTTCCTCAGTGGATTTTGGCTTGGGTGACCCTTTAGTTTTCACCACCCTGAATTGTCCCTGGTAGGTATCCGATGGCACACCCAAAGGTGAAGCTCCCTGGGGTCAGCAACAGTGAGACATCGTTACTGTCTTTAGACCTGAATTGTCAAGGAGTGGGAACTATTCCTAAAGCTGATTAGAGGCCTCAGGCAAAAGCTGTGGCCCTGTGTAGAGGAAAGCAACCACTACCCAAGCCAAACCAGACATGGAGGGGTGAAGGGAATAAATGCCTCACACCTCTCACAGCTCCTGTCAGTAGGAGGATTGGCTGAACTCAACTGGAAGGCAGAGAGAGGGCAAGTGCCGATCATGCCATGCAAAGAGCCGTCTTCTGGGGGTACATGGCAGGGCAGAGAAGGGTGGAAAATGGATCCAGAGGGCTGACTGGAAAAATCCCAATTGCAAGTCATCTACCCTGACTCTCACACTTGGCCAACATCATGGCCAGTGTAGCAGCAGGTCCATTTTTGGGGGAATTTGGGGAGAAACTAGATGTTAGATACTGTGGGAGGTTAGTGTGGGGCACATTTGGGACAATACCTGATGCCTCCATGGAAGTTCTTGGTGGAATTTGGCATTACACCCTATACTAAGGGGTATTCTCCAGGAAAAAAAAAATGTTAATATTTGCTGTGCTCTCAGAAGATAAAAGGGCATTTGCAGGGAAGTATACCATGGTATTAGGTTTCTTGAGTGACCCATGAGACAAGTAAAGATAGCTTTAGGACTGTTCAGGAAGTGAGGGTTGCAGCTGCAGATGAGCACCCTGGAGCCCAGGATGTGAAGGGCCTGGGACCTGAGAGGGGAGAGGTCAGGAGGCTGGACCAATGCAGCGTCCCTGGAGAGTCCAGGACTCACACTGTATAGTTTCCCAGAGTCCTGATGGTAATTGTGCGGTTGTAAGTTTTTTGGTCCTAGGCTGGTCTCTGATTGGGTTTTCTTTTTCTTTTTCTTTTTCTTTTAGTTTTTATTTTCGTTTATTTTGTTTTGAATCTTTTTTCCTTCAACTTTTATCTGAATTTCTATGGTACATGTACAGGATGTGCAGGTTTGTTACATAGGTAACAAACCTATGCCATGGTGGTTTGCTGCACAGATCAACCCATTACCTAGGTATTAAGCCCGGAATCCATTAGCTATTCTTCCTGATGCTCTCCCTTCCTGCCACCCATAACTTTTATTCAAATAAAGGAGTTCTACCTTTTAATAACTTTTTAGATCATTAGTATTCTGATATTATGGAAAGTAAGGCATCTTCATAATGGCTGAATTAATGACGTTTCAATATTTGAGAACTTTAATTTCAAAACAGGGTAGGGAAGGCCTCTGCAATACTATCTGGTTTGTTTCTGGCAATTCCTAGCAGCTGGGGAAGGTTAAGCAGTGGCTCAGAGAAGAGTATGTCTCCTCCAACCAGGCATCTGCTGGTGACAGGTTTCCAGTGATGGGATGAAGTGAAGGAGGTACCCACAGGAGAGTCATCCTCAAATATCATCCAAGCCTGGTGTTATATTGTTGGCCAAACCCTAACACAAACCATGTATGTTTTGTCCTTCCCTTGACCACCTCAACTGCTTAAAATCCATCTTCTTATAAGTCTATACTTTAACCCAAATACCCCCCTTCCTTTCCATCAATATTTTCCAACCCCAATGTCCACCCAAAAGCTCTTAGGGACTATGATTGGTGTTTGAATTCCTGTGACCCAAATTATCTGTGCTCCTCCTGGTGTTCAGCTGGGCCTGCAATTTATATTTCTTACATCTACCTGTCTTGTGCTTCCAAAGCAGACTATGTTTCTCAAGGGCAGAGCCTGCATTTTATGTTTCTGTGTGTCTCTCAGAGTCATGCCCTATACCTATGTGGTGTTCAATAAATATTAAAGAATAAATGGTACTTTTTAGACCCAACTCTGCAGGCTCAAAGGAATGTTTTATGCACAAAGTTAAGAAATAAAAAGCCAAACTCCAGCAAAATCACTTTCTTTTGCATTCTTCATTTTGATGAAGTCTCTAAGGTGTGGTTTTCTAGATTCTTTATGCCCCTAATATATTCCAAATTACCTTATATTTCTGTTTTATCTAAAAATAGGAGGTGACATGTAAGGATACAGAGCCCCGGTCACCTAGAGTCGTATACCAAAATCTGTCAGAGTAATCTCAAAGACAGATCATGCCAGAGCATTTTATTAAAGGCATTTACCTTGCACCAGGTAATTAGGCACTATAAAGTTAATTCATACTGGAAGGAAGCAACAGGAATTTTGGGTGCGTTGAATGTACTTCAGCCAGTTGAGACAATGATGATTAGGATTACTCTGGGAGAAACTACTATATATCATTCTGGTCCAGGCACTATTTGGAGGTCATTGAACAGATGCCATTTGAGATACTACTATACAGTAGGAGAAGAGGAAAGGGAGAAAACAGTAGATTTTAAATGATTCATATTCTGTGTCCAAGGTATTTAAACTTATAAACTCTTCAACTTGCCCTCATTGCAGGGGCATTCAAAGTCAATACGTTGGACCTTCAACCTGAACTCGTATTAACCTACACTTTACTTTTATGCAGTAAGTAGATAAATGATAATAATTGAGGATATATCTCCCTCTAAAAGCATTTTTTAAAAAATGAGAGCTGACCCATTTCTCTCTCACAGTCATTAGTCACCTGAGTTACTTTAGGGCAGTTGGTTACTCAGAATCAGCTCACAGGAATCCAGCTTTCAGCCAGCCATAGCCAAATCCTGCTCCTAGCCTTCTTTGCTGAAAAAGACCATTACCACATGACCACAACCCCACCTACAGAAATTCTGCCCTTTACTTCCTAATCCAGGCTCTATTTCCACTTATAAAATCAAACTTAACTAATTGCTAACTCCACCTAAACTGTCTTACACAGAGGAATGGTTGTTTATTGTACATAATATATATGTGTATATGAACACACACACACAATTTGCAAAGATGCAGCAAGCAGCAGAATCCTAGGGGTCAAGTGCACCCATTTCTCTCACAAGCCAGTCTTTCTATGAAAGTCTTGGAGATTGTCCTGCTTTTATAGGATGTCACAATCTCAGCTTTCTCTTTATCAAAAATTGCTAAGACAGATGAAAAATGCTCAATTTCTGAGACCAACAAGTGTGTCTATCTAATTCATAGCTGTAGCCTCAGAATCTGGTACACAGTAGATGTGAAATACTCCTTGGGTCATGCCCATAGACTGCTAAGTGCTTTATAATAGTCAATGAAGATGATACTTTAAGATTTAATCTAATAAATACATGTACATTTGTTAAAGACCAAATGAGTCCTGACTGCCTACACTATTGCTTTCTTCTGGATGCTGGCCCAAATGGGAATGAGTGTGGTTAGAAGGGAGTGTTAGGTCTTAATTAGGCAGTTCCATTGGGAAGCATTCACCCAACTCAAGGCAATAGGAGCAGGATGCAAATAGAGGTATCTAGGCAGGCTTACCATGAAGCCACTCAAGCTTAACCCTCAAGGCTTCTTATTGCCCTTGCCCTTCCAAGACTCTGTGAGGGGCCCTGGCGATTCTGCATTCCCCACCTTGCATTCCTGTAAAAAAAATATTTCATTAACACATTCATCACTACCCATAGTTACTGTGTGTGTGTATGTGTGTGTGTGTGTGTGAGTGTGGTGTGAAGACACTTAAAATATGCTGTCATCAAATTTTAAGTAAACAGCACAGTGTTACTAACTGTAGTCACCATGCTGTAGAGTGATGTTGAGCACCTTTCCATATACCTGTTGGCTACTTGTATGTCTTGTTTGAAAAATTGTCTATTCAGGTTTTTTCCCATTTTTTAATTGGGCTATTTGATTTTTGCTATTGAATTGTGTGAGTACCTTATATATTTTGGATTTTAATCAAACCTTTGTCATACACACGGTTTGAAAATGCTTTCTCCCATTTTGTAGGTTGCCCTTTCATTTTCATTGTTTTCTTTGCTGTGCAGAAACTTTTTAGTTTGGTGTAGTCCCACTTGTTTATTTTTGCTTCTGTATGCTTTTAGTGTCATGTCTAAATAATCATTGCCAAGACCAATGTGAAGGAGTTTTCCCATTTTCCTTTAGGGGCAACTGTAAAACTCCTAAAAGAAACTTTAATGCATTTTGATGTAATATAAGGGTCCAATTTCATTCTTTTGCATGTGGCTATCCAGATTTCCTAACATCATTTATTGAAGACACTATTCTTTCCCTATTGTGTACTTCTGAAGACTTTCAGGATTAGTTGACTGTATATGAGAGGATAAATTTCTGGGCTCCTATTCTGTTCCATTAGTCTATATGTCTATTTTTATGCCAGTGCTATGCTGTTTTGGTAACTATACCTTTGTAGTATAGTTTGAAATCCCAGCTAGTATCATGCTGTTATGATAAATATACCTTTGTAATATAGTTTGAAATCAGTGTGATGCCTCCATCTTAGTTCCTTTTTCTTTTTTTCTTTTTGAGACAGGGTCTTACTCTGTCACCCAGGCTGGATTACAGCAGTGTGATCACAGTTCACTGCAGTCTCGACTTCCTAGGCTCAGGTGATCTTCCAACCTCAGCCTCCTGAGTAGCTGGGACTACAGGTGCATGCCACCATGCTCAGCTAATTTTTGTATTTTTTGTAGAAACAGGGTTTCACTATGTTGCCCAGCCTGGTCTTGAACTCTTAGGCTCAAGCAATCCACCCGCCTTGGCCTCTCAAAGTGCTGGGATTACAGGCGTGAGCCACTGTGCCCGACTCCATCTTAGTTCTTTTTGCTCAATATTGCTTTGGTTATTAGGGGTCCTTTTTAGTTTCATACACATTTTAAGGATTGTTTTTCTATTAATGTGAAAAATGTCATTGGAATTTTAATAGGGATTACATTGAATCAATCTGTAGATTGCTTTGGGAGACATGGACATTTTCACAATATTAATTCTTTCAATTCATGCACACAGGATATTGTTCTATTTATTTGTGTCTTCTTCAATTTTAATTTAATTTTTTTTTTTTTTAGATACGGGGTCCCACTAGGTTACCCAGGCTGGTCTTGAACTCCTGGCCTCAAGCAATCTTCTTGTTGCAGCCTCCCAAAGTGCTGGGATTATAGGTGTGAGTCACTGGGCCTAGCGTCTTCAATTTCTTTCCTGAATGCCTTACAATTTTCAGTGTTCAGATCTTTTACCTTATTAGTTAAATTTATTTCTAAGTATTTTATTCTTTTTGATGTTGCTGTAAATGAGCTTGTTTTCTTAATTTTGGGGAGATTGTTCATTATTAATATAGAGAAATGCTACTGATTTTTGCGCGTTGATTTTGTATCCTGCAACTTTACTGAATTTGTTTATTAGCTCTAACAGTTTTTGGTGGAGTATTTAGGGTTTTAGGGTTTTCTATACATAAAATAATGTCATCTGCAAGCAGACAATATAACTTATTTTTCAATTTGGGTACTTTTTGTTCATTTTCTTGCCTATTTGCCCTGGCAAGGACTTCTTGTAGTATGTTGAATAGAAGAGTCAAGAGCAGGTACACATGTCTTGCTTATGATCTTAGAGGAAAAGCTTTTAGCCTTTTTTTTTTTTTGCAGTTTTCCTCTGGGATACCTCATATGTTATTCTCTTTTCTTCCTCAGCCTACATAAGCTATTAGACTGGTGAGTTTCTTCCCAGCCACTCTTTAGGTCTGTCTTTTCAGATCCTCCAAATCTATATTTTGACCCTCTCCCTGCCTTTACTAATTTTCTTTCAGAGTAGCAGCCTGCTCATTTCTACTCTACCAATTATCATACATATTTGACCTAGAGTTTGATATGGTTTGGCTCTGTGTCCCCACCCAAATCTCATTGGGAATTGTAATCCCCACGTGTCAGGAGAGGGGCCTGGTGGGAGGTGATTGGATCATGGGGGTTGATTTCCTCCTCGTAGTTCTCATGATAGTGAATGAGTTCTCATGAGGTCTGACTGTTTAAAAGTGTGTGGCATTTTCCCCTTCTCTCTCTCTCCTTTCTCCTGATTTGCCGTGGTAAATTGTGCCTGCTTCCTGTTCGCCTTCTGCCAAGATTGTAAGTTTCCTGAGGCCTCCTGTCTGTGCTCCGTCTACAGCCTGTGGAACTGTGAGTCAATTAAACCTATTTTCTTCATAAATTACCAAGTTTCAGGTAGTTCTTAATAGCAGTGTGAGAACAGACTAATACAGAGTTATATACATCCTTATCTGTTTAATATCTATCTCTCCCATAAGCTGTAAGGTTGATGAAAGTAGAGATAAACTGTTTTGTTCACCCGCATTGGCCATGGTGGACTCTGCCTGGCACACAGTATGTGCATATTGAATATCTAATGAATAAATGAACAGATACTCCCATGGCACTGAGTGAAATCACATTGCATTATGGTTTAGTTTGCTTTTATTTTGCATGTTTTTACCTTATTATTTTTGTTTTTTTATCATTTGTGTCAGACATAGATAAGTGCTTAAAGACGTAACAATTTAAAAAGTCCTCTTATGCTCTCCCAGTGCTATTGCAGTACACATGTTGTGATTTTGCCAACTATTTGCTCTAAAGTGTCTAGGACCTACTTTGGCATGCATGGTTTATTTTCCACTTTAGTAGCTGAGCTAGGGAAAGAATCTATGAGCTCCTGCTATTCTTGGTATCTTCTTCCCTGTCCTTGTTGGTGAGGAAGCAAGAAATTCACGTTTATTTTGTTGGCAGTTCTAAGAAGCACCTAATACACTGAAGCTGTGATCCTCAGATTATGCACAGGAGACTGCTGGGGAAGCTTCCAACACCTGGGCCTCACACCAGTGCGATTACAGCATGATCTAGGTGGTGGGTCTGCCACTAGGTGTTTTGAATTCTCCCAGGTGATTCTAATGTGCAGCCAGGGATGAGACTATTGTCTTGGAGAAACAAACATGGCTGTGGCATCTTCTGGAGATGCTTTTGTAGAGTCTCTGCTGAAACTCGTCTAATTTTTCTGTTACAAACTCAAGCACAGAAGCTTTGCTCCAGGCTATGATCCATTTTTGTCATACACAAATGTGGAAGGAATAACCCCCCAAAGTCCCTGTGGCTTGCAAAACTTTGAAAGAGAAGTGGGGCCTGGGGTTTCTCCTTTGATTCCCTATACTCTCTAGTCAGCAAAGCAGGCAGGATTAAATGAGGTCTGCAGCCTGTGGGGCCAAGGTGATTTGGAACTTGATTATTTGGGGAGTCAGAATATTTACAATGGAATTGTCACCAGGTAAAAGTGACATTTATCTAGCCTTAGGCCTTTCAAACTGGGATTCTAGGTGGTCGTTCAATTTGCAATCAGAAGGCCTAGGTTTGATTCTCAATATTAATACTTACCATATGTGTGATTCTGGGCAAGTCACTTAACTCTCTGAGCCTCAAAATCTTTATTTGCCAAATGGAAAGAATCGTATATATATCACTAGATTTTCTTGTGAGGATTAAATGAAGAATGTTTGTAAAATGATTGTACTGAGTACATAGCAAATAGTCAACAAATGGTATCTGTTGGTAATAATAAAAGCAAATATAAGCTCTCTGAATACTTTACATGGCTAGGTTGTAGAGTCTGTGACAGTAGGAATAATTTTATTGGTGTTTCTATACTCAACCCCTGCAGTATATCCTAATAACATGTGTGGAACTGAATTGTTTCCTAAAAATTGTTTTGTAATGGATGTAAAAAGTGTTTAGATCAAGTTTCTCCAATTTGCAGCCTGTGGTGGCTTTGAATGCGGCCCAACACAAATTTGTAAATTTTTTAAAAACATTATGAGGTTTTTTTTTTGTGTGTGTGATTTTTTAAAGCTCATCAGCTATCCTTCTGGCCCAGGACAATTCTTCTTCTTCCAATGTGGCCCAGGGAAGCCTTTAAAGATTGGACATCCCTTGTTTAGATGAAGCATTCCTACACATTGGCATAATGTGAATCCAACCAGTCTGTTTTATAAAGTTAGGCAAATCCTTCTAACTAGAAGGTATACCTTAATTTCGCCAGATAGAAGGCAAGTGTGTTGCATATAGGGTTGTCTTCACTAAACAAACTTCCCATGAGTTTCTTGATCACTTCCCATGAGTTTCTTGATCACACAGATGTTTGGAGTCTTTGTGATGACTTTAGTTTTAAGTCTCTGGCCCAGGACAGCCTATGTGTGGCTGAGTAGGGCTCTGATGAGTCAATGATTTTCACCTGGTTGAACATTAAGTCACCTGAGAAGCTTTTAAAACTCCTGATGTCCGGGCTGCTGATTCTTTGAGGATGAGACTCAGATATCGTGTCTAACTGAAAGGTAGGGGCTGCAAATCTGAACATAATGCTGCATTTCTTAGACTCCCTTGTGTTTTGGTTTTACAAATGACCCAGCTTTCTCCTAGCTGATACGCTCATGCAAGATTAGAAGAAGGAAGTGAACACTGTGAGGCAAATATAGTTGTGGAGGTGCTTTAAAAAATTCTATAGCATCTTGTAGCAGAGGGCCTAGTGTCTGGTTTCAGCTTTGTGGGTATTGAGAAGCAAATATTAATACCTAATTTCTGATAACACCAGAAGTAGGCAATTTTGGTGCTAATTGGTGGCTTCTTGATCCCAGTTTCCTGATCACAGCATAGGCAGCAGTTGTCTAGGTGGGCAAGTTCTGCATTGTTCTGAGAGTCATTCCTGGGAGCTCAGCTCAATTATGCTAGTTTTTTTAAATAAGTCACCTAATAATAAATTCTAAGTTCCTTTATACTAAAACTTGCCAGAATGAATTCTGCTGTGTGCCCTGAACCTGGAGTAATCGCTGCTAGAAGTGATTGTAGGTAACAAACATTCAGGGATGGGAAACGGGGGGATTCCATGGGTTAGTTGGGTTTGAAGGCCCCTGGGTTCCAGTAACCGGTACAGGAGGGGCTACTGGTAGATCATGACCAGGAGAAACAAAACTTTGTTACATAAGTTCCAGGGTAATCTGGAAAAAGTGCCAATTGGACTCATGGCTCTCATGGACTGAGTGACAATATAGTTGCAATAGCAATACGTGGACCATGGGGATGTGCTGGCTACTTACAACAGCATTTGAAAACTTAAAAAGACTTGGCATTTCAAATTTTTTATTTTGAGGCTTAGAGAACTAGTGAGTTTCTTCTGCCCTAAAATAATCTCTTATCCCTTGTTGATGCAGAGTTTATATAATCAAAATCATCTGCAGTGTCTGTTGTGTGTGTGTTGGGGGAGGGGGGTATATTAATTACAACACAGGTGGAGCTCACAGCCTCACCAGATCACCTGTGAAAGTTGAGCATTTATGAGAAGGAGTAGGAATCTAAAATTGGGAATTACCACATTTGGGAGGATTTGGAGAACCCTGTATCTCTCAATCCTACTGAGTCGCCCTTGTACCAGAAGCCTATGTTTCTTATATCTTGGGCTCTGCAAATACCCTCTTTCACCAGGCAGACACATGTCCATGGGATAGGGAAGGTGGCATGGACACAGGGAGGGAGGTGCTTCCATTCTGCTGCTGCCAATTATGGCAGAGGCAGTGTGGTACTGGAACAAGCATTTGTGGTGCGGCTCCCTGATCCCTTGGCTTGCTTTCTGACGTGGCAGATGCTCTCTCGGAGGGTAAGTTCTGATGGGTAGTTTTAAAAGTTGTTCTTGAAATCTCAACCTTGAGCCTGCTCTTTTGGCATTTCTGCCAGCCACCTAATTACACAGAATAATTTTTTTTTCTGTCTCAAGTAGCTAGAGAAGATTCTGTCTTCTGCAACTGAACCCAGATACAGAGGGATAACAAATTAATTCATCACTAGCTTTTAACATTCCAGCTCAGATTACATGATTAAAGTCCTTTAAGGGCCTTAAAGGACCTATTTTCTAGCCCATAGAGAAATAGCTTCTCACAACCATAAGAGGAAGGTGGATAGGTTCTGCTTGAATCCCACCAGGGATAAGTTTTTTAGGGAACTCATTCCATTTTGAACAAATTCCAACTATTAAAGAAATTAGACTTGTCTGAAACCTATTTGTAACTTGAGCCCATTGATTTAAATTCCCTGTTAGCACATTGGTTTAGCTTTCTGCTTAGCTAAAAACTCAAATTCCTCCACCTGATCCTTCTGTAACATGGTTCCCAGATTCCTTAATGCTGCATACAACTGGTTAAAAGACAGAGAGAAAGAGGTGAGGAGGAGAGAAGAGTTAGTTATTCTTGGTGGGGATTGTGCAAGTTGTCTGCATGTGCAGAATGTGCTGGTATAAATCTTTATGCAGAAAAGCAAAGCCAGAAGAGGGCTGGTTGAAGTATGTAATTAAAAACCTTCTTATTTAAAAACAGTCCTGGTACCAGCTCTTGTTCATTTCTATGTTTCCAGCCTCCCTGGAACATTTTCTTCTCACGATAATTTATCCTTCAACTACTTGTTCATCTTTGTGTGTAAATGAATAATTATTGGGTCATATACTATGTTGATAGCATGAGTTTTATTTTATCCAATGAGTTGTCATCCATACTGAAAAAGAGACAGGAAAGGGGAATAAAAATTAAAAGCAAATCATAAGAGGGGATTAAACCACATTCCGCTGTTATTTTTATTTCTCAAACTACCACTATCATCAAAAATCGTTGCTTATGTGTCTATTGTCTGTCTTCCTCCATCAGAATGTAAATTCCAAGAAGGCAAATACTTTGTTTTAATCCTTATTGTATCCTTGAAGCCTGGTCCGTTTTGTCCTCTGTTTAAACAGTGTAGATTCTAAATATATATATAAATTTAGTGGATGAATGAATGTTTGCAGACACAATGACAAAAAGGAAAGAAGGAGGTAAAGGAGCAGAAGGGAGATTGTGTTAGTTTTCTACTACGGCAATAACAAATTACCACAAATGTAGCCACTTAAAACAACACATATTATCTCACAGTTTGCATGGGTCAGGAATCTGGGCACTGCTTGACTAGTCCCTCTGCCAGGGTCTCCCCAGACTGTGTTCTCATCTGGAGGCTCATCTGAGAAAATATCCACTTCTGAGCTCACTCAGATTGTTGGCAGGATTCATTTCCTTGCAGTGTGACTGAAGGCCTCAGCTTCTTAACCTGTTGTTGAGTGGAGGCTATTCTCTGCCACATGGTCCTGCCACAGGCAAGTCACACATGGCTGTTTGCGTATTCTAGTAGGCTAAGATGGTCTTATATAGTGTAACATAATTAAAGTGACATCCTGTCACCTTGGCAGTATTTTATTGGTGAGAAGCAAGGCACAGATTCTGCCCCAACTCGAGGGGATTGTAGAAGGGTGGGACTCGCCAGGGGCACCTTAGGGCATATCTGCCATAGGAATCCAGGAAGGAATATAAATGAACAGGGAGTAAGAGATGTGGCATTTTGTTTTTCAAGCATTTCTTCTTATGAAATTTACCCTCCATTTCAAAATCAGAATATCCTACAGCTCACAGATTCAGGTTAGGAAGCCCCCAGTCCTAGGCAGTTTAGAAATTCTCAAGGTCTGGAATTGGTGGCTTGCTTAATGATTCACATTGTTTGGAATGTCTCTCTGGATTTTAGTTTCTCTCTGGTGAAGAAGAAATTTCAAGGAGAGAGTTAGATGGGACTTGGGTCCCTTACTACTTAAGAAGTAGAAGAGTCTTTGTTAACAAGATGGGTAAAAAAATTTTTCTTTTTTCAAGATGGGTAAAATTTTAATCTGAGAACTTGGAGTATCCAGCAGGCTTGCCTGCAAAACCTGTGTGTGTATATAGCTAAAAGAGTAGATTATATATACATATTCGAGAATCACAAGAAAAGCAACAGAACACATTGACTATGCTTGCATCAGAGGAACCTGTGAAAGACCTAACATATTCAATTGAATCTAAGACATCATCAATTGTTAGGCATGCTATCATTTATATGCCACTAAGGAATAAAAAGCGAAGTGCTGGAAATTTAACAATGACAAGTCACTGGTTAGAAGACACATCACTAGTTTAGAGATATTAGTACAAAAAATTTGTGTCTTAGAATTGAAGACTACGATTGGTTTTTCAGAGCAAACGTATCTAGAATTGGTATTGCCAAAAGGAAGCCCTGATTCTCAGCTAAGTTGAGGTCTAGAAGACCTAGAAATATGACACTTATTACTCTGCTGTCACTAGAAAAATAAAACATTAGAGATGGAAATGTCTTTAGGAGTCATTTCACCCAGCCTCCCTCCTAAGGAAGGGACAGATGGTCTTCCAGCCTCTGCCTAAATATTCTGAGAGTTGAGGAACTCACTTCCTTACACAATACCCTGTTTCATTTTGGGGTGTATTTTGTCAGGTAATGGGATCCCAGTTGAAACCTAAACCATGCTTATATAGATTTGACTGTGTATGTAAATATATTAATGGTTAATAGAGTAGGTGTCACCTGTGGAATGATAAAATGAGAGTCCTGTAGACCCTCACCTTGAGGGGAGACAACTTTAGGCTGACAAGATGTGCCAACGACAGTGCCTCAATTTATTCATTCTTTCTTTAATTCAGTGAGAGTCCCTACCCATGTGCCAAGGTCTAAATCAATGAGAGACACAAGTTCTCAGTGTTCATTCCTCACAGCTCCCTGCTCCTCCACCTCCAGTGTAGAAAACACAGAAGCAGTCCTCTAATTGGACAGGTTTGGCTTGGGTGCCTGCATGTGGTCCAGTCGGCCACCCCCAGTGTGGCTGTGACATAGTACAGACACTGTCACTGGTCTTTCCCTCCTGTGGGACCATCACACAACAGGTGTTTTGGGTCCCTCTGTACACTACATTGCTGGGTGTCAGCTGGAGATGGGGATGCACCATGACACAGTGCTTTGCCTTGGACCTCAAAGAACCAGATTGAGAGTGAGTGCAGAGGAGGTGAAAAATAATTATGTATCAGATTATTTTTATTAATCACAGCAGAAACACCCCTGATGAATTGTCTCCAAATAGTTGGGGATTATTATAGTAGAGTAGGACCTTCCTTGAGGTTTCCATCACAGAAATCTGAGGGACAGAGCCAGTTACACATTATTTACCAAAGCCTAATGAACCCTGCTTTGACCACCAGTGAAGAAATCTATGGAGAAACACAATTATATTTTTACCAGATGTACTCATGATAAACTGTACCATTACAGTGGTTCTTGTCATTAATAAAAATGAACATTTTATTTAAACTACTGGTAATACAGTAATAAAGTGCTAATGTGTTTTATGTATTCATATTTGCACATAATCTCATTCTTTGGCATAATTAATGAGAAAATATTCAAACTCTTTTTTAAAAATTATACTTTAAGTTCTGGTGCAGAACGTGCAGGTTTGTTACATAGGTATACACATGCCATGGTGGTTTGCTGCATTCATCAACCTGTCATCTACATTAGGTATTTCTCCTAATGCTATCCCTCCCCTAGTCCCCACCTCCGACAGGTCCTGGTGAGTGATGTTCCCCTCCCTGTGTCCGTGTGTTCTCATTGTTCATCTCCCACTTATGAGTGAGAACATGCAGTATTTGGTTTTCTGTTCTTGTGTTAGTTTGCTGAGAATGATGGTTTCTAGCGTCATCCATGTCCCTGCAAAGGACAAAAACTCATCCTTTTTTATGGCTGGATAGTATTCCATGGTGTATATGTGCCGCATTTTCTTTATCTAGTCTATCATTGATGGGCATTTGGGTTGGTTCCAAGTCTTTGCTACTGTGAACAGTGCCGCAATAAACATAAGTGTGTATGTGTCTTCATAGTAGAATGATATATAATCCTTTGAGTATATACCCAGTAATGGGATTGCTGGGTCAAATGGTATTTCTGGTTCTAGATCCTTGAGGAATTGCCACACTGTCTTCCAGAATGGTTGAACTAATTAACACTCCCACCAACAGTGTAAAAGCGTTCCTATTTCTCCACATCCTCTCCAGCATATGTTGTTTCCTGACTTTAATCATCGCCATTCTAACTGGCATGAGATAGTATCACATTGTGGCTTTGATTTGCATTTTTCTGATGAACAGTGATGATGAGCTTTTTTCATATGTCTGTTGGCTGCATAAATGTCTTCTTTTGAGAAGTGTCTGTTTATATCCTTTGCTCACTTTTTGATGGGGTTGTTTTTTTTCTTGTAAATTTGTTTAGATCCTTGTAGATTCCGGATATTAGCCCTTTGTCAGATGGATAGATTGCAAAATTTTTCTCTCATTCTGTAGGTTGCCTGTTCACTCTGATAGTTTCTTTTGCTGTGCAGAAGCTCTTTAGTTTAATTAGATCCCATTTGTCAATTTGGCTTTTGTTGCCATTGCTTTTGGTGTTTTAGTCATGAAGTCTTTGCCAATGCCTATGTCCTGAATGGTATTGCCTAGGTTTTCTTCTGGGGATTTTATGGTTTTAGGTCTTCTGTTTAAGTCTTTAATCCATCTTTAGTTAATTTTGGTATAAGATGTAAGGAAGGGATCCAGTTTCAGCTTTCTGCATATGACCATCAAGTTTTTCCAACACTGTTTATTAAATAGGGAATCCTTTCCCCATTGCTTGTTTTTGTCACGTTTGTTAAAGATCAGATGGTTGTAGATGTGTGGTGTTATTTCTGAGGCCTTTCTTCTGTTCCGTTGGTCCATATATCTGTTTTGTTACCAGTACCATGCTGTTTTTGTTACTATGGCCTTGTAGTACAGTTTGAAGTCAGGTAGTGTAATGCCTCCAGCTTTTTTCTTTTGGCTTAGGATTGTCTTGGCTATGCTGGATCTTTTTTGGTTCCATACGAAATTTAAAGTAGATTTTTCCAGTTCTGTGAAGAAAGTCAATGTTCACTTGATGGGGATAGCACTGGATCTATAAATTACTTTGAGCAATATGGCCATTTTCACAATATTTGTTCTTCCTATCCATGAACATGGAATGTTTTTCCATTTGTTTGTGTCCTCTCTTATTTCCTTGAGCAGTGGTTTGTAGTTCTCCTTGAAGAGGTCCTTCACATCCCCTGTAAGTTGCATTCCTAGGTATTTTATTCTCCTTGTAGCAATGGTGAATGGGAGTTCACTCATGATTTGGCTCTCTGTTTGTCTATTATTGGTGTATAGGAATGGTTGTGACTTTTGTACATTGATTTTGTATCTTGAGACTTTGCTGAAGTTGCTTCTGAGGCGATGGGGTTTTCTTTTTCTTTTTTTTTTTTTCTGAGACAGTCTCACTCTGTCACCCAGGCTGGATGGAGTGCGGTAGCATGATCTCCGCTCACTGCAAGCTCCGCCTCCCAGGTTCATGCCCTTCTGCCTCAGCCTCCCGAGCGGCTGGGACCATAGGCGCCCGCCACCACACCCGGCTAATTTTTTGTATTTTTAGTAGAGATGGGGTTTCACCGTGTTAGCCAGGATGGTCTTGATCTCTTGGCCTCGTGATCCGCCCGCCTCGGCCTCCCAAAGTGCTGGGATTACAGGCATGAGCCACCACGCCCTGCCTGACGATGGGGTTTTCTAAATATACAATCATGTCATCTGCAAACAGAGACAATTTGACTTCCTCTTTTCCTAATTGACTACCCTTTATTTCTTTCTCTTGCCTCATTGCCCTGGCCAGAACTTCCAATACTATGTTGAATAGCAGGGGTGAGAGAGGGCATCCTTGTCTTGTGCCAGTTTTCAAAGGGAATGCTTCCAGTTTTTGCCCATTCACTATGATATTGGCTGTGGGTTTGTTATAAATAGCTCTTATTATTTTGAGATATGTTCCATCAATACCTAGTTTATTGAGAGTTTTTAGCATGAAGAGGTATTGAATTTTATTGAAGGCCTTTTCTGCATCTATTGAGATAATTGTGGTTTTTGTCGTTGGTTCTGTTTATGTGATGGATTATGTTTATTGATTTGTGTATGTTGAACCAGCCTTGTATCCCTAGGATGAAACTGACTTGATCATGGTGGATAAGCTTTTTGATGTGCTGCTGGATTCAGTTTGTCAGTATTTTGTTGAGGATTTTTGCATCAATGTTCATCAGGGATGTTGGGCTGAAATTTTCTTTTTTTTGTTTGTCTCTGCCACGTTTTGGCATTAGGATGATGGTATCCTCATGAAATGAGTGAGGGAGGATTCCCTCTTTTTCTAAGTTTGGAATAGTTTCAGAAGTAATGGTGCCAACTCCTCTTTGTACCTCTGGTAGAATTTGGCTGTGAATCCATCTGGTCCTGGACTTTTTTTTGTTGGTAGGCTATTAATTACTGCCTCAATTTCAGAACTTGTTATTTGTCTATTCAGCAATTCAACTTCTTCTTGGTTTAGTCTTGGGAGGGTGTATGTGTCCAGGACTTTTCCATTTCTTCTAGATTTTCTAGTTTATTTGCATAGAAGTGTTTATAGTATTCTCTGATGGTAGTTTATATTTCTGTGGGATCGGTGATATTCCCTTTATTATTTTTTAATTGCATCAATTTGATTCTTCTCTGTTTTCTTCTTTATTAGTCTGGCTAGCAGTCTAAGTATTTTGTTGATCTTTTCAAAAAACCAGCTCCTGGATTCATTGATGTTTTGTGGGGTTTTTAGTGTCTGTATCTCCTTCAGTTCTGCTCTGATCTTAGTTATTTCTTGCCTTCTGCTGGCTTTTGAATTCATTAGCTCTTGCTTCTCTAGCTCTTTTAATTGTGATGTTAGGGTGTCAATTTTGGATCTTTCCTGCTTTCTCTTGTGGACATTTAGTGCTATAAATTTCCTTCTACACACTGCTTTAAATGTGTCCCAGAGATTCTGGTACGTTGTATCTTTGTTCTCATTGGTTTCAAAGAACATCTTTATTTCTTCCTTCATTTTGTTATTTACCCAGTAGTCATTCAGGAGCAGGTTTTTCAGTTTCCATGTAGTTGTGTGGTTTTGAGTGAGTTTCTTAATCTTGAGTTCTAATTCGATTGCACTGTGGTCTGAGAGACTGTTTGTTATGATTTCTGTTCTTTTGCATTTGCTAAGGAGTGTTTTACTTCCAATTATGTCGTCAATTTTAGAATAAGTATGATGTGGTGCTGAGAAGAATGTATATTCTGTTGATTTGGGGTGGAGAGTTCTGTAGATGTCTATGAGGTCCACTTAGTCCAGAGCTGAGTTCAAGTCCTGGATATCCTTGTTAACCTTCTGTCTCGTTGTCTGTCTAATATTGACAGTGGGGTGTTAAAGTCTCCCACTATTATTGTGTGGGAGTCTAAGTCTCTTTGTAGGTCTCTAAGAATTTGCTTTATGAATCTGGGTGTTCCTGTATCGTGTGTGTATATATTTAGGATAGTTAGCTATTCTTGTTGCATTGATCTTTTCACCATTATGTAATGGCCTTCTTTGTCTCTTTTGATCTTTATTGGTTTAATGTCTGTTTTATCAGTGACTAGGATTGCAACTCCTGCTTTCTTCTGCTTTCCATTTGCTTGGTAAATACTACACCATCCCTTTATTTTGAGCCTATGTGTGTCTTTGCATGTGAGATGGGTCTTCTGAATACAGCACACTGATGGGTCTTGACTCTTTATCCAGTTTGCCAGTCTGTGTCTTTTAATTGGGGCATTTAGCCAGTTTACATTTAAGGTTAGTATTGTTATGTGTGAATTTGATCCTGCCATTATGATGTTAGCTGGTTACTTTGCCCATAAGTTGATGTGGTTTCTTCATAGTGTCGATGGTCATTACAATTTGGTTTGTTTTTGCAGTGGCTGGTGCCGGTTGTTTCTTTCCATGTTTAGGTGCTTCTTTCAGGAGCTCTTGTAAGGCAAGCCTAGTGGTGACAAAATCTCTCAGCATTTGCTTGTCTGAAAAGGATTTTATTTCTTTTTTGCCTATGAAGCTTAGTTTGGCTGGATATGAAATTCTGGGTTGAAAATTATTTTCCTTAAGTATGTTGAATATTGCCCCCACTCACTTCTGGCTTGTAGGGTTTCTGCTGAGATATCCAACATTAGTCTGATGGGCTTCCCTTTCTGGGTAACCCAACCTTTCTCTCTGGCTGCCCTTAACATTTGTTCTTTCATTTTTCCTTGGGCTGCACCAACTGTCCAACCAGTCCCAATGAGATGAACTGGGTACTTCAGTTGGAAATGCAGAAATCACCTGCCTTCTGTGTCAGTCTTGCTGGGAGCTGAAGACTGGTTATGTTCCTATTCAGCCATCTTCCCAGCAATCTAATATTCAAGTTCTGAAGAGAGATCTATGAATAGATGTCTATGCCTAAATTAGATTTTAGAATCTGTAAGTAGACGTTTTCCAAAGTCTGTGCCAATGACTTGTTGATGGTCATTTAAAAAAACTGAATGGAAAGGAAACGATTTTCTTTTGAAGATGAAAGGCATCTTTTTGTATCATAGGTGAAGTTAGAGATATGGATAGGACAAGAACAATTTCCAAATTCATTGCAGTGCTCAACTGTTATAGCATGGTTTCTGACTAATGCTTTCCCAGGTTGATTTATACTGATTATTGGCATCCCATAAATTTATTAATCTTAAAACATTTTTACTCTTCTCATTTCTAATTATCCTTTCCTTTCTTCATCATTCCTGTCTTGGTATTGTAGCATTTCATTTTAGAGAAATAGTGTATTTTATTTATTCCACATTGTTATGTTAATGTTTTTCTTTTAACGTTGCTGTCCTACACTTCTCCCTGTTCCTTGTGAGCTATGTTTATAGAAGCTTCAATGAGTCTGTATTCTTAATAAACTCTGTGATCTGCCTTCTTTTGTCTGAGTTTAGGCCCTCATCATCCTACACCACAATGATTGCAGTATCTTACCTTTCTTCACTCCACCCTCTTCTGTCTCCCAGAATACTCCCAACAGTACGTCATTTGCTTACCACTCTTCAATGGCTTCTCATTTTGTTTTAGATGAAGGTCTAATTGCCTTCCTGTGGCATGAAGCCCATCCTGCTGATGGGTGACTGCTTCTACTGCAGCTCCCTCAAATACACCCTGTTCTGGCTACACAACTTCACTGGCCATTCTGGAATCTGCCCTTCTGGTGAGGCCTCTCTGCATCTGCATGTGCCATTCCTCGGTAGAATGCTAAGTCCTCTACAGTGTACAGCTTGTACATTGAACAATTTCCCACTCACCTTTCCAACCTCAGTTCAGGGTCACCTTCTCCATGAAACTTTTCAGTGCCCTCTGAGTCCAGGCAGATTGGCTGTATCCTCCTGTTTGTTTGGTATATGCTTTCTTTTCTAGACTGTGAACTTCTTAAAGGCAAGGAGCGTGTCTCTATTTCTATTCCCAGAGTCCAGCGCAGTACTTGCCCCTATTCATATTTGTTGAATAAATGAGGAAAACAATAATATAGTATAACTATAAGAAAAAAGGATTTGTTTTGTACATAATAGATAACATGACTTATGATTCTTGTGTGCTTTTTTTCTGTTTTAATGAGAGTGACTTGCCTTCCCAGCTGTGCTGTGAGTTTTATATGGACAAGGACCATGTTTTATACTTGGTTGGTGCCCACTTGGTCCTTACTAGAGTGTTGAGTGTATAACAAAATTCCAGTAAATATTGTTTGATCAATGAAGGACTAAGTGCAGCATATATTCTGATTACTTATATTGAACTATATAATGTTTTCTTTTAAAATAAGGGTGTGACAAACTAGCAATAATAATGTACTAATTACATGAACAAGGTCATACACGTGGACATATGTAGAAAGGCTCAAATACCAAGGGCCATGTTCATTCCCCTTCAGTGGAGTCAATGCCACATGGCCACCAGGTGATGCTCATTAGTCCAATCTTTCTCCAGCAGCCAAGGACCCAGGAGAGTTGCACCTGCCAATTAGGAGGAAGTCTTGAAATTTCCTTCTGGTGTACTCACTAATTTTAATTTTTTTTCCTTCTTAAAAATAGAAAAGCTAAAAAAACCATGTGTCTTCACTCTCAGTCTATACACAATCTTATGAGTATCCTTTAGTTTTTCTTTTTCTTTCTAGGAGAGATTGTTCTTCTTTCCAATGATACAAAAATGACATAGGATGGAATCCTTTAACATCCAAAAGCTTATCAGTTTATTAGCCCAATGTCTCTCAATAGTTAAAAATAGTGCTTTAGGCCAGTGATTCCCAAAGCGTGGTTCCCAAGGCAGCAGCAATAGGGATTACCCAGAAACTTGTTAAAGATGTACATTCTTGGGCCTCACCCCAGACTCAGTGACTCAGAAACTCTAGGGCCGCAGTCATCTATGTTTTAACAAACTCTCCAGGGGATATTAATTCTGCTGCATGCCAACGTGTGAGAACCAGTGCTTTAGACCTTTAACAGTCATACAGCAGTGCTAGAGCAAGATACTACCAGGTCTCATAGCTGCCAGGAAGGAGGTGGAGAAGAGTCATTAGGAGACAAGCTTTGAAGCCAGAGTTGGCTTGCATTCACATCCTGTCTCCACTGCTCACTTGTTTTGTGACCTGGAACACTGTACTTAGTTTCACCATGGTTCTGATTCCTCAATTCCTCATCTCTGTCACTCAGATCACAGAGTCATACCTACCTTATAGAGAGGTTTGTTATAAGGAATGAATGAGTTCCTATTCATTAGTGCTTACAACAATGTCCAGCACAGAAAGAGTGCTATGTAAGTGATAAACTCTTTTTTTTTTTTTTTTTTTTGAGACAGGGTTTCACTCTGTTGCCTAGGCTCGAGTGCAGTGCTGTAATTATGGCTCACTGCAGCCTCAAACTCCCGGGCTCAAGCGATCCTCTGACCTCAGCCTCTCCACTATCTGGGACTACAGGCATGCACCATCGTACCTGGCTAATTTTTACATTTTTCTTTTGTAGAGATGGGGGTCTTACTGTGCTGACCAGGCTGGTCTTAAACTCCTAGCCTCAAGTGATCCTCCTGCCTTGGCCTCCCAACATGTTGGGATTACAGAGATGAGCCACTATGCCTGGCAAAATAAGTGAACTTGAAACCGAAGGTTTCAAGAGAAGTGTTCCAGGATGGGCTACCATAAGAGAGACACAGGCAGGTGGGCGAAGCAATGCACAAACCTTGCAGAGTACCCTTTGCTACTACCTGCTGGTGACCACAGCCTATGTATCAGGCCAGAGCAGTTCTCCCAGAAGCTGAGGGACCAGATGCAGAGTACAGAAATCTTTATCTATTGAAGCAGGATGGACACCTGTGCTGTTCTGATTGCTGGAGGAGAAAGCATCAAGAAATGCAGTTATGCTTCACCAGCACCTGGCAGATGTCTGAAATCCTTGGGCTATGATTTGGCTAAATCTTAGGTTTTGAAGCTTTCATATGTACTGCTTTTTTTTTTTTTTTTAAATCAATGGCAACATCATCTAGGCACTAACATCCATTCCTGTTGGTTGGTAGTATATTCTCCATCACTTGGCAGATTTGATGTATTTTAATCCAGCCTTTAGCTTTCTCTAATCTCACTTCATCAATCCTCCTCTGCTTAGACACATCCGCCTTCATTTGGCAGACATGGCAGGTTTTTCATTTCCCCCATGTAAATGACTTGTTTATTACAGTAGGGGTCCCTGGTCTTTTGAAACAGCTTACAGATATCCTCAGATAGAGCTCAGAAAGGGCTTCATGAATAATAATGCCCAAGTAAACCCGAGATGAGCTTGGACATTGCCTCTTTGAAATTCATGCATCATCCTAAGTGCTGTCATTTAAACAGAAAGTGTAGAAGGCTTCCTGTGAAGGCTGAGTCTGAAATATGCTTTCATTACAAAACTTATCATTTCAGCACAAAACAAACGGTGGAAAGCAAAGTTGGGAGTAGGTGATTCCCGGTATGTGTTTTACTTGAGCATAAAATTTGTTTTTCTGATTGTATTGAGACTTTTCACACTCCTTGGTTTTTTTAACTTGCATTTCTCTTTCTATTAAATATTCCTCAGCTTCCTTGCATCTAGACTATGAATTTGTAATCTGAAAATGAGGAGATGGCTATCCAGAGTGAGTTATCTCTCAGTTTTGTTTTCGTTTGTCTTGGGAGACAAAAGAGAATTGTCAGGTGTATTTGTAGCATGGATTTCAGCTTCTGTCTAGATCACAGGTTCTCAAGCTTAGTTGCACATTGTAATCACTTGGAAACTCTTGAAAAATACTGATGTCTGGGATCCATCTAAGATCTTCTGGTTTGGGTACTCCCTGGACATAGGGACTTTTCAAAGATGCCCAGGTGATTCTAACATGTGACAAACTTTGAGACCACTTGTGTTTATTATGTTAACTCCATGGATTTGGAGATGGCCAGTCATTTCTGGGGAATGAGTCAGATGAACAAGCAAAATTTTTGTGGAGGAGGGGCTGATTAGCTTCTTAGGGAAGAATCCATCCCCAAGGAGGAAGGAGCCAGGCATACCCAGGTACAAAGGCCATGAGCTCTGCTTTTGGGAGTATTCACTTCACTCTGTCCCCTGCCTAGTGTCACAGTTGCAAATATTAGACCTAGGGGGAGAGAGGACTGTGAACAGAAATGACAAGTGTTTTCCAGTAAAAGCTTAAAGCACTGGGTCCCAGCAGAACTAGTAACAGTGTGTGACATAATTGGAGTGAGGAATGTTCCTCTCTGCTTTGCTGCAGACCATGGAACAAGTCAGGCCTCCCAGAGGCTGGAGAGCAGCATTGTAAGTTGTCCATTGAGCCACAGTGACCTCCAGCACAGACAGCAGAGGCAGAGTGGTGTGGAGAGGGCTGCACTATGGGGTCTGCAAGAGCCTGGGTGGTATCTAACAGATATGCTGGGAGTACAGCTGATCTGTCAGGGTTCTGAGGTCATCTACATGAGCAGGCAACAAGAAGATAAAATTTGCTTGGATTCCATGTCTGTATCTATTTACCAGCAGGCTAGGCCTGGGAACTCAGGGCATAGTTTATCTGTATAACTGAGGATGCAAGCATATAACTATACTACTTCAAATTAGAAAATCAGAATGCTACCTTTCTGACCACATTGGTTTTGTTCCCCTTAAGAATGGTTAGACTTAATGGTATGCCTTTTGTCTGACTTGAGGAAATGGCCACACAAAGAGGATTTTGCCATTGCTATGGAATTGCTGTTAAAGGAATTGTTCATTATATCATTCAATGGTCCTCATAAAGTCCCATGTGATGAATTCCTTTCAGAATTCAAGGGTGAACTTATCTTAAATAATTGGCATGCTCCCATTTATGAGATAATAAGATCTGTGTAACTCATTACATTTCATACCTTCTCCTCCTCAGGAGTCAGGAATTTCAAAATCAAATAGGCTTCTTACAATAAATATAACCTCTGGTGTTAACAACATTGAATCCTCTTTTCTATTATGGTTTGCTGTGGTCTCATAATTTTTTGCATGTTAATCTCTTATTTTAAACCACTCTGAAATAATTTTTTTTAAAGAAGCAAAGGGAAAATAAAAATCTCAGTTTAATGGAATCCAATTAAAATTCTTTTGTTGTGGTATAATATATACAATTAACTACACATATTTAAAGTATTAATATAATATCTGATAAATTTTGACATGTATATGCCTGTGATATTGTAAAATACATATTTGTTCTTCCATCTATTTCTTGGCATTGAATTCCTAAAATCCTTAGAATCTCTAAAGTGATGTCTTTTTGTATGCTAATGTTGTGTTGACTGATGTCTGGCAGTCCCTAGGTAGCTTCCGGATTGGGGTGGTAACCAAAAAGACCAAGTCATGATTAGAGGGTTGGGACTTCCAGCCTTACTCTCCTTTCCCCAACCTGGGGTTAAGGGAGAGAAGGGAAGGAGCTAAAAGTTAAGTTAATCACTTATGGCCAATGGCTTAATGAATCATTCATATCCAGTGAAGCCTCCATAAGATGTCCAAGAGGACGGGGTAAGGAGGGCTTCCAGATAGCTGAATACATGGAGGTTCCTGAAGGTTGGTGTACCCAGAGAGCACATGGAAGCTCCATGCCCTTTCCTTTATAACTCACTCTTTGCATCTCTTCATCTGTATCATTTGTAATATCCTTTATAATAAGCTGGTAAACATAAGTGTTTCCTGAATTCTGTGAACTGCTTTAGCAAATTAATCAAACCTGAGAAGAGAGTTGTGGAAACTTTTATTTATAGTGGGTAGGTTGGTAGGGAGTGTATTAGTCCATTTGCATGCTGTTGATAGACATATGCAAGACTGAGCAATTTACAAAAGAAAGAGGTTTAGTGGACTTACAGTTCCACATGGCTGGGAAGGCCTCACAATCATGGTGGAAGGCAAGGAGGAGCAAGTAACATCTTACATGGATGGCAGCAGGCAAAGAGAGAGAACTTGTGTAGGGGAACTTTTCTTTATAAAACCATCAGATCTTGTGAGACTCATTCACTTTCATAAGAACAGCATGGGAAAGACTTGCCCCCATGATTGAATTACCTCCCACCTGGTCCTTCCCATAACACATGGGAATTTAAGATGAGATTTGGGTAGGGACACAGCCAAACCATATCAGACAGAAGCACAGGTAAAATGACCTGGGGCTTGTGATTGGCATCAGAAATAAGGGGCAGTCTTGTGGGACTGAGCCCTCAACCTGTGGGATCTGATGCTATCTCCAAGTAGGTAGTTTCAGAATTGAATTAGTGGGCATCCAGCTGACAGCTGCAGTATTGTTTGCTTGCTTGCTTGCTTGGTATGGGGGTAAAACATCCCACACATTTGGTCACTGAAGTATTCTGTGTTGATCATTGTGGGATGAGAGCAGAGAAAAAACTGTTTGTGCTTTTTCCACTCGTAATTACCCTGGAACCATAAAATATCACCATGATTTAGATAATAAATGGGTCTATCACCTCCCCATTACCACAGGTTCTTGGGCTCTCAATGCAACTGAAATTGCCACAAGGCCAAAATAGTTTTCCCAGAGAAGGTTTTATTGGAGCTTATACCTGGGCATAGGGAGGCAACATGAGAGAGAGAGAAAAGGTGAAGAGGGAGGAAAGGGGAAGGGGGAGAGGAAATATTCTTAGGCTGGCTCCTGTTGGGGAGTTGGAAAGGCAATTTTATGGGGGGGCTATGTTGGGAAAGGAGTGACGTTTAGGCAAGTAAAGGCAGGGAATTTTAGCACCTATGTAGTTTGTTAACATGCTTCTTCATGCATCATATCTCATTAGCATGTTGAGTCTCCAACCCTGGGTGTGATTTTTAGTATTGTCATGAAACTGAGGTTAAGGATCAGTCATTCTCCTGGTCTTTTGCACATGAGGGTGGTGGGAGTTTTCTTGAGTAAGATTTATGGTAGAATGTCACTTATCTTGGTTTCTTCAGATAACTTACAGCTTGCAAGGTCTTGTGATCAGTGGGAATGCATGAAATATAATGCTCTGGTCAGGGTGAGCTGAAGCCAAGTCCCATCCCTACTCTGTCTCATCCCTAAAATTTCCACATACCTCTTTGTAATCTCTTTCTCTTACTACCCCCTGCATCCCCTATCCCTAGGCAACTACTGATCTGCTTTTTGTTACTTCAGATTTGTTTGCATTTTCTAGACTCTTTTACAAATGGAATCATATAGTATGCATGCTTTCTGGTCTAACTTCTTTAACTCAGCATAATTATTTTGAGATTCATCCATCTTGTTGCATGTCTAAATAGTTTTTTTATTGCTGAGTGGTATTTCACTGTTTATCTAGCTGTTGATGGACATTGCAATTGCAGTCAGGATTTAGCTGTTACAAATAAAGTTTCAATAAACTTTCATGAACAATTATTTGTGTGGATATACATTTTCATTCATCTTGAGTAAATACCTAGAAGTAGAATGGCTAGGTTGTATGGTAAGTACACATTTAGCTTTTTAAGACACTGAAAAAGTGTTTTGCAAAGTGGTTATACCATTTGACATTCCTGTCAGCAGTGTATGAGAGTTATAGTTGCTTTACATCCACACAACAATTGGTATGATAGTATTTTAGCCATCCTAATTATGGCAGTGGTGGCCTGTCTGGAGCATCTACTGTGAAGATGCTGGCAGTAGTAGGGGAGGCACACTCCACCCGCTACTGAGTTGGTGGGGCAGGAGTCCCACCCTCCTGGGCACAGCTGCAGCCACCCAGTGGTGGTTGCAGACCTGGGCATCCCTGCACTCTTGGGGGCCAGGAAAGCCCCCATGCCTCCACAGGCTCAGGAGTGTCTGCCCCCACTGCCTGGCCTATCCCCACTCCCAGAACCCACTCTGATTGTGGAGTAAAGCTGAGGCCAAGACCAGGTGATATTACAACCTGGCTAGGTGTGTACATTCTTGGGGCAGTGCTGACACACCAGCCCCCTGCTGCCTTGGCCCCCTCCAGGCTTTGGACACCCATGACCACAGGAGGGAGGCCAAGGGTGGGGGTTGAGGGCAGCTCAGCACAGGCCTGCAGGTGCCCCTCGGCAGGAATAGCCTGGGTGCCATGGACATGATTGATGGTGACAGGAGGCAGACAGGCTTCTGGGTGGAAAGGGGCACATCCCTGGTGAAGCCCTACCTTTAAGTCAGGGATAGCCTGAAGTATGGGGGCTGGGCTGTCAATTCTGGGTGGAGTCCGCAGACTGGAGTGACAACTTAGTGCTTTTTCCAGGCCTGGCCATGCACTTCCTACCTTCTGAGACCATAAATACCCCAAACTCAGCCAGACTCAGACATCAGGAGGATCTGCCTATAGATAGGAGCTACCAACTTTGGGTCTCCTGAGAGCTGTTCTGTCACTCAATGAGGCTCCTCTCTGCCTTGCTCACACTCCAGTTGTCCACATACCTCATTTTTCCTGGATATGGGACAAGAACTAGGGACCCACCAAATGGTGAAATTTAAAAAGCTGTAACACAAAAAGTGCTGAAACACGCTCCCTGCTCACCATGTTGTGGGTGATGAGAAGGAGAGAACAGCTTCAGCCCTTTGGGGAGCCCAGGCCTAGGAGGTCCCTAAGCCAGGGCTGTTATACCCTTTTTGGGGCTCTGCAGTTCCTAGTGTCTGCAAGCTTCTGGGTGCCACCGCGTTCCCCTCATCCAGATGCAGGTGCTTGCAGCAGAAGCCACGTGCAGTACATCTGGTCCAGTTGCAGCCTCACATGGAGCAAACACCTGTGCTGGCAGCTGGAGCTGCCTGCCCAGCTGCAGCTGCCTGTATGCCTGGCTGTACGCAGTGGCCAGGCCCTGTGCTCACTTGCCCACACACCCCTCGCCACTCCAAACCTGGCTCACCCTTGGCAGGTGTGGGATATGAGCAGGTAGCATGAGCTGAGCACAGCCTGCCAAGCTGAGTGGGCCCAACGAGCCCAGTGGGCATGAGCAACACTCAGGCAGAAGACACTGCCAGCCACAGATGTTTCCAGCTGGTGAAGCGACACCCCAGGGGTCCCGTGACACTAACAGGTATGTAGTGGTATCATTATAGTTTTGGTTGGCATTTCCCTAACGAGTAATGATGTTGAATTTCTTTTCATGTGTTTATTTGCAATTCATATATCTTTGGTGAAAAGGCTGTTCAAATCTTTTGACAATCTTAAAAATTGAGTTGTTAGTTTTTGTATTGTTTTGAGTTCTTAATATATTCTTGGATACAAGTTCTTTATTAGATATGTAATTTGAAAATCTTTTCTCAAAGTCTAAGTCTTGTCTTTTCATAGAATCTGATTCTTCAGTTCACTGTTTAAGCAACCCCAGCACAGTCCAGGCCTGGGAGACTGTGACAGGTGATGTTTAGAATTATGTCCCTGAGACTCTGCAATATCTGCAGGCATCATCCCGCTCTGCAGTCCTGTTCACTGAATATCTTGGGCTAGCATAACCTATTTACAAATAAGGTCACATTCTGAGGTACTAGCAGTTAGGATTTCAACACATGAATATTTGTGGGAGACACCTCTACTCATAACAATAGGCAATTGCATGTAGTTCAACCTAACAAAAACTTTAGATCAATCTCCATGTTTTTAGTTCCTGACTTCCTCATAGCTTCTGCTTTGGATGGACTTGACGATTCCAGATGAGTCACTTTTCTGGGTTCTGTGGAAGGCTACTTTAAAATGCTAATGTTTTTAGAATGATGCAGAGCAGTAGAGAACTCAGAAGACAAATGTAGTTGGTAGATTGTTCCACACACTTGAGGTGCAAGGAAAAAACATATTAGCCTGTTTTACAAATAAAATTAGGTATAGCCCTGTGCCTGTGTTAGCAATAAACCCAATATCAATGAGGACAACTCTGCCACCATTCTCAGGTCTTGGAATGTGTTTAATTGCCTGGCATCTGGAAAGTGGTAATGGAACCTGGTCCTTAGTCTGTTATTGCTCTCGGTTTTTGTTCTCCTACATGCTGCTCCTATTGAGCTTGGCTTGACTTACTTTGCCAGCTAGGGGAGTATTTGTAACTGGCACTGTTAATTGTTTGCCTAATATCCATTTCTTCTTCTTACTTGCCAGTATAGCCCTGATTTTGTTTAGGGTGACCATGTGCCCAGCCCAAGGTGTCCATCACAGCTAGACTAGATCATGTGACCTAATCCTGATATAAAGGAAGAGTGCTGTGAAAGCTTTTGGAAAACTTTTTCTTTTGCTGTTAGAAAGAACAGATGGAGCTGGTATCTTTCCCTCTTTGTTCCTACCTTGAATGTAGACATGATACTTAAGAGTTTGGACTGTCATTTGTGATCACATGAAGAACTATCATTTTGCATTTATCTGTCAGCAAAGGGAAAGACAGGACAGTATGATTGATTTGTTGAAATTGAGTTGTTTTTAAAAAATCTTTGGTCTGTTGGTAACTATGATTATTTATTTTTTTGGGATGTGTGAAGATCTATTCAGAAATCTCCTTTAAAGAAATTCTCCCCTATTTAGAAACCCAGTTTAATGTTAAGACCACAGAATTTGGATTTAGAACTCCTGGGTTTGAGCCATGGCTCTATCATTTACTAATGTGAAAACTGGACGAGCCACTAACCTCCTTGAACTTTAATTTCCTCATTTGTGCAATATGAAAATGTTGCTTGGTATCTAGATGAATTGTGGAAAAAATGATTGTAGAGAAAAATAAGTGATATTTTTCATTAAAATAATTTGTGTATGGCAAGGCTTTATATAATCATTAATATTTTGTCATATCTAGTTGTTATGACAAAAATAATTATTTTGCAGTTGTGGAAAACTATGAGATTGAATAATAACCGCTCATATGCACTGAGAGATTCTTTGCAACAGTTACAGTTCTTAGGTCTTTACGGATTAACTCATTAATCATCACAACTACCCTGTGAGGTGATTAGTGTTTAGAGTCCATTGTAGAGAGGAGGAAACTGAGACAAACGAGGTTAATCCTCCTTAAAAGATTAATCCCCTTCCCCACACAAGACCCAAATCATTTGTCATCTTCTTTCTCCACAGAACGCTCTCCCCAAATCTATTTTCTAACACTTCCATGTGATGTCAGAGAGTAATTTCCCTCCCCTTCCTTTATGGTCTTTTCACCAGGGCTCTGTATCCCTTCCGGCTGTGTGTAATTAAAACCCTCACTGTCCTGAATTGCCTGTCACTCCATATTGTCCCTGGGTTCCCATATTTATAGGTTTAGTTTCTTACCCATTCAGAAATTTATAGTTCATTAAAAATAGGAAAACTGCTTGACTGCTGTTTCTTTTGTCTCCCTCCTATTTGTGCTAATTCTTTTTTCCTGTCAAATCATACTGAAAGCAAGTCTATAATTAGGCTTAATTAACATTTCTTTTTAACTCCTGAAATCTGTCTCCTAATCTCTCCTGCTCAAACACTGTATGGCAGCAAATCTCCTTGGCAATCTTCCTGAATTTCTTTTGCTGCAAGATTAGCAACGTTTCCTATCTCCTAGTCGTCTCCACCTATCTCAGACTTCAGATAGTGTCGATCAAGCTTGACTGAAATCACACAGTCCTGGGATCTTTCTCTCCTAACTTGCACTTTTTTGTGTTTGATTCAATTGCCTTCCCTCCCACGGAGTTACTCTCTATTCCCTTATTCTGTTTTATTATATTTTGAGAAATCATTACCACTTGAAATGATTATATATTTTTCTTTTCTGACTGCTATAAAAATCACCTTCCTTCTACAGCTTATCCATTTCTATAACCTTTATTTATATAGAGGGAACACTGAGGGGATAGAATGAAAAATAAGCCAGCTGCTTCTAAGTTTCTAGCTGGAGACTGAATATCTCTTGGATCAAATATTTTGGTCTTTTGAGGGTCACTTAAAGACTTCCTAACATGTTCTCTTTGTCACTACTAGTGGTTCTGGAGATGTCAGAGAACACAATGTGGGAGGAAAAATAGATAAGCAATGTGGCAATTAATGAAGGTACTAAGAGTGAAGCTCCCTTCTTACTGAGACTCAGTCAGATCAAAAGCTGGTGGAGGAATAACTTTGCAGTAGGAGAAGAGATTGAGCCTTTGGTATCAGCATGGATTGGAGTCAGGAGGCTGTTGAAATAGGGCACATGAGTGATGTGAGGTGAGGGAAGAGAAGAGAGAACTAGGCATTGGCTACAGAGGAGATAAGAAGTGGTTGACATCAGAGGATACTATAAACACCTCTATGCACATAAACTAGAAAATCTAGAAGAAATGGATAAATTTCTGGACACATACATGCTCCAAGACTGAACCAGGAAGAAATCGAATCCCTGAATAGACCAATAATGAATTCTGAAATTGAGACAGTAATAAATAGCCTACCAACCAAAAAAAAAGCCCAGGACCAGATGGATTTACAGCTGAATTCTACCAGAGGTACAAAGAGGAGCTGGTACCATTTTTTTTCTGAAACTATTCCAAACAATTAAAAAGGAGGGTCTCCTCCTTAACTCATTTTATGAGGCCAGCATCATCCTGATACCAATACCTGGCAGAGATACAACAACAAAAAAAGAGAAAACTTCAGACCAACATTTCTAAGAACATCAATGCAAAAATCCTCAATAACATAGTGGCAAACCGAATCCAGCAATACATCGAAAAGCTTATCCACCATGATCAAGTTGGATTCATCCCTATAATGCAAGGTTGGTTCAACAAACACAAATCAATAAATGTAATTCATTACGTAAACAGAACTAAAGACAAAAGCCACGTGATTATCTCGATAGATGCAGAAAATGCCTTCAATAAAATTTAACATCTTTTCATGTTAAAAACTCTCAATAAGCTAGGTATTGAAGGAAGATACCACAAAATAATAAGAGCCATATATGACAAACCCACAGCCAATATCATACTGATTTGTCAAAAGCTGGAAGCAGTCCCCTTGAAAACCAGCATAAGACATGGATGCCCTCTCTCACCACTCCTATCCAACATAGAATTGGAAGTTCAAATAAAGTGTATTCAAATAGGAAGAGAGGAAGTCAAATGATCTTTGTTTGCAGATGACATAATCCTATATTTAGAAAAGTCCATTGTCTCAGCCCCAAAGTTTCTTAAGCTGATAAGCAACTTCAGCAGAGTCTCAGGATACAAAATCAATGTACAAAAATTGCAAGCATTCCTATACACCAACAACAGGCAAGCAGAAAGCCAAATCATGAATGAACTCCCATTCACAATTGCTACAAAGAGAATAAAATACCTAGGAATACAGCTAAAGGAATTCAGCTAACAAGGGAAGTCAAGGACCTCTTCAAGGAGAACTACAAATTACTGCTCAAGAAAATCAGAGAGGACAGAAACAAGTGGAAAAAATATTCCATTCTCATGGATAGGAAGAATCAATATTGTGGAAATGGCCATACTACCCAAAGTAATTTATAGATTCAATGCTATTTCCATTAAACTACCATTGACATTCTTCACAGAATTAGAAAAACTACTTTAAAATTTATATGGAACCAAAAAAGAGCCCAGATAGCCAAGACAATCCTAAGCAAAAAGAACAAAGCTGGAGGCATCACCCTACCTGACTTCAAACTATACTACAAGGCTACAGTAACCAAAACAGCATAGTACTGGTACAAAAACAGATATGTAGACCAATGAACAGAATGGAGAATCCAGAAATAAGACCACACACCTACAGCCATCTGATCTTCAACAAACCTGACCAAAATAAGCAATGGGGAAAGGATTCCCTATTTAATAAATGGTTTTGGGAGAACTGGCTATCCATATGCAGAAAATTAAACTGGAGCACTTCCTTACACCATATACAAAAATTAACTCAAGATGGATTAAAGACTTAAATGTAAAACCCAAGACTATAAAAATCCTTGAAGAAAATCTAGGCAATACCATTCGGGTTATAGGCATGAGCAAAGATTTAATGACAGAAATGCCAAAAGCAATTGCAACAAAAGCAAAAATTGACAAATGGGATCTAACTAAACTAAAGAGCTTCTGTACAACAAAAGAAATGATCATCAGAGTGGAGGACAGACTACCTACAGAATGGGAGAAAATTTTTGGAATCTATCCATGTGACAAACCTCTAATATCCAGAATCTATAAGGAACTTAAACAAATTAACGAGGAAAAACAACCCCATTAAAAAGTGGGCAAAGGACATGAACAGACACTTCACACTTCAGACATTTATATGCATTTATAGAGATGCATGCATGCATATGTTCACTGAAGCACTATTCACAATAGCAAAGACATGGAATCAATCCAAATGGCCATCAGTGATAGAGTGGATAAAGAAATTGTGGTACATACACACCACAGAACACTATGCAGCCATAAAAAGGAACAAGATCATGTCCTTTGCAGCCATAAAAAGGAACGAGATGTGGAGGTGGAAGCCATTATTCTCAGCAAACTAATGCAGGAACAGAAAACCAAGCACCACATGTTCTCACTTATAAGTGGGAGATGATTGACGAGAACACATGGACACATTGTGGGGAACAGCACACACTGGGGCCTGTTGTAGGAGCCAGGGGATGGATAGCATCAGGGAGAATAGCTAATGGATGCTGGTCTTAATACCTAGGTGATGGGTTGATTTGTGCAGCAAACCAGTATGGCACACATTTACCTATGTAACAAATCTGCACATTCTGCATGTGTACCTCTGAACTTAAAAGCTGAAGAAGAAAAAAAAAGTGGTTGATTCTGGAATGTATTTAGAAGGTAATGCAAATGAGATTTGTAGTTGGTTGGATATGGGGGTTAGGAGAAAGACAGGAGTGGAGGATTATCCTCAGTTTTGGGGTATGAGCAATACTAATGATATTACTAATGAGGGAGGAACAGGTTTATGGATAAATCAAGATTTAGTTGTAGATGTGATGCTTGAAATGTTTTTTTGCACAGACAAGGGGATGTAGAAATGTCTTTTGCACAGACAAGGGGATGTAGAAGAAGCTGTGTTTTTTTGGCTGGAAGGATTCCTTCATTCTTTAGATTTAAAAAGCTTTCTCCTGGTCTGTGTTTTCTGGTGTATAAAAAGCTCTGTAAACCAGGTAAAATGAGGGGTGGCATAGGTTGGTTGGCATGGCTTCCCACCTTCAGCACACATGTGTAATTTATCCTATACTAATTTCCTAATCAGAGATGGCAAATGATTTCATGTTGCCTGCCAAACTAAAAAAAAAAGTCCTCATTAACTATTTTATGTGCCATGAATGTAAAAGTAATAAATCAGTATAATATACTGTAAAATGTTTAATAGAAGTACATTTTCATCACCGTTTCTAATAAAAACAATACAAAGCTTTTATCAATATTGATGACATAATTTTTAATTTGTTTTACTGTGTGAAATTGTTCTCATCTTTCAGGAACAAAGCAAAATTATTTTTGACTCGATACAATTTGTAGCAGAGAACAGACATTCAGAAAAATTAGTTATTGGAAAAAATGATCAAATAAAAAATTATATGCATTAAAAGTCATGGAAAGTATTAGGTTATAAGTTTGGAGAGTACAGATACTGCAACCATAACCCACAGACAACACAGGAAGCGACCCTACTGATATCACCCTACAATCTGTAGGTAACATCCTGGGTTAATTTACAATTTTAACTGCATGGTCTTTAACTGCATTCCAACTTGCTTAAATTCATGAATGCATATAAAAGTTATTTTGGCCTTTACGTTTCAAAATTTGGAAAAGCAGAACAACTTTAAAAACAAATTCACCATTCAGAAATTAATCCATGTAATTGACAAACATACGAAATGTACCTATGTGTCATAGTCCAGGCCAAACAATGAGTATGCACAGGTGATGGGAAACAACAAGATCAAGACTTTGTAGAGATTATGTGATTGCTTTAGGTTCAAATATAAAGATACGAAGCAAATCTCTATTATATATAATTTAAACTGCTTATATATGTTAACTTATCTGTTACATATATTTTTAAATATTAGAAAACAATTTATCATATTTATTTTTCTGGTGGATAGGTCTATGATTTGATTCAAAATGTCTTTGTGCAGAAAATAATATACAATAAATTGATATAAAGTATCAAACACGTGAGGATTTATCTTTTTCAGAATACTAGTCTGGAAACTACAATGAGTTCAGTCACATATATCTTTTCTGTCTGCTTTTTACTAAATTTTGAAGTTCAACTTGACAGTCTGCATAATTAATTTTTAAAATAATCTTAATTTTAGATTTGGGGTACATGTGCAGGTTTGTTACATAGGTATTCTGCGTGATGCTGAGGTTTGGGATATGAATGATCTCGCCACTTGATTAATAAGCATAGTACCCAACAGGTAATTTTTCAACCCTTGTTCCCCTCCAATCCTCATCAGTAGTCCCTGGTGTCTATTGTTGTCATCTTTATATCCGTAAGTACCCAGTGTTTTGCTTCTGCTTATAAGTGAGAACAAGCAGTACTTGGTTTTGTTTTCTAGCATTAATTTGCTTAGCATAATGACCTCTAGCTGCATCCATGTTGCTGCAAATAACTTGATTACATTCTTTTTTATGGCTGTGCTGTATTCCATGGTGTATTTGTACTGCATTTTCTTTATCCAATTCACCATTGATGGGCACCTAGGTTGATTCCATGTCTTTGCTGTGGTGAATAGTGCTGCAGTGAACATGAGTGGATGTATCTTTTTGGTAGAATGATTTATTTTCTTTTGGATATATACCCAGTAATGGGATTTCTGGATTGAATGGTAGTTCTGTTTTAGGTTCTTTGAGATATCTCCAAACTGCTTTTTATAGTGTTTGAACTAATTTACATTCCCACCAACAGTGTATAAGCATTCCCTTTCCTCTGTAGCCTTACCAACATCTGTTGTTTTTTTGACATTTTTGTAATAGCCATTCTGACTCATGTAAGATGGTATCTCATTGTGGATTTGATTTGCATTTTCCTGATTATTAGTGATGTTGAACATTTTTTTCATATGTTTATTGGTCACTTTTATGTCTTCTTTTGAAAAGTGTCAGTCCCTGTCCTTGGTCCACTTTTTAATGGGATTGCTTGTTTTTTGCTTGTTAATTTAAGTTCCTTATAGATTCTGGATATTAGACCTTTGTCAAATGCAGTTTGTGAATATTTTCTCCCATTCTGTAGGTTGTCTGTTACTCTGTTGATTGCTTGCTGTGGAAAAGCTCTTTAGTTATTGGGTCCCATTTGTCAGTTTTTGTGTTTGTTACGGTTGCATTTGAGACTTAATCATACATTCTTTTCCAAGGCCAATTTCCAGAATAGTGTTTCCTAAGTTTTCTTCTAGGATTTTTATAGTTTGAGGTCTAACGTTTAAACTTTTAATCCATCTGAGATAATTTTTTTTATTTGGTGGAGGGTAGGGGTCCACTTTCATTCTTCTGTATATAGCTAGCCAGCTATCCCAGCACTATTTATTGAAAAGGGAGTCCTTTCCCATTCGCTTATTTTTGTTGGCCTTGTCTAAGATCAGATGGCTATAGGTGCGCAGCTTTATTTCTGGGCTTTCTATTCTGTTCCATTGGTCTGTGTGTCTGTTTTTATGTCAGTACCATGGTGTTTGGGTTACTGTAGCCTTATAGTATGGTTTAAAGTCAGGTAATGTGGTGCCTCCAGCTTTGTTCTTTTTGCTTAGGATTGGTTTGCCTATTCAGGCTCTTTTTGGTTCCATATGAATTTGGCTCCATGGGAATTTTAGAATTTTTTCTCTAATTTTGTGAAAAATTATGTTGGTAGTTTAATACAAATAGCATTGAATCTGCAGATTGGTTTTGGCAATATGGCCATTTTAACAATAATGATTCTTCCTATTTATGAGCATGGAATATTTTTCCATTTGTTTGTGTCATCTATGATTTCTTTTAGCAATGTTTTGTAGTTTTCCTTGTAGAGATCTTTCACCTCCTTGGTTAAATGTATTCCTAGGTATTTTATGTTTTTTTTTTTGCCATTGTAAATGGAATTATATTTTGATTTGGCTCTCAGCTTGAACATTACTGGTATATAGAAATCTTACTGATTTTTATACATTGGTTTTTGCATCATGAAACTTTACCAAAGTTGTTTATCAGTTCCAGGAGCCTTTTGGTGGAGTCTTTAGGGTTTTTTAGACATAGAATCATATTGTCAGCAAAGAGAGATAGTTTGACTTCTTTTTTTTTATTTGGATGTATTTTATTTTTTTCTCTTGCCTGATTGCTCTGGCTAGGACTTCCAGTCTGTACAATTAAAAAAAATTTGAAGTTCATTTTTGTTTCTGTTAGAATTTTAGGATGACAATAAAATTATTTAAGAAGCTAATATTAAATAAAATATTCATAACTCAAACTAAAAATCAAAATATAGCATTCAAACCAAAAGGAAATTCTTTCTTTGAGTTGGGTTTTAAAAGACAATTGAAATGAAACAATAAATCAGCACACTTGAAAGATTAGAGAACTCCACAGAACAAGATTTCCAAACAAACTGAACATATATCAAGTCACTAGTTGCTATAGATGAATGCTTGTATACCCCAAAAATTCATATATTAAGACCTAATTTCCAGTGTGATAGTATTTGGTGGTGAGACCTCTGAGAGATGGTTAGGTCATTATGGTGGAGCCCTCATGGATGGGATTAGTGCCCTTATAAAAGAAACCCAGATAGCTCTCTTTCCCTTTTTGCCATGTTAGGACACAGTGAGAAGATGCAGTCTATGAATCAGAAAGTGGGCCCTCACCAGACACGGAGTCTATTAGTGCCTTGATCTTGAACTTCCTAGCCTCTCAGAACTATGAGAAATAGATGTGGTTTATGGGCCACCCAGTCTGATGCTTTGTTGTAACAGCCTGAACAGACTAAGACACTAGTATTATGCTTAGGCAAGGCATGCAGTATGCACACATATATTTCAAAACAACACAGTTATTGTTGTCAGATAGCATTATAGTCAGACATAGTGTTACCTGATATTCATTACATCATCTTATCATACTTTTATGGAAAAACTAAAATAATTCTAAGGTAATTATAAATTTTATGAGGAGATGGAAATTAGTAAGAACTGTATCCTTTTAAAGTTCATTTCCTTCTAAAAAGTTACAGTGTCAAATTAGATTATTAAAGTAAAATATTAATTTAAAAGCCTCCCTTGATAATCTTAGCAAATGAACTCTAATGTGTATATGTTATAGCTTTTTTTTTTTTTTTTTAAATAGGGTCTCACTCTGCTGCCCAGATTAGAGTGCAGTGGTATGTATGAGGTAATAGGTGACTGCAGTCTCAGACTCCTGGGCTCAAGCAATCCTCCTGCCTCAGCCTCCTGAGTATCTGGGACTACAGGCACACATCACCACACCTGGTGTATTTATTTATTTATTTATTACAGATGGGGTCTTGTTATGTTGCCCAGGCTGGTCTCAAACTCCTGGCCTCAAGTGATCCCTCACCTCAGCCTCCCGAGTAGCTGGGATTACAGGCATGCATTACCACACCTGGCCAGTTTATTTATTTGTAGAGATGGGGTCTTGCTACATTGCCCAGGCTGGCCTCAAACTCCTGGCCTCAAGTGTTCCTCCCGCCTCAGCCTCCTGAGTAGCTGAGACTACAGTTTTGCAACAGTACACCTGGACAATTTTTTTATTTTTATTTTTTGTAGGGATGTGGTCTTGCTATGTTGCTCAGGCTGGTCTTAAACTCCTGACCTCAAGCAGTCCTCTTGTCTTGGCCTCCCAAAGTGTTATGATTACAGGTGTGAGTCACCACACCCAACATGTGTCTATATCTGTAGATACAGATACACACACCATTTCTACCTGAATATATAGCAATATATATGTGCTTCCACATTCTTTGTCTACATGTTTTTTTTTCCTCCAGGATGAATCTGTGATGATGAATAAAAAAGTGAATAAAAAAGTTATTTTTATTCAGGTGTAGATAAACTACTTCTGTTTCTCTCAAGCTGCTATAACATGGGCCATCTTGTTTGGTTAGAATGTATAGTCAATTCCTTAGAATCCAGAAGAGGAGTCATTAATTCTTGCTGGAAGATAAGGGCCAAGCTGTAACTTCTGGCATATGGAGGAAGATCCTGACTCAGGAACAAGTACATCACACTTGGAGTCATGAGCCCTCATTTGGAGTTCCAATTCTGTTATTACCTCAATAGGTGAAACCCATGCTTCTGCGTACTCTACCAATTTTTGAGTATAAAATTGGGTCACATCAGGCCAGGCATGGTGGTTCACACCTGCAATCCCTTTGGGAGGCCAAGGCGGGCAGATCATGAGGTCAAGAGATCGAGACCATCCTGGCCAACATGATGAAACCTCGTCTCTACTAAAAATACAAAAATTAGCTGGGCATGGTGGTGCGTGCATGTAGTCCCAGCTACTCGGGAGGCTGAAGCTTGAACCTGGGAGGCAGAGGTTGCAGTGAGTCGAGATGGCGCCACTGCACTCCAGCCTGGCGACAGAGCAAGGCTCTGTTTAAAAAAAAAAAAAAAAAGAAAAATAATAATAATAAAAGAATTGGGTCACACATCAGTGGTCAAATTTCATTGTCTCCTCACCTTTTTAAAATGGACCTCAGCAACCTAAAATAGATCTTTCCCTCAAGGATGGCTCATGTACACTTGGCAATAGTCAGCTGGTGTTCTTCCTTCAGTAAGCCCCTCCAGATTGATCCATGGATACATGTCATTTCCCTTGAACATATTGAAATGGAATTTCTGACTTTGTTACCTGTACTCTGTAGCTAGTACATCTTGTTTGTTACATGGAATTTGCTGAATTCAATGGGGTTTTCCCAGCAGGAATCTGTCATTACAAATGCTTATACTTAATACTATAATGTGTTCCTGGAAAAGCTAAACCAAATGCAATGGCAAACTTTATTGTCTTTTATAATTGTGGTTGAGACCTGCATGGCTGTACCAGCCTGGAGCAGAAGGATGGATCCTTCATCATTGAATGGGGGCAGCAAATAATAAGGTAAGAGGCATTATGAAATCTCTGTTCCAGGCTTTTTGTGACAAGCTGCCTTTGTCTGTCTAATGTTTGTATGTGATCCCACCATGCAACACTATGTGGCCAGGCTCTTTGTGCTCAATTCTAGCAGCTAGACTTAACTTTAGGTAAGAAGAGTAGTGAAATGTTATATTAACATATGAGGCTCTTATTATTATTATTATTTTAATTCTAAATAAGTCTTCAGGCCCTGACTGAACTTCTAATTATATCTGGGCCAAGGAAGAGTGGCTATTTGCCTCTGCCTCAGATAGCTCTCTGGCTGTCCACCTAAAGGTGACCTGGTCCTGGAGGAAAAAACTCAGGTGAGGTTGGTTTGTACACAGTGAGAAATTTGACCTGAGAAGAACTTGGTTTGTCCATGTTCTTTTTGAGTTGAGGCTTTAGAGTCCAAAACTATAGATTTGGGCAATATCACAGTGGTATCCTTGGGCACATCAAACCCTGGCCATTTCACTTAAGTGGAATTTTTTCTTAGAGTCAGTGATTCTCAACCCTGGCTATGTTAAAAAAAAAAAAAATAACCTGAGGGGTTAAAAAATGCCTGGGCCCCCAACCTTAAAGATTCAGATTCAATCAGTCTCAGGTAGGGCACTACATCATTGTTTTGAGATAGGGTCTCACTCTGTCACACATGCTGAAGTGCGATGACACAATCATAGCTCACTGTAACCTGGAACTCCTGGGCTCTAGCGATCCTGCAATCTCAGCCTCCGGAGTGGCTGGGACTGTAGGTGTGTCACACCACATCTGGCTATTTTTTTAGATAGAGATGGGATCTTGCTATGTTGTCTAGGTTGGTCTCCTGGCATCAAGCGATCCTCCTGCCTTGACCTCCCAAAACGTTTAGGTTACAGGCATGAGACACTGCGCCTGGCCACATCTATTGTGTTATCAGCAGTTCTAATGCAATGCCAGAGTTGATAAGTTGCTCAGAGAAACGGATTAGCAACCCAGATCACATTGGAATAACCTGGGGTATTTACATTTTCTCACCTCCAGGAATTCTCATTTAATTGTTGGGGGTACTGACTGTTTTCTTTTTTTCCTTTAAGCACCTGTGCTATGTTTTAAAAAAATTATATGGGGAAAGGGTTGTCTTCAATAGTTCTGAAAAGTTCTCAGTTGATCGCATTGTATAGCCTGTGTTGAAAATAGCTTCCCTAGGGTTTACAGACTTCGAGGAGGTTGTCTGTGGCTGTCAGAGGCCCTCACAGCTGCCTAGTTTGAGTCCTTTCTCTAAACCCCATCAAATGACTGCTGTGTCAGCTAGGTCTAAAGACAGGAAGGTGCTCTGGGTCCTGACTGCTGTCTTGTCTCCAGCATCAGGCAGACATTGCACCCTGACAGATCCTGCAGTAGGACTGTGCTTCCGTATAAGGTATTTTGGGTGCTCTATTTCAGGATAGGGGCTTAGCCTGTGGGGTTCATTATGGATTCAGGAGGTAAGCCTTGCTTACTCTCCATGTTCAGGGTGATGTCTTGTCCCTGGAGCTTACTATATTGCATACTCTACAGCCAGCCAAGAGTTTTTCAGAACTAGACTCACCGAATGCCTAGTGTTTTATAATCTCTGAGCCTGACCAAAGACTGAAGGTTGTGGGAGAACCCTGTGCTATCCATTTCTGTGAGAATTTAAATTCTTTAAGTATTGAGGTATGTGTGAGAAAGGGTAAAAAGAAGTGCTTACGTCACCAAAAACACCCGTATGTTTCTGGTGATATTCACATCAAGGCCACAGCCTTAAGAATGGAAACAGAATCCCACAGAGGAGTCAATAATTGGTACCCCCAGTTCTCTCTAGTCCCTGAGATCCAGTGGAAGTCTTATTGGGACTGGTGTGAAGAAACCAAGTAGTATATAAATTCCAGGCACTGCACCAAATGAAAAGTATTAAGATTCCCAAGGGAGAATATGGATATGGTCAAAGCTGCCCTCTTGTAGCCTTCCAACGTGGCTAAAAGATACTAACTCTGGGGTATTTCTAATTATCTTCTGCTTTAAATATCAAACAAACAAAAACCAAACAAGGTGAAATGGATTTGAAAAATATAGCCATTACAGAGTGGAGAGGGTTAGCTTTTCCAAACAGGTGAAACACTTACAGGTTGCATCTGTACTAGTTTAGGGGTCCTATAACAAAGTACCATGAACTGATGCATTAAACAACAGAGATGTATTTTTTGTATAGTCCTTGAGGCTGAAAGTCTGAAATCAAGGTGTCAGCTGGGTTTGGTTCCTTCTGAGGGCTGTGAGGCAAGGACCTGTTCCAGGCCTCTCTCCTTGACTTGTGGAAGGCTGTCTTCTCTCTGTGTCTCTTCACATTGTCTTCCTCTATGCATGTCTCTGTTTCTAAATTTTCCCCTTTTATAAGGACACCAGTCATATTGGATTAGGGCCCACCCTAATGATCTCACTTAAGCTTCTCAATAACAACTTTATCTCCAATTAAGATCACATTCTGAGGTATTGGGGGCTAGGACTTCAACATATGAGTTTAGGGACACAGGGGACACAATTCAACCCATAATAGGGTCTGTCTCCAAGTGCCCCATGATTTTCTCTGTAGACAATCAAAAATATCTGTACATCTCTGAAATTGAGTCATGGATGGGAATAAAGTACATTTTCTTCCCCACAGAAGTTTTCTCACCACTTTAAAAAATTAATGGATGTAAACTATATGGCTTGGCCTGATTACCTTACAGTGAAGCCCATGTGTTGGGCATATCCAAGTATTAACTCCAGTACCAGAAGCAGATCAATAATTTATTTCCTAAGCTTGAGATTTACGAAAATAGAAAGACATGATTATGTGTTAAATAGCATAACTATTAAGTTTGGTGCAAAAGTAATTGCGGTTTTTGCCGTTACTTTCAATGGCAAAAACTGCAATTACTTTTGCACCAACAAATACCAAGGGAGGTAACATTTCAGGAAAAAATAAATACGCATCATGAAAAGCTCTTTGAAACAGGTGGGTTTGAGCTTTGGAAACCACGTAAAATGTACATTGTTGTAGAGGGAATAGATGGGAGAGATAATTTCAGACAAAAACTTTTTATTTGTAGATCCTCTTAGAGTTTGTGGGGACTACATCATTGAAGATATTTCCATTGATGCAGTAATGTTTTCCTTCAGTATTTGGGAAGAATGTGTTTGTGTATGTAAGTTGGGGTCAGATTATGAAGACTCCTGTTTTATGTAAGTTGGGGTCAGATCATGAAGACTCCTATTTTCATCCCAGAGATCACTAAGCACAATGGAATGTTTTTCAGGAGAGGGTTACGTGATTAGGAAAATGTTTGAGGGACAAATGATTAAGTGGAGAGTACACAGTGACAGGAGGGAGGGATGGCTCCAGTGTGGGTGGTCCTTGTGGTAAAGACTTCTCAAAGTCCCTGGTTGTAACTTAAGGTAGGGGGTTTGTGCTTTTTCCACCTTTAATTAGAGATGTAAACATTCCTTTTGAAGAACTTGCAATACCAGGATTCCTCCAGTAGTGGGAATTTATCGTTTAATATTTCAGGACCTAACTATTTGCAGTGAGAAAGGTCACATGGTATTGATTCAGGTTGTATTATTTATGCTAACACTTTTATTAATGATAGTAAAATCCCACAGGAAGAATTATTTTTAGGGTCATTAAGAGAAGTATCTATAGCAGTTCGGTGTACAAGTCTTACGTGTCTTTCATTGAATTTATTTCTAAGTAATTTATTCTTTTTGATGCTACAGTTGTCTTAATTTTATTTTCAGATTATTCATGGCTAGTGTTTGGAAATATAACTGAGTTTTGTATATTGATCTTCTATTTTTCAATCTTATTGCCTCTAATAATTATTTTGTGTGGATTTCTTAGAACTTTTTATATACAAAATCATGTCATCTGAAAATATAGCTTCACTTCTTTCTTTTCAATCTGGATGCCTTTTACTTCCTTTCTTGCCTAACTGACCTAGCTAGAACCTCCAGTACAATGTTGAATGAAGTGGCCTAAGTGGACATCCCTGTCTTGTTCCAGATCAGTCTTTTGGCATTAAATATGATGTTTGTGGATGGTTTTTCATAGATGCCCTTTTGTTAAAAGGAGGAATTTTTGAGGCCATTTTAATAAACTTTTGAAAAAGCCATTAGACACAGAGCTTACTCACCTTTGAGTGAGTGTTACCTTTTCACCCTGGCAGAAGATTGGAAGTTTGTCTTCTGAAGAGAGCAAAAGAGAAAGTCTCTTGTCTGGAACACCAGTCGCAGTCGACGGCAGGAACAACATAAGTACAGGATTGTCTACTGAATGTGGAGATCTCCAGCCTTCTTTCCCACCTAGCCCTCAGAATGTGGGCTTCCAGGATTATATCTTCCAGCTGGGACATTGTAAGAGCCTTTTCTAGAAATTTTGACTAGTCCAAAAGAAAAGACATTAAGATGCTGAGATCCAGGTTTATTCTCCCCAAATCCCAGCCATATTACACTACTTGAAGCCCCATGGAATTCACAGTGACTGAACTTCTCAATATAATGCTGGATATTAGAATACAATGGAACAAAACTTTACAAAATTCTGGGGGAAAGTATTTCTACCCTGGAAGTCTAAACTCAGTAAAATTATCAAGCAGGTATAAGAATAGAATAAAAACAATCAGAGCAGAACTGAAGGAAATAGAGACACAAAAAACCCTTCAAAAAATTAATGAATCCAGGAGCTGGTTTTTTGAAAGGATCAACAAAATTGATAGACTGCTAGCAAGACTAATAAAGAAAAAAAGAGAGAAGAATCTAAGAGACGCAATAAAAAATGATAAAGGGGATATCACCACCGATCCCACAGAAATACAAACTACCATCAGAGAATACTATAAACACCTCTACGCAAATAAACTAGAAAATCTAGAAGAAATGGATAAATTCCTCGACACATACACTCTCCCAAGACTAAACCAGGAAGAAGTTGAATCTCTGAATAGACCAATAACAGGATCTGAAATTGTGGCAATAATCAATAGCTTACCAACCAAAAAGAGTCCAGGACCAGATGGATTCACAGCTGAATTCTACCAGAGGTACAAGGAGGAACTGGTACCATTCCTTCTGAAACTATTCCAATCAATAGAAAAAGAGGGAATCCTCCCTAACTCATTTTATGAGGCCAGCATCATTCTGATACCAAAGCCAGGCAGAGACACAACAAAAAAAGAGAATTTTAGACCAATATCCTTGATGAACATTGATGCAAAAATCCTCAATAAAATACTGGCAAACCGAATCCAGCAGCACATCAAAAAGCTTATCCACCATGATCAAGTGGGCTTCATCCCTGGGATGCAAGGCTGGTTCAATATATGCAAATCAATAAATGTAATCCAGCATATAAACAGAGCCAAAGACAAAAACCACATGATTATCTCAATAGATGCAGAAAAAGCCTTTGACAAAATTCAACAACCCTTCATGCTAAAAACTCTCAATAAATTAGGTATTGATGGGACGTATTTCAAAATAATAACAGCTATCTATGACAAACCCACAGCCAATATCATACTGAATGGGCAAAAACTGGAAGCATTCCCTTTGAAAACTGGCACAAGACAGGGATGCCCTCTCTCACCACTCCTATTCAACATAGTGTTGGAAGTTCTGGCCAGGGCAATTAGGCAGGAGAAGGAAATAAAGGGTATTCAATTAGGAAAAGAGGAAGTCAAATTGTCCCTGTTTGCAGACAACATGATTGTATATCTAGAAAACTCCATCGTCTCAGCCCAAAATCTCCTTAAGCTGATAAGCAACTTCAGCAAAGTCTCAGGATACAAAATCAATGTACAAAAATCACAAGCATTCTTATACACCAACAACAGACAGAGAGCCAAATCATGAGTGAACTCCCATTCACAATTGCTTCAAAGAGAATAAAATACCTAGGAATCCAACTTACAAGGGATGTGAAGGACCTCTTCAAGGAGAACTACAAACCACTGCTCAAGGAAATGAAAGAGGATACAAACAAATGGAAGAACATTCCATGCTCATGGGTAGGAAGAATCAATATTGTGAAAATGGCCATACTGCCCAAGGTAATTTACAGATTCAATGCCATCCCCATCAAGCTACCAATGCCTTTCTTCACAGAATTGGAAAATACTACTTTAAAGTTCATATGGAACCAAAAAACAGCCCGCATCACCAAGTCAATCCTAAGCCAAAAGAACAAAGCTGGAGGCATCACACTACCTGACTTCAAACTATACTACAAGGCTACAGTAACCGAAACAGCATGCTACTGGTACCAAAACAGAGATATAGATCAATGGAACAGAACAGAGCCCTCAGAAATAACGCTGCATATCTACAACTATCTGATCTTTGACAAAACTGAGAAAAACAAGCAATGGGGAAAGGATTCCCTATTTAATAAATGGTGCTGGGAAAACTGGCTAGCCATATGTAGAAAGCTGAAACTGGATCCCTTCCTTACACCTTATACAAAAATCAATTCAAGATGGATTAAAGACTTAAACGTTAAACCTAAAACCATAAAAACCCTAGAAGAAAACCTAGGCATTACCATTCAGGACATAGGCATGGGTAAGGACTTCATGTCTAAAACACCAAAAGCAATGGCAACAAAAGCCAAAATTGACAAATGAGATCTAATTAAACTAAAGAGCTTCTGCACAGCAAAAGAAACTACCATCAGAGTGAACAGACAACCTACAAAATGGGAGAAAATTTTTGCAACCTACTCATCTGACAAAGGGCTAATATCCAGAATCTACAATGAACTCAAACAAATTTACAAGAAAAAAACAACCCCATCAAAAAGTGGGCAAAGGACATGAACAGACACTTCCCAAAAGAAGACATTTATGCAGCCAAAAAACACATGAAAAAATGCTCATCATCACTGGCCATCAGAGAAATGCAAATCAAAACCACAATGAGATACCATCTCACACCAGTTAGAATGGCAATCATTAAAAAGTCAGGAAACAACAGGTGCTGGAGAGGATGTGGAGAAATAGGAACACTTTTACACTGTTGGTGGGACTGTAAACTAATTCAACCATTGTGGAAGTCAGTGTGGTGATTCCTCAGGGATCTAGAACTGGAAATACCATTTGACCCAGCCATCCCATTACTGGGTATATACCCAAAGGACTATAAATCATGCTGCTATAAAGACACATGCACACGTATGTTTATTGCAGCATTATTCAGAATAACACCATGGAATACTATGCAGCCATAAAAAATGATGAGTTCATGTCCTTTGTAGGGACATGGATGAAATTGGAAAACATCATTCTCAGTAAACTATCGCAAGAACAAAAAACCAAACACCGCACATTCTCACTCATAGGTGGGAATTGAACAATGAGATCACATGGACACAGGAAGGGGAATATCACACTCTGGGGACTGTTGTGGGGTGGGGGGAGGTGGGAGGGATAGCACTGGGAGATATACCTAATGCTAGATGACGAGTTAGTGGGTGCAGTGCACCAGCATGGCACATGTATACATATGTAACTAACCTGCACAATGTGCACATGTACCCTAAAACTTAAAGTATAATGAAAAAAAAGAAAAGGAAAAAAAAAAAAAAAGAACACATTGTTCTTAGTAAAACCAGTAACAAAATCTGTCTCTAAAATAAAACTAAAAGTACTAACAAAAAAAAAAAGAATAGAATAAAAACTTTATAACAGGTAAGGTCTAAAATATATTGTCTTTCATGCACACTTTCTCAGGAAGCTACTGGAAGATGTGTTTAATGAAAATGATGGAGTAAATCAAGAGAGAGGTAATACATGAAGGGAATCCCAGAATGATGCTGAAGGGAAAACCTAAGACAACAGCAACAGGCCCAGAGAGCAGCCAGCTCAGATTGCAGCTGGCCAGAAGGTGGGGGACTGGCTTTAAGAAGATGAGCATGAAAATATACAGAGAGGCAAAAGGTGGGGTCAGAGTTTGGGGACAAGTCAGTCACAACTAAACAGGGAAACTAAGAAAAAGAAGCAGCAAAGCAGTTATTTTTTTCATGAGAAACAAATTGTTATGCAGGAAAGGAAAAAGCATATTACTTTAGGTTACTCAGCTCTCAGTAGTACTAATGTCATTACAAAGTTAACACCAAATACTGATATAACCAAAGGTACACAGTTCTGTATTGGGCAGATGGGAAATGGGCATGTGTGTGGTTAGGAAAAGAGGCAATCATGTGAAATAGCTAAAACTTCATCTCTAAGTATGGAAAATCTATAATGATAAAGAGGAAGCCTCAAAAACTTCTAATGGAGGGAAATATCAAAGTACTCAACTCAGTATTTTGCAGTGGTGGAGTGGGGGTGAGAGTGGTGGGTGGGAGTGGGGGTAGCAGGTCAAGGGGCTATTTTTTCTAAAACACACACACACAAACACACATACACACCAAAAACAAACTCATAGAACTATTTGACTCTTTATTTTGTTTAACTTTTATTTTAGGTTTAGGGGTACATGTGCAGGTTGTTATATAGGTACTCTTGTATCCTGAGGGTTTGTTATACAGATTATTTTGTCACCCAGGTACTAAGCCTAGTACCCAATAGTTATTGTTTCTGTTCCTCTCCCTCCTCCCACCCTTCACTCTCAAGTAGGCACCAGTATCTGTTGTTCTCCGCTTTGTGTCCAGGTCGGTTCTCATCATCTAGCTCCCACTTATAAATGAGAACATGTGGTATTTGGTTTTCTGTTCCTACCTTAGTTTGCTAAGGATGATGGCCTCCAGCTCCATCCATGTTCCTGCAAAAGGCATGATCTCATTCTTTTCTATGGCTGCATAGTATGCCATGGTATATGTCCCACATTTTCTTTATCTAGTGTACAATTGATGGACGTTTAGGTTGATTCCAAGTCTTTGCTGTTGTGAACAGTGCTGCAATGAACATATGTGTGCATATGTCTTTATGGTAACAATTTATATTCCTTTGGGTATACACCCAGTAATGGAATTGCTGAGTCCAATGGTAGTTCTGTTTTTGTTTGAGGAGTCACCACACTGCTTTCCACAGTGGTTGAACTAATTTACACTCCCACAGTGTATAAGCATTCCCTCTTCTCCGCAACCTTACCAGAGTCTGTTATTTTTTGACTTTTTAATAATAGCCATTATGACTGATGTGAGATAGTATCTCATTGTGGTTTAAATTTACATTTCTCTAATGATTAGTGATATTGAGCTTTCTTTTATATGCTTGTGGGCTGCATATATGTCTTCTTTTGCAGAATATTCATGTTCTTTGCCTACTTTTTAATGGTGTTTTTTTCTTGTTAATTTAAGTTCCTTATAGATGTTGAATATTGGACTTTTTAGACTTTTGTCAGATACATAGTTTGCAAATATTTTCTCCCATTCTGTAGGTTGTTTCTTTACTCTGTTGATAGTTTCTTTTGCTGTGCAGAAGCTCTTAAGTTTAATTAGATCTCGTTTGTCAATTTTTGCTTTTGTTATGATTGCTTTTGGTGTTTTTGTCATGAAATCTTTGCCTGTTCCTATGTCCAGAATGGTATTGCTTAGATTGTCTTCTAGGCTTTTTATAGTTTTGGTTTTTACATTTAAGTCTTTAATCCATCTCATGTTGATTTTTTTATATAAGGAAGGGGTCCAGTTTCAATTTTCTGCATATGGTTAGCCAGTTATCCCAACACCATTTATTGAATAGGGAGTCCTTTCCCTATTGCTTGTTTCTTGTCAGCTTTGTTGAATATCAGATGGTTGTAGGTGTGTGGCATTATTTCTGGGCTCTCTATTCTGTTCCGTTGGTCTGTGTGTCTGTTTTTGTACCAGTAAATACCATCCTGTTTTGGTGACTGAAGTCCTGTAAGTGTAGACTGGGTGTTTGTTCTTTTTGCTTAGGATTGCCTTGGCTATTTTGGCTCTTTTTTGGTTTCATAAAATTTTTTAAATAGTTTTTTTGTTCTAGTTCTGTGAAGAACGTCATTGGCAGTTTGATAGGAATAGCATTGAATCTGTAAATTGCTTTAGGTGGTATAGCAATTTTAATGATTGATTCTTCCTATTCATGAGCATGGAATGTTTTTCCATTTGTGTCATCTCTGATTTCTTTGAGCAGTGTTTTGTAATTTTCACTGTAGCGATCTCTCACCTCCCAAGTTAGCTGTATTCCTAGGTATTTTACTCTTTTTGTGGCAATTGTGAATGGGATTTGGTTCCTGATTGGCTTTTGGCTTGGCTGTTGTTCATGTATAAGAATGCTAGTGATTTTTCCACATTGATTTTGTATCCTGAAACTTTGCTGAAGTTGTTTATCAGCTAAAGGAGCTTTGGGGTAGAGAATATGAGATTTTCTAGATATAAAATCATGTTGTCTGCAAACTGGGATTGTTTGACTTCCTTTCCTCCTATTGGATGCCCTTTATTTCTTTTGCCTGATTGCTCTGACCAGGACTTCCAATACTATGTTAAATCAAAGTTGTGAGAGAGGGAATTCTTTTCTTGTGCCAGTTCACAGGGGGAATTCTTCCAGCTTTTGCCCATTCAATATGATGATGGCTGTGGCTTTGTTGTAGATGGTTCTTATTATTTTGAGGTACGTTCCTTCAATACCTAGTTTATTTAGAGCTTTTAACATAAAGGAATGCCAATTTTATTGAAAGCCTTTTCTGAATCTATTGAGATAATCATGTGACTTTTGTCTTTAATTTTGTTTATGTAATGAGTCACATTTATTGATTTGCATATGTTGAACCAACCTTGCATCTCAGGGATAAAGCCTACCTGATCATGGTGGATTAGCTTTTTGATGTGCTGCTAATTCAGTTTGTTGAGGATTTTTACATCAATGTTCATCAAGGATATTGGCCTGAAGTTTTATTTTTTTGTTGTGTTTCTGCCAGATTTTCTTTTCTTTCTTCTTCTTCTTCTATATAGAGACAGTGTCTCCTCTCCCTATGTTGTCCAGGCTGGTCTCAAACTCCTGGAATAAAAGGGATCCTCCTGCCTCAGCCTCCCAAAGTGCTAGGATTACAGGTGTGAGCCACCACACCTGGCCACTGCCAGTTTTCATATCAGGATGATGCTGGCCTCACATAATGAGTTGGGGAGGAGTCCCTCTTTCTCAATTTTTGGGAATAGTTTCAGTAGGAATGGTAACAGCTCTTTGTACATCTGATAGAATTCAGCTGTGAATCTGTCTGGTGCTGGGATTTTTTTGGTTGGTAGACTATTTATTACTGATTCAACTTTGGAGCTCATTATTGTTTTGTTCAAGGAATCAATTTCTTCCTGTTTCAGTTTCGGGAGAGTGTATGTGCCCAGGAATTTATCCATCCTTTTTTCGGTTTTCTAGTTTTGTGTGACTAGAGGTGTTCATAATAGTCTCTGGTTAGCTGTATTTCTGTGGGGCAGTGGTAACATCCCCTTTGTCATTTTTCATTGTGTTTATTTAGATTTTCTTCTTTGTCTAGCTAGTGGCCTATCTATATTATAATTTTTTTTAAAAGAACTAATTCCTGGATTTATTGATCTTTTGAATGGTTTTGCTCAGTCTCCTTCAGTTAAAGTCTAATTTTAGTTATTATTTGTCTTCTGCTAGCTTTGGGACTGGTTTGCTCATGGTTCTCTAATGCTTTTAGTTGAGATGTTAGATCGTTAATTTGAGATCTTTCTAATTTTTTGATGTGAGCATTTAATGCTATAAATTTCCCTCTTAACACTGCCTTAGCTGTGTCCCAGAGATTCTAGTATACTGTATCTTTGTTTTCATTAGTTCAAAGAACTTCTTGATTTCTGCCTTAATTTCATTACTTATGCAAAAGTCATTAAGGAGCAAGTTTTTTATTTTCATGTAGTTGCAATTGCATGGTTTTGAGCAATTTTTTTAGTCTCAATTTCTATTTTTATTGTGGTCTGAGAGTGTGTTTGATATGATTTTGATTTATTTCCATTTGCTGAGGATTGTTTTATGTTCAATTGTGTGGTCGATTTTAGAGTATGTGCCATGTAGTGATGAGAAGAATGTTCTGTTGTTTTGGGTTAGAGAGTTCTGCAGAGGTCTATCAGATCCATTTGGTCCAATGTTGATTTCAGGTCCTGAATATCTTTGTTAATTTTCTGACTTGATGATCTGTCTAATACTGTTTGTAGAGTGTTGAAGTCTTCCACTATTATTGTATGGGAGTCTAAGTTTCTTTGTAAGTCTCCATGAACTTGCTTTATGAATCTGGGTACTCCTGTGTTGGGTGAATATTTATTTATTTATTTTATTTTTATTTCAATAGTTTTAGGGGGTACAGGTAGTTATTGGTTACATGGATAAGTTTTTTAGTATAGATTTCTGGGATTTTGGTGCATTCATTACCTGAGCAGTGTACACTGTACCCAATGTGCAGTCTTTTATCCTTCACCTCCTCCCACCCTTCTCCGAGTCCCCAAAGTTCATTATAACATTCTTATGCCTTTGCATCCTCCTAACTTAGCTCCCCCTTATAAGTGAGAACATAACAATATTTGGTTTTCCATTTCTTAGTTACTTCACTTGGATGGGGCTCAAGACCATTATTCTAACTTTCTGTAAAACACATTATTTTGTTCATTTTTTGTGGCTGAGTAGTATTGCATGATTGACAGGCACTTAGGTTGGCTCCATATCTTTGCAATTGCAAATTGTGTTGCTATAAACATACATGTGCATGTGTCTTTTTCATATAATAACTTCCTTTCCTTTGGGTAGATACTAAGTAGTGGGATTGCTGGATTGAATAGTAGTTCTACTTTTAGTTCTTTAAGGAATCTCCATATTGTTTTCCATTGTGATTGTACCATTACATTCCCACCAGCAGTGTAAAACTGTCCCTTTTTACCACATCCAGGCCAACATCTATTTTTTTGACTTTTTAATTATGGCCATTATTGCAGAAGTAAGATAATATCTCATTGTGGTTTTAATTTGCATTTCCCTGATAATTAGTAATGCTGAGCATTTCCTCATATGTTTATTTCCTGTTTATCTTCATTTGAGAATTGTCTATTTATATTCTTTGCCCATTTTTGATTGGATTATTATTATTTTTTCTTGCTGATTTGTTTGAGTTCTTTGTGGATTCTGGATATTAGCCTTTTATCAGATGCATAGTTTGCAAATATCTTCTCTTACTTTGTGAGTTTTCTGTTTAGTCTGCTGATTATTTCTTTTGCTGTGTAGAAGTTTTGAGTTTAATTAGAGCCCGTTTATTTATTTTTGTTTTTGCTGCATTTGCTTTTGGGGTCTTAGTCATGAATTCTTTGCCTAAGCCAGTGTCTGGTAGAGTTTTTCAGATGTTTATCCTCTAGAATTTTTATGGCTTCTGGTCTTAGATTTAATTCTTTGATTAATCTTGAGTTGATTTTTGTATAAGATAGAGATGAGGATTCGGTTTCATTCTTCTACATGTGACTTGCCAGTTTTCCCAGTGCCGTTTAGTGAATAGGATGTCCTTTCCCCAATGTAGGTTTTTGTTTGCTTTGTTGAAGATTTGTTGGCTATAGGTATTTGACTTTATTTCTGGATTCTCTATTCTGTTCTATTGGTCTACATGACTATTTTTATACTAGTACCATGCTGTTTTGGAAACTATAACCTTGTAGTATAAAGTTGGTTAATTGATGCCTTCAGATTTGTTCTTTTTGCTTAGTATTGCTTTGGCTATGGGTGCATATATGTTTAGGATAGTTAGGTGGTCTTGTTGAGTTGAAGACATTACCATTATGTAATGCCCTTCTTTGTCTTTTTTGATCTTTGTTGGTTTGAAGTCTGTTTTGTCTGAAATTAGGATTGGAACCCCTGCTTTTATTCTGATTTCTATTTGCTTGGTAGATTTTCCTCCATCCCTTTATTTTGAGCTTGTGACTGTCATTGTGTGTGAGATGGGTCTATTGAAGACCATTAGGTCTTGCTATTTTATCCAGCTTGCCACTCTGTGCCTTTCAAATGGGGCATTTAGCCTGTTTACATTGAAGATTAGTATTTATATATGTAGATTCGACCCTGTCATTGTGTTATTAGCTAGCTATTATGCAGGTTTGTTTGTGTGGTTGCTTTATAGTGTCACTGGTCTGTGTAACTAAGTGTGTTTGTGTATTGGCTGATAATGATTTTTCCTTTCCATATTTGGTGCTCTTTTCAAGATCTCTTGTAAGGCAGGTCTGCTAGTAACAAATTCCTTCAGCATTTGTTTATCTGAGAAGAATCTTATTTCTCCCCTCTGAGGAAGCTTAGATTGACTGGATATAAAATTCTTGATTGAAGATTTTTTTCCTTAAAGAATGTTGAATATAGGCCTTCAGTCTCTTCTGCCTTGTAGGATTTCTGCAGAGATGTCTGCTGTTAGCCTGATGGGGTTCCCTTTGGAGGCGACCTGCCGTTTCTCTCCAGCTGCCTTTAACATTCTTTCATTTCAACCTTGGAAAATCAATGATTATGTGTCTTGCCAAAGACCTTCTTTTGTAGAATCTTGCAGGTGTTCTCTGTATTTCTGCATTTGATTGTTGGTCTCTCTAGTTAGGTTGGGGAAGTTTTTGTGGGTGATATTCTAAAAGATGTCTTTAGTGTTGTTTGCTTTCTCCCTGTCTCTTTCAGGGATGACAATGATTCATAGATTTAGCCTTTTTTATATAATCCCATATTCTCAAAGGTTTCATTTCTTTTTATTCTTTTTTCTTTTTGTCTGATTGTCTTATTTCAGTAAGCCAGTCTTCAAATTATTAAATTCTTTCCTCAGCTCAGTCTGTTCTGCTGTTAATACTTGAGATTGCATTGAGAAATTCTTGTAGTGTGTTTTTCAGCTCTATCAGATCAGTTAGGCTCTTTTTCTGAGACCAAGTCTCACTCTCTCACCCAGGTTGGAGTGCAGTGGCATGATCTCTGCTCACTGCAACCTCTGCCTCCCAGGTTCAAGTGATTCTCCTGTCTCAGCCTCCTGAGCAGCTGGGATTACAGGCATGTGCCACGATGCCTGGCTAATTTTTTTTTTTTCTAGTAGAAATGGGGTTTCACCATGTTGGCCAGGTTGGTCTTGAAATGTTGACCTCAGGAGATCCACCCTCTTGGTCTCCCAAAGCGCTGGGATTGCAGGTGTGAGCCACTGTGCCTGGCCAGGCTCTTTTTTTATAGTGGCTATTTTGTCTGTCAGCTCCTGTATTATTTTATTGTGACTCTTGGTTTCCTTGGATGGATTTTGGCATTCTCCTGAATCTCAATGATATTCATTCTTATCTATATTTTGAATTCTATTTCTGTCATTTCATCCTTCTCAGCCTGGTTAAGAACACTTGTTGGAGAACTAGTGCAATCATTTGGAGGACATAAGACACTTTGGCTATTTGAGTTGCCAGAGTTCTTGCTTTGGTTCTTTCTCATCTCTGCATATGGGTGTTTCTTTCACTGCTGGACTGCCTCTGATTGAAGTCATCAGGCTGGGGCAGAGTAGTTGTGCTGGAGTCCCAGGTCAGGTGGCCCTGCCCAGTGATGAGAAGTGAGGACCAGAACCTGCATGGAGAACAGTCCAGCCACATTTCTGTGAGATGGGTGCTCTGGGCTGGGGGTCTGCATCAGCCCCTAGTCCCATGGACTCTCTAGAACCTGGAGACAGCAAAGGCAAGGGCTGTGAGACAGCAAAGATGATAATCCATCCTTCCCACTGGGAACTCTGTCCCAGTGAGTTGTGGAGCTGCTAATGGCTGCATAGTCCCAGTGGGAGTAGCTGGTGATCCAGGCTGGGAGGACCTGCTCACTGAGAGGATATGGGACTGGGGACTCATGTAAGAAACATTCAGATCACTTTTCCTTAGCGCTGCTGTAGTATGCTGGGGGTCCACTCCAGTACCTAGTCACCTTGGGTTTTCCAGCAAATGAATATATCAACAGTGAAGGTGGCAAGGCAGCAATACGGGAGCTATGGCTCAAACACATTGGTAGGGGTGGCTGGGGACCCCTGTTGGGGGTCCCACTCAGTGAGGAGAAATGGGATTGGAGACCTGTGCAAAACAACAGTCTGGCTGCTTTTTTTAAGAGCAGCTGTGCCGTGTTGGGGGTTCCACTACAGCCCCCAGTCATCTTTGACTCTCCAAAGCCTGAAGGTGACAACGGCTAAGGCTGCAAAACAACAAAGACGACAGCCTTCCTCCGTCTGGGAGCTCCCAGGGAGGTTTTAAACCATTGCTTACTTGAAAACACCAGCAGGGGTGGTTGTAGACCTCAGTTGGGAGATTTCAGCCAGTGAAGAGAACCAGGACCAGCATGAAAAAGCAGTCTGGCTGCTGCTTCACAGAGCTACTGTGCTGTGCTGGGGGACCACTCCAGTCCCTTGTTGCCTTGGATTCTTCAGAGTGCTAAGGCTGTGAAAAAGCAAAGATGGTGGCCTGCTTTGCCCTGCGGGAGTTTTGTCTCAGGGAGGTGTAACACTGCTACCCATGGCTGGCTGGAGTTCCAGGCCAGTGGGTCTCATCCTCTGAGGTGCTAGGGAAGCAGGGCCTGCAGACTGTCCCTGCTTATCCTCCTGGATTCAGCCCCTTTCCTATGGGTTTGTACAGGGGAATAACCTCCTGCTCAGCTGGAGTTGCGGCTGCTTTTGCTGGGAAGCCCAGGTATCTAAACTCTTGGGTCGCTGTGTGTGCCTGAGTGGCTGCTCTGCTAAGACCCAGCAGAGCTCTGTGTATCAGACTGAAGGCCCTCATGGGGTGGGTTCTCAAGGGGATCTCCTGACTCAAGGGTTGCAAAGATCCATGAGAGAAGTGTCTGTCCCTGGGGTCACTCACTCACTCACTGCTTCTCTGGGCAGGGGATGTTTACCTGGCTCTGTGTTGCTCCCAGGGGTGTGGTCACCCTGCCTTGCTTTTCTCCATTCTCTGTGGGTGGAGTTGTTTTCTTGATGAGCCCCAGTGCGTGTACTTGGGTGTTTCACCATTGAAGATGCTGGGTTTTTTTTTATACTTTAAGTTCGGGGGTACATGTGCAGAAAGTGCAGTCTTGTTACATAGTTATATACGTGCCATGGTGGTTTACTACACCCATCAATCCGTCACCTACATTAGGTATTTCTCCTAATGTTATCCCTCCCCAGCCCCTTACCCCAATAGGCCCTGATGTGTGATATTTTCCACCCTGTGTCCATGTGTTCTCATTGTTCAACTCCCACTTTATGAGTGAGAACATGCAGTGTTTGGTTTTCTGTTCTTGTATTAGTTTGCTGAGAATGATGGTGTCCAGATTCATCCATGTATCTGCAAAGGACACGAGCTCATCTTTTTATGGCTGCATAGTATTCCATGGTGTATATGTGCCACATTTTCTTTATCCAGTTTATTATTGATGGACATTTGAGTTGGTTCCAAGTCTTTGCTATTGTGAATAGTGCCACAATAAACATATGTGTACATGTGTCTTTATAGTAGCATGATTTATAATTCTTTGGGTATGTACTTAGTAATGGGATTGCTGGGTCAAATGGTATTTCTAGTTCTAGATCCTTGAGGAATCGCCACACTGTTTTCCACAATGGCTGAACTAATTTACACTCCCACCAACAGTGTAAAAGTGTTGCTATTTCTCCACATCCTCTCCAGCATCTGTTGTTTCCTGACTTTTTAATGACTGGTATTCTAACTGGCATGAGATGATATCTCACTGTGATTTTGATTTTGATTTCTCTAATGAACAGTGATGATGAGCTTTTGTCTTATGTTTGTTGGTTGCATAAATGTCTTCTTTTGAGAAGTGTCTGTTCATATCCTTTGCCCATTTTTTGATGGGGTTGTTTTTTTTCTTGTAAATTTGTTTAAGTTCTTTGTAGATTCTGGATATGAGCCCTTTGTCAGATAGATAGATTCCAAAAATTTTCTCTCATTCTGTAGGTTGCCTGTTCACTCTGATGATAGTTTCTTTTGCTGTGCAGAAGCTCTTTAGTTTAATTAGATCCCATTTGTCAATTTTGGCTTTTGTTGCTATTGCTTTTGGTGTTTTAGACATGAAGTCTTTGCCCATGCCTATGTTCTGAGTGGTATTGCCTAGGTTTTCTTCTATGATTTTTATGGTTTTAGGTCTTATGTTTAAGTCCTTAATCCATCTTGAGTTAATTTTTGTATAAGATGTAAGAAAGGGATCCAGTTTCAGTTTTCTGTGTATGGCTAGCCGGTTTTCCCAACACCATTTATTAAAAAGGAAGTCCTTTCCCCATTGCTTGTTTGTGTCAGGTTTGTCAAAGATCAGATGGTTGTAGGTGTGTGGTGTTATTTCTAAGGCCTCTATTCTGTTCCATTGGTCTATATATTTGTTTTGGTACCAATACCATGCTGTTTTGGTTACTATAGCATTGTAGTAGAGTTTGAAGTCAGGTAGCATGATGCCTCCAGCTTTGTTCTTTTTGCTTAGGATTGTTTTGGCTATGTGGGCTCTTTTCTGGTTCCATATAAAGTTTAAAGTAGTTTTTTTTCCAATTCTGCTAAGAAAGTCAATGGTAGCTTGATGGGGATAGCATTGAATTTATAAATTACTTTGGGCAGTACAGCCATTTTCATGATATTGATTCTTCCTATCCATGAGCATGGAATGTTTTTCCATTTGTTTGTGTCCTCTCTTATTTCCTTGAGCAGTGGTTTGTAGTTCTGCTTGAAGAGGTCCTTCATGTCCCTTGTAAGTTGGATTCCTAGGTATTTTATTCTCCTTGTAGCAATGGTGAATGGGAGTTCACTCACGATTTGGCTCTCTGTTTGTCTGTTATTGGTGTATAGAAATGCTTGTGATTTTTGCACATTGATTTTGTATCCTGAGACTTTGCTGAAGTTGTTTTTCAGCTTAAGGAGATTTTGGGCTGAGATGATGGGGTTTTCTAAATATACAATCATGTCACCTGCAAACAGAGACAATTTGACTTCCTCTTTTCCTAATTGAATACTTTTATTTCTTTCTCTTGCCTGATTGCTCTGGCCAAAACTTCCAATACTATGTTGAATAGGAGTGGTGAGAGAGGGCATTCTTGTCTTATGCCAGTTTTCCAAGGGAATGCTTCCAGTTTTTGTCCATTCAGTATGATATTGGTTGTGCATTTGTCATAAATAGCTCTTATTATTTTGAGATATGTTCCATCAATACCTAGTTTATTGAGAGTTTTTAGCAGGAAGTGGTGTTGAATTTTATCAAAGGACTTTTCTGCATCCATTGAGATAATCATGTGGTTTTTGTCATTAGTACTGTTTATGTGATGGATTACGTTTATTGATTCACATATGTTGAACCAGCCTTGCATCCCTGGCATGAAGCCGACTTGATCATGGTAGATAAGTTTTTTGATGTGCTGCTGGATTTGGTTTGCCAGTATTTTATTGATGATTTTTGCATTGATGTTCATCTATTGGCCGGAATTTTGTTGTTGTTGTTGCTGTTATCGTGTCTGTGCCAGGTTTGGGTATCAGGATGATGCTGGCCTCATAAAATGAGTTAGGGAGGATTCCTTCTTTTTCTATTGTTTGAAATAGTTCCAGAAGGAATGGGGCCAGCTCCTATTTGTACCTCTGGTAGAATTTGGCTGTGAATCCGTCTGGTCCTGGACTTTTTTTGGTTGGTAGGTTATTAATTACTGCCTCAATTTCAAAACTTGTTATTGGTCTTTTCAGGGATTTGGCTTTTTCCTGGTTTAGACTTGGTAGGATGTTTGTGTCCAGAAATTTATCAATTTCTGGTAGATTTTCTAGTTTATTTGCGTAGAAGTTTTTATAGTATTCTCTGGTTGTAGTTTGTATTTCTGTGGGATCAGTGGTCATATCCACTTTATCATTTTTTATTGCAACTATTTGATTCTTCTCTCTTTTCTTCTTTTTTAGTCAGGCTAGTGGTCTATTTTGTTGATCTTTTCAAAAAACCAGTTCCTGGATTCATTGATTTTTTTGAAGGGTTTTTTGTGTCTTTATCTCCTTCAGTTCTGCTCTGATCTTAGTTATTTCTTGTCTTCTCCTAGCTTTTGAATTTGTTTGCTCTTACTTTTGTAGCTCTTTTAATTGTGATGTTAGTGTGTCAATTTTAGATCTTTCCTGCTTTCTGTTGTGGGCATTTAGTGCTATAAACTTTCCTCTACACACTCCTTTAAATGTGTCCCAGAGATTCTGGTATGTTGTGTCTTTGTTCTTATTGGTTTCAAAGAACATCTTTACTTCTGCTTCATTTCATTATTTACCCAGTAGTCATTCAGGAGCAGGTTGTTCAGTTTCCATGTAGTTGTGCGGTTTTGAGTGAGCTTCTTAATCTTGAGTTCTAATTTGATTTCACTTTGGTCTGAAAGACTCTTTGTCATGATTTCCATTCTTTTGCATTTGCTGAGGAGTGTTTTTCTTCCAGTTCTGTGGTCCTGAATATCCTTGTTAATTTTTCTGTCTCGTTGATCTGTCTAATATTGACAGTGGGTTGTTAAAGTCTCCCACTATTATTGTGTGGGAGTCTAAGTCTCTTTGTAGGTCTCTAAGAACTAGCTTTATGAATCTGGTTGCTCCTGTATTGGGTGTATATATATTTAGGATAGTTAGCTCTTCTTGGTGCATTGATCCCTTTACCATTATGTAATTGCCTTCTTTGTCTCTTTTGATCTTTGTTGGTTTAAAGTCTGTTTTATCAGAGATTAGAATTGCAACTCACGCTTTTTTTTGCTTTCCATTTGCTTGGTAAATATTCCTCCACCCCTTTATTTTGAGCCTATATGTGTCTTTACAAGTGAGATGGGCCTCCTGAATATAGCACACTGATGGGTCTTGACTCTTTATCCAATTTGCCAGTCTGTGTCTTTTAATTGGGGCATTTAGGCCATTTACATTTAAAGTTAATATTGTTATGTGTGAATTTGATCCTGTCATCATGATGCTAGCTGGTTATTTTGCCCATTAGTTGATGCAGTTTCTTCATAGTATCGATGGTCTTTACAATTTGGTTTGTTTTTGCAGCAGCTGGTACTTGTCCCTTTCCATGTTTAGTGTCTCCTTTGGGAGCTCTTGTAAGGCAGGCCTGGTGGTGACAAAATCTCTCAGCATTTGCTTGTCTGTAAAAGATTGTATTTCTCCTTTGCTTATGAGCTTAGTTTGGCTGGACATGAAATTGTGGGTTAAAAATTCTTTTCTTTAAGAATGTTGAATATTGGCCCCCATTCTCTTCTGGCATTTAGGGTTTCTGCCAAGAGATCCACTGTTAGTCTGATGGGCTTCCCTTTGTGGGTGACCCAACCTTTCTCTCTGGCTGCCCTTAACATTTTTGCCTTCATTTCAACCTTGATGAATCTGATGATTATGTGTCTTGGGGTTGCTCTTCTTGAGTAATATCCTTGTGGCATTCTCTGTATTTCCTGAATTTGAATGTTGGCCTATCTTGCTAGGTTGTAGAAGTTCTAGATAATCTCCTGAAGAGTGTTTTCCAACTTGGTTCCATTCTCCCCATCACTTTCAGGTACACCAATGAAACATAGATTTGGTCTTTTCACATAGTCCCATGTTTCTTGGAGGCTTTGTTCATTTCTTTTTATTCTTGTTTCTCTAATCTTGTCTTCTCTCTTTATTTCATTGAGTTGATCTTCAATCTCTGATATCCTTTCTTCCGGTTGATTGATTTGGGCATTGATACTTGTGTATGCTTCATGAAGTTCTCATGCTGTGTTCTTCAGCTCCATCAGGTCATTTATTTTCTTCTGTAAACTTGTTATTCTAGTTAGAAATTCATCTAACCTTTTTTCAAGGTTCTTAGCTTCCTTGCATTGGGTTAGAACATGCTCCTTTAGCTTGGAGGAGTTTGTTATTACCTACCTACTGAAGCCTACTTCTGTCAATTCGTCAAACTCATTCTCCATCCAGTTTGGTCCCTTGCTGGTGAGGAGTTGTGGTCCTTTGGAGGAGAAGAGGTGTTGTGTTTTTTTGGAATTTTCAGCATTTTTGCACTGGTTTCTCCCCATCTTTGTGGATTTATCTGTCTTTGGTCTTTGATGTTGATGACCTTCAGATGAGGTCTCTGAGTGGACGTGCTATTTCTGTCTGTTTGTTAGTTTTCCTTCTAGCAGTCAGGCCCCTCTGCTGCAGGTCTGCTGGAGTTTGCTGGAGGTTCACTCCAGACCCTGTTTTCCTGGGTATCACCAGCAAAGGCTGCAAAACAGCAATGATTGCTGCCTGTTCTTTCCTCTTTGTCCCAGAGGGGCTTCGTCCCAGAGGGACACCCGCCAGATGGCAGCCAGAGCTCTTCTGTATGAGGTGTCTTTCAGCCCCTACTGGGAGGTGTCTCCCAGTCAGGATACACGGGGGTCAGGGACCCACTTTAGGAGGCAGTCTGACCCTTAGCAGAGCTCAAACGCTGAGCTAGGAGGTCTGCTACACTCTTCAGAGCTGTCAGGTAGGGACACTTAATTCTGCTAAGCTGCACCCGCAGCCGCCACTTCCCCCAGGTGCTCTGTCCCAGAGGGTTGCGGGTTTTCTCTATAAGTTCCTGACTGGGGCTGCTGCCTTTTTTTCAGAGATGCCCTGCCCAGAGAGGAGAAATCTGGCAGTCTGGCCACAGCAGCCTTACTGAGCTGTGGTGGGCTCCACCAAGTTTGAAGTTCCCAGGGGCTTTGTTTACACTGTGAGGATAAAACTGCCTACTCAAGCCTCAGCAATGGTGGACGCCCCTTCCCCCACAAAGCTCCAGCATCCCAGGTGGATCTCAGACTGCTGCTGTGCTGGCAGCAAGAATTTCAAGCCAGTGCATCTTAGTTTGCTGGACTCCATGGGGGTGGGACCCGCCAAGCCAGACCACTTGGCTCCCTGGCTCAGCCCCCTTTCCAGGGGAGTGAAGGGTTCTGTCTCTCTGGTGTTCCAGGCACCACTGGGGTATGGAAACAAAAAAACTCCTGCAGGTAGTTCAGTGTCAGCCCAAATGGCCACCCAGTTTTGTACTTGAAACCCAGGACCCTGGTGGCATAGGCACTGGAGGGAATCTCCTGGTCTATTTGTTGCGAAGACTGTGAGAAAAGCGCAGTATTTGGGCTGGAGTTCACCATTTTTCCCAATACAGTTTCTCACAGCTTCCGTTGGCTAGGGGAATGAATTCCCTGACCCCTTGCAATTCCTGGGTGAGGCAATGCTCCTCCCTGCTTCCACTCACCTTCCGTGGGCTGCACCCACTGTTCAACCAGCTTCAATGAGATGGACCAGGTACCTCAGTTGGAAATACAGAAATCACCCACCTGCATCCATCTCGCTGAGGCTGCAGACCAGAGCTGTTCCTATTCAGCCATCTTGCCAGCATCTCCTGTACTCAAAGATGAAGGTGCTGTATTTACTTGTCCCTTCTATTTCTCTTCATGAGACTAGCACATGCTAACTGCTTCTAGTCAACCATCTTGACCAGCCCCTCCTATTTGACTCTTTAAATTATGTTTATAAATAACTTTCATAACATTATTAAATTCAGAAAAGAAGTGATAATAAAAATAATGACTTATTTTTATCTATCAGATTGGAAAAGTTTAAAAACATTGACAGTTTTTTTCTGAAGTGCTGTTAAAATTTAAGCTATATAATTTTGTGTTCAGAATCCCCAATTTCTATTTCTAGAAATTGACCCTAAGAGTAAAGCATAACTATGTTCGGATAAATGATCAAAATGAATGATAAATGGCCATATCAGCTGTCATTTATGAGGATTTATATATACCTTGCACTTTACAGACAGTGTCTGAGTTGGTTTCAATGACAACCCAATCAGGTAGTTATCATTGCCCCTCTTTATGTACAAGTAAACAGCCCTCCATTGTTCTTGCTTTCCTTTTACTTCCTCCCATTCTTCCTCTTTTCTTCCTTCCCTCCTCACTTTCTCTCCTCTCCACCACCTTCTTCATTTTCTCTTCTTGTATGTTAGGAACAACAGGTTAGGACCTCTTGGCTATTATGAAATCTTCCATGTACTTAACAAGTGTGATTCAATTCAAGGCATAGAAAAAGAGATGAAAGCCTCCGTTTTGTCCACAGATATATGTTCTGTAATGTTTTTGTTTTTAAATAAAGAGTGTAATTTGTCTCCCTGTTTTTCTTAATTTGTGAGAACTTGAAATGCAGGACAGTGGGTGAATCTCAAACCTCCAAAAGTCCATGTCAAAGGAAGTCTTACTTAATAAAATGATGCACTAAAAGAATATTGGGTACAGCAAGAAAATAGGCCAGATTGGAATGACTGATGTGAAAATAGGCTAGATGTGGGTGTTTGATGTAATCTTAAACAAATAGATACTCCTCCTTAAAAAGTAGCTCAATGACATCAATAGTTACAGCAGCAGCAGCAGCAATTTTAATCATCACTAACTCTCATGCTCAACTCTAGTGCCCACATTTTTATTTTTTATTTTCATCTCTCAACTAAAATAAAGGACAACTGATAGCCATATTTTAATCAGGAAAACTGAGGATGGGTCTGAAATGTCTTTCTGCTATTAGAAAGCGAGGATTATTTCAAAGTGTGAAAGACCACTAGTCAAAGACCATCAGGAACATGTTTAGATTTTTTTTTTTTTTTTTTAGCTTGCAAGGAAGAACACACTCCAGGGGAATTTTGTGGTGTCAGGGAAATAGGTAATTGAGAAGACCTTATTATAAGATTTTTGCTTATGTTGAGTAATTTTAGGAAGAGATTGAAGAAGCAGGGACCATCTCTGGATTGGGTAATGTCAAGAAGGTAGGAGCAGTTTGGCAATTGAGTATCTAGTAATCTTTCTACAAAATTTGGTAGGAGTGAGGCTAGGCTGGGATGTCATTGGTAAGAAAGCAAAAATCACTCAGATATATTTTTTCCTCTAGCTGAATTACAGCTTTGACTATGCTTGTTGGAGACTGTTTATCATAGCTTGATAGCCAGCTAGGAGGGCTGATATTCACTTTCTCAAAGATATTCAAGGCAGTGTAAAAAGTATAAAGAAACTGATTTAAAGGGATTCATACTGGCTAAATTGAGAAAATTTAAGCATCAAAAAGAGAATAATTATGACTATAAAAGCTATGAGGTCATTCAGATATTCAAATAAAAAGTTAATGGAAGTATACAAAATTTAGCTTTAATAAAAAAGGTGAACATTGTGGGATATATTTAATTTTTACTGATTACATAAGCTTCTAATTAATACATACATGCAGATATTTTATACCTATGTGTTAAGAAATGTCAGCCATGCCAAGGATAAATAACATATTTCTGGGAATACAACATGTTTCAAAAGTTTAAAACCTATCTGAAAGGCAGAGACATAAAAGTCCCTTGATGTAATGCATAAAACTTTATTATAAAAGAAAGCTCAGTCTAATGCCCCAAGGCTTGGGTTTAAATCACAAAGGTTTACACAATCAGGATTCTTGGCCAACCAAGATTTATCAGTTTCAAAATTCTACGACTTGTCATTTCAGCTGGTCTAAGGTGGTATTCTTTTGCTTTTGTCACTAGTAAAACTACTTCAGCCTTGAGAAACCTTGATAATACATAAAAATCCTAGAAAGGAAGAAGCATAAGTACATATGATAAAATTTATCTTGATTTCAGTACCTTTATAACTGGTTTAAAATGAAAGTATAATAGAGATTTAAAGCATTTATTTTTGTATTTTGTCTGATTTTTCAGAAAATGTAAAATATTAGAATAATACTTTAAATTAGGACTTTTTAAAACTTTTAAGTTCAAGGTACATGTGCAAGTTTGTTACATAGGTAAACTTGTGTCATGGGAGTTTGTTGTACAGATTATTTAATCACCCAGGTGTTAAGCCTCATACCCATTAGTTATTTTTCCTGATCCTCTCCCTCCTCCCACCCTCCACCTTACAATAGGCCCCAGTGTGCTTTTTTCCTCTCAGTGTGTCCATGTGTTCTCATCATTTAGCTCCCACTTATAAGTGAGAACATGTGGTATTTGGTTTTCTGTTCCTGCATTAGGTGATAAGGATAATGGCCTCCAGCTCCATCCATGTCCCTGGAAAGGACATAATCTTGTTTTTTTTTCACGTCTGCATAATATTCCATGATGTATATGTACCACATTTTCTTTATCTAGTCTGTCAGCAGTGGGCATATAGGTTGATTCCATGCATTTGGGGCATACTATTAAAAATGTTTGTGACCAACAAGTAAGTTTTAGTAAATCTAATTTGTTTTATTCCAAGTCTATATTTATTAGTTTTGAAAGTACTATGTGAATACTTAAAATAGTGATGGTTTACTCCTTCAAAAATAATTTTTTAATAAAGTCACACAGTTAACAAATGGGGCATTAAACAATAGTAATGAATGTTCCTCTTTATGTACAGAAACTTTTCAGACATCAAAGAATCTACCCATAGGGCAGAGGTGAGGATGTCATAGGATTGAAAAGCAACGTACTGGAGAATCACTCATCCATTTTCTTTTGGTACGTTTTCACAACAAAGCTCCTTTTGAGAGCAGCCCATCACCTGTAAACCTTGAAAATCTTGTGATTCTATCATCCTGGCTATAAATAGGTTAGAGAAGCTGATGTTCGTTTCTCTTGGCCTTTCTCTTCTGGTCACAAAATGTCACCTGCAGATCAGGCAAGAAAAAGAATCAGTAACAAGGATGCTGCTGCTCAGAGCTGTCCACAGACAGGTGCATTCAATCAGTGATCTCCCACTTCCTTGCATTATGACTTTCTTCATATGAAAGTCATACACGGTGATGCCCTGAAGTTCCCAACCCTAACATGGGGTCCCAAGGGTTCCCTCCCTCATATTCCAACTACGGGATGCATCTGATGTCTCTTTGGCTAAAAAGGTAAAGGAAGTTGAGAAGGAAATAATTTATGTGGGTTATTGCCACTTTGAAAAAACTTGGGCAATTTAATAAGGAAGATAAGAAATATGGATGTTGGGTGATCAAGTGCAGTATCTACCACAGGTGTGATCAATTTCCCAAACCAGGTATAATGCTTCAAATGAGGAAAAGAAAAGAAAAATGGTTCATAGAGGGAAAACTCCCAGGAGATTCTTACCCAGGTGAGGACCAGGCATATAGAGCAGTCCATCTGGACATGGGAAGATGCTATCTTTTGTGATTTTGGGCTTGACCTGTTGTAAGATATAGTAATCAATTGTGCATTCTAAGAGCCCTGGACTTTATCTCCCATCAGCAATTTTCCTCCCATGATACTCTCACACTTTCCCTGTCTCAGAGGCAGAAAAGGCCTGATGTCTATTGAGGTCATAATTGCAGTCTGCCCCTGCACCGTGGACCCCGTTGATTCCAGCTCTATAATGTTCTTGTAGTCTGTCTGTGTGCCTCTGTCTCTCTTACTCTGATTTTCAATCTCTCTTATCCTCTTGCCTCTAAACATTTGTACATTTTTCTTCGCAAACTGAAACCACAGCCCTGACATTTAATCCATCATAATTTTTTTTCTATGAGTCTTTCTGCTACTAAATACTTCAATCTTGTGTCTCATGCCCACAGTTTTTTTCTTTTTCTGGCCCTAGAAATTTGAAGTTACTCATTTCACTACTTTATGAACTGTTTCCCTTAGAGGACACCCAGAATTCTTCCTATACAAATAGAATGGCTTTTTAAAAAACTTGTATTATCACTTTCCGACTTCCTGTTGTAACAGGTATTCCTGACCTTATACTCCTCCTAAAGGCCTTTCCTCTTCAGTGTTCTTTCTTTTACAACTTTCTTATTAGCTCTTTTTCTCTCTCTGCCAATCTGTTGATATCCCTGAAGACTGTTTTTTCCCATTTTCTTCTGTCTTTAGAGAAAAAAAGTCACACAAATATTTCACTGAATGTTCTGATTTAGAAATTCCAAATCAATATGCACCTCTAGTTCTCTTGTCTCTCTTCTACACTAGTTCCACATTTTGAGTTGCCCTGGGAGATTTCCACTTCAAAGTTCCACAACCATTTAAAGCTTAACTAATCTCTTGGAAAACCATTTCCCCTTCCCATGGTCTCTATTTCTAACAGTGAGGCATGGTGCTTCTAAGCACAAACTTGGGAATCAGACAAATAGAAATCCAGCACTTATAATTATGTGCCGAAGAACTTTAGGCAAATTACCTAACCTCTCTCTATGTTTGTTTTCTTACCTGCAAAGTGAGCATACCCACCTCAGAGGAGCTGATACTTCTTGTGAACCTATTAGCTGTTTACAGATATTAGTTCTCTCCTTGTAGGTAAATAGGAGGGCTATATTAACCTGTCCGGTTGAACTCAGTCTGGCCATTTGCTTTGGTCAATGAAATGGGAGCTGAGGTGACAGGTTCCATTGCTCAGTTAAAAGCCACAACAGCATTGTTCACAATGGTGGCCTCTCTGGCAGAAAGAATGACATGGGGCAAAGTCTCACCCATCTTTGAAGGATGTGTAATGTTAGTGAGAAATAAACTTTTGTTATTTAAAGACTGAATTTTAGGATAGTTTTGTTACTGTAGCACAACGGAGCCTACATTGATTGTTACATCTTTGCACTAAGAACAAGACAGGGTAGTGGGGCCAAGATGGCTGGCTAGAAACAGTGGTGTTCAGAGGCTCCCATTGAAAAGAACCATAATAAGCATGTGACTCCTTCACTGTCAACCAAAGTATTTAGGTTCTCTCATCAGCACTGAGTAGGAGGCTGGCGTGATCCACAGAGAGGAAGGCAGTGAGTGAGCATGCTCCCCAGCCAGGGAAACCATGCTTTTTTCCATGGAACTGTGTAACCCATGGATCAGAAGATTCCACTTGTGAACTCATGCCACCGGGGCCTAGTGTCCCAACCCTGGAACCATGCAGATTCTCAACAGCCTTTCAGCTGGAATCTGCTTAAGCCTACCGAGCTCCTGGGAGGAGTGGGTGACCAGCACCACAGCTGCGGCTGTGGCTACCTGCTGTCTAAGCCATTTGCATTCTTTGGTGGAGAGGCAGCAGCCAGCACTGGGACTCACAACTGCCTAACACACTAGAATCCCTGGGTGGGGGAAAGGTGATATCCATCTCCATAGCTCCAGGCTGTGCTTTTCCCCTGCTAGAGCCAGGGAGGCTGGATGGCTTGGTCCCAAGATGTGTCCCCCACAGCCCAACATATCAGCTGGGGCAGACTGGCCAGAGTGCCTTTTCAGGCCTGATTCTGACCCATCCTTCCTCATTGGGTGGGGCTTCCAGGCAGGAACTCCAATAACTCCAGCCAGAGGCTCAGGTACAGAACCCAGATCTCCCTGGGCCTGAGCCCCTACGGGGAAGGGTGGCTGCAGTCTCTGTGGACCAACAGACTCAGCCTTTCCTCCTGGTAGTTCTGAGGAATCCAGGCAGCCCAGATGAGTAGGTTTTCCTCCAGTGAAGCACACCCCATCCACCAAGGGACAAAGTGCTTCATTAAACGGTCCCATTCCCCATGCCACCCAACTGGGTGAGACCCTCCAACAGGGGTTGGCAGAGACCCTATACAGGAGTGGTCCTACTGGCATCAGGTTGATGCCCCTTGAGGTCAGAGATCCCAGAAGAAGGAGCAGGCACCCCTCTTTGCTGTTTTCCAGCCTCCTTGAGTGACATCTCCAGGTGCGGGAGCAAACCAGATGAATAAGGCCTGAAATGAACCCCCCAGAAAACTGCAGCAGCCCTACAGAAGAGGAACCTGACCATTGAAAGAAAAACAAACAAGTAGAAAGCATCAACAACAATGAAAAGCCCCCACAAAAACCGCATCCAAGAGTCAGCAGCCTCAAAGATCCAAACTAGACAAACTCACGAAGATGAGAAAGAATCAATGGAAAAACGCTGAAAACCCAAAAGCCCAGAGTGCCTCTTCTCCTCCAAATGATCACAGCATCTCTCCAGCAAGGGCACAGAACTGGACAAAGGATGAGATGGATGAATTGACAGAAGTAGGCTTCAGAAGATGGATAATAAAAAACTACTCTGAGCTAAAGGAGCATGTTCTAACCCAACACAAAGAAGCTAAGAACCTTGATAAAAGGTTAGAGGAGCTGCTAAGTAGAATATTCAGTTTAGAGAGGAACATAAATGACTTGATGGAGCAGAAAAACACAGCACAAGAACTTCTTGAAGCATACACAAGTATCAATAGCTAAATTGACCAAGTGGAAGAAGGCATTTGAATTTGAAGATACCTTGCTGAAATAAGGCATGCAGACAAGACTAGAGAAAAAAGAACAAAAAGGACTGAAAAAAGGTACCAAGAAATTTGGGATTTCATAAAAAGACTGAACCTACAATTGATTGGAGTACCTGAAGGAGATGGGGAGAATAGAAAAGAGCTGCAAAACGCATTTCAGGATATTATCCAGGAGAACTTCCCCAACCTAACAAAACAGGCCAACATAAAAATTAAGGAAGTACAGAGAACATAACTAAGATACTCCATGAGAAGATCAACCCCAAGGCTCATAATCGTCAGATTCTCCAAGGTCAAAATGAAGGAAAAAGTGTTAAGGGCAGCCAGAGAGAAAGGCTAGGTTACCTACAAAGGGAAGCCCATCAGGCTAACAATAGACATCTTAACAGAGGCTCTACAAGCCAGAAGAAATTGGGGGCCAATATTCAACATCCTTAAAGAAAGGAATTTTCAACCCAGAATATCATATCCAGCCAAGCTAAGCTTCATAAGCAGAGAAATAAAATCCTTTCCAGACAAGCAAATGCTGAGGGATTTCATTACCACCAGGCCTGCCTTGCAAGTGCCCCTGAAAGAAGCACTAACTATGGAAAGGAAAACCCAGTACCAGCCACTGCAAAAACACACCAAAATATAAAGACCAATGACACTATGAAGAAACTGTATCAATTAGTGCACAAAAAACCAAATAGCATCATGATGATAGGAACAAATTCACATATAACAATACTAATCTTAAATGTAAATGGGCTAAATGCCCCAATTAAAAGACACCAATTGGCAAATTGGATTAAGAGTCCTGACTCATTAGTGTGCTGTATTCAGGAGACCCATTTCACATGCTCACATGCAGAGACACACATAGGCTCAAAATAAAGGGATGGAGGAAAATTTACCAAGCAAATGGAAAGCAAAAAAAAAAAAAAAAAAAAAAAGCAGGGGTTGCAATCCTAGTCTCTGACAAAACAGATTTTAAACCAACAAAGATCAAAAGAGACAAAGAAGGGCATTACCTAATAGTAAGGGGAACAATTCAACAACAAGAGCTAACTATTCTAAACGTATACGTGCCCAATGCAGGAACACTCAGATTTATAAAACAAGTTCTTAGAGACCTACAAAGAGACTTAGGCTCCAACACAATAATAGTGGGAGGCTTTAATACTCCAATGTCAACATTAGATCAACGAGACAGAAAGTTAACAAGGATATTCAGGACTTGAACTCAGCTCTGGATCATATGGACCTAATAGATATCTACAGAACTCTCCACCCCAAGTCAACAGAATATACGTCTTCTCAGTGCCAATGGCAGTTATAAAATCAGCCATGTAATTGGAAGTAAAACACTCCTCAGCAAATGAAAAGAACAGAAATCATAATAAACAGTCTCTCAGACCAAAGTGCAATCAAATTAGAACTCAGGATTAAGAAACACACTCAAAACCAAATAATTACATGGAAATTGAACAACCTGCTCCTGAATGACTCATGGGTAAATAATGAAATTAAGATAGAAATCAAGAAATTCTTTGAAACCAATAAAAACAAACAGAAAATGTACAAGAATCTCTGGGACACAGCTAAAGCAGTGTTAAGAAATATGTAGCACTAAATGCCCACATCAGGAAGCTGGAAAGACCTCAAATTGATAACATAACATCACAATTAAAAGAGAGAGACAAGAGTAAATTAATTCAAAAGCTAGCAGAAGACAAGAAATAACTAAGATTAGAGCAGAATTGAAAGAGATAGAGACATGAAAAACCCTGCAAAAAAATCAATGAATCTAGGTTTTCTGAAAAAATTAACAAAATAGATAGACTGCTAGCTAGACTAATAAGAAAAGAGAGAAGAATCAAACAGACACAGTAAAAAATGATAAAGTGAGTATCACCACTGATCCAACAGAAATACAAACTACCATCAGAGAATACTATAAACACCTCTATGCAAATAAACTAGAAAATCTAGAAGAAATGGATAAATTCCTGGACACATATGCCCTCCCAAGACTAAACCAGGAAGAGGTCGAATCCTTGAATAGACCAATAACAAGTTCTGAAATTGATGCAGCAATTAATGACCTACTGTATTAATCTGTTTTCATGCTGCTGATAAAAACAGACCTGAGACTGGGAAGAAAAAGAGATTTCATTGAACTTACAGTTCCACCTGGCTGGGGAGGCCTCAAAATCATGGCAGGAGGGGAAAGGCACTTCTTACATGGTGGCAGCAAGAAAAAATGAGGAAGAAGCAAAAGCAGAAACCCCTGATAAACCCATCAGATCTCGTGAGACTTATTCAGTATCACAAGAATAGCATGGGAAAAACTGGTCCCCATGATTCAGTTACCTCCCGCCTGAGTCCCTCCCATAACATGTGGGAATTTTGGGAGATACAATTCAGGTTGAGATTTGGGTGGTGCCAAACCATATCACCTACCAACCAAAAAAGGCCCAGGACCAGATGGATTCACAGCTGAATTCTATCAGAAGTACAAAGAGGAGCTGGTACCATTCTTTCTGAAATTATTCCAAACAACTGAAAAGAAAGGGACTTCTCTCTAACTCCTTTTATGAAGCCAGCATTATCTTGATACCGAAACTGGGAAGAGACACAACAAAAAAATAAAACTTCAGGCTAAGATTCCTGATGAACATCGATGCGAAAATCCTCAATAAAATACTGGCAAATCAAATACAGCAGCACATCAAAAAACTTATCCACCACAATCAAGTCGGCTTCATCCCTGGGATGCAAGGCTGGTTCAACATATGCAAATCAGAAACATAATCCATCACATAAACAGAACCAAAGACAAAAACCACATGACTCTCTCGATAGATACAGAAAAGGGCTTTGATAAAATTGAACATCCCATCCTGTTAAAAACTCTCAATAAACTAGGTATTGATAGAATATATCTCAAAATAATAAGAGCTGTTTATGACAAACCCACAGCCGATATCATATTGAATGGGCAAAAGCTGGAAGCATTCCCTTTGAAAACTGGTGCAAGACAAAGATGCCCTCTCTCACCACTCTTATTCAACATAGTACTGGAAGTTCTGGCCAGGACAATCAGGAAAAAGAAAGAAATAAAGCGTATTCAAGTAGGAAGAGAGGAAGTCAAATTATCTCTCTCAGTAGACAACATGATTTTATATTTAGAAACCCCCATCACCTCAGCCCCAAAACTCTTTAAACTGATAAGCAACTTCAGCAATCTCAAGATACAAAATCAATGTACAAAAATCACAAGCATTTCTTTACACCAACAATAGGCAAGCAAAGAGCCAAATCATGAGTGAACTCTCATTCACCATTGCTACAAAGAGAATAAAATACCTAGGAATACAACTTACGAGGGATATGAAGGACCCCTTCAAGGAGAACTACAAACCACTGCTCAAGGAAATAAGAGAGGACACAAACAAATGGAAAATCACTTCATGCTCATGGATAGGAAAATCAGTATCATGAAAATGGCCATACTGCCCAAGGTAATTTATAGATTCAATGCTATTCCCATCAAACTACCATTGACATTCTTCACATAATTAGAAAAATTCTAATTCTTTAAATTAGAAAAACTTTAAATTTCATATGGAATCAAAGAAGACCCTGTATAGATGAGACAATCCTAAGCAAAAAGAACAAAGCTGGAGGCATCACACTACCTGACTTCAAACTATACACAAGGCTACAATAACCAAAACAGCATGATACTGGTACCAAAATAGACATATAGACCAATGGAACAGAACAGAGACCTCAGAAATAACACCACACATCTACAACCATCTGATCTTTGACAAACCTGAGAAAAACAAGCAATGGGTTAAGGATCTCTATTCAATAAATGGTGCTGGGAAAACGAGCTAGCCATATGCAGAAAACTGAAACTGGCCCCTGTCTTTATACCTTATACAAAAATTATCTTGAGATGGATTAAAGAGTTAAATGTAAAACCACAAACCGTAAAAACCCTAGAAGAAAACCTATGCAATCCCATTCAGGACATTGGCATGGGCCAAGACTTCATGAAAAAAATGCCAAAAGAAATTGCAACTAAAACCAAAATTGACAAATGATTTATTAAACTAAAGAGCTCTGCACAGCAAAAGAAACTATCATCAGAGTGAACAGGCAACCTACAGAATGGGAGAAAATTTTTTCAATCTACCCATCTGACAAAGGCCTAATATCCACAATTTACAAGGAACATGAACAAATTTACAAGAAAAAAACCCCATCACAAAGTGGGCAAAGGATGTGAACAGACATTTTTCAAAAGAAGACATTTACATAGCCAACAAACATGAAAAAAGCTTAACATCACTGATCATCAGAGAAATGCAAATCAAAATTATAATGAGATACCATCACATGCCAGTCAGAATGGTGATTATTAAAAAGTCGAGAAACAATAGATGCTGGCGAGGCTGTGGAGAAATAGGAATACTTTTACAATATTGGGAATGTAAATTAGTTCAGCCATTGTGGAAGACAGTATGGTGATTCCTCAAGGATCTAGAACAAGAAATACCATTTGACCTAGCAATCCCATTACTAGGTATATACCCAAAGGAATATAAATCACTTTCCTATAAAGACACATGCACATGTATGTTTATTGCAGAGCTATTTACAATAGCAAAGACATGGAACCAACCCAAACGTCCATTAAGAATAGACTGGATAAAGAAAATGTGGCACATATACACCACTGAATACTATGCACTCATAAAAAAGGAAAGAGATCATGTCCTTTGCAGGGACACGGATGAAGCTGGAAGCCATCATCCTTAGCAAACTAATGCAGGAGCAGAAAATCAAACACCACGTGTTCTTGCTCATAAGTGAGAGTTGAACAATGAGAACACATCGACGCAGAGAGGAACAACACACATCAGGGCCTGTTGGGGGGTGGGGGGCTAGGGGAGGGAACTTAGAAGATGGGTCAATAGGTGCAGCAAAACCACCAATGGGACACATATACCTACATAAAAAACCTGCATATTCTGCACGTGTATTTTTTTTTTAAGAAGAAATAAAACAAAGAACAAGACAGATGTAGTTCTTGATCTCTTAAAGTTCATAGCTGAGTGGGGGAGATAAACACTGAAAAGTAATTACAGAAGGCTTTTCTGTAGTAGCTCTTACGTCTTTACAATTTAGCATTTAACACTGTCAAGTGCTATTAGCTCTTTGACAAAAGCTTCCATTTTATCTTACCTAAGTCCTTTCAGTTGCTATTAAAAACATTTGTTTTATTTAAGTTGCTTTCAAGGGAAAGCATTCATTAAAATCACCTGAAGGGCTTGTTAAAACAGTTTTTTTAAAAAATTATATTTTTAACTGACAATAATTGTATATATTTATAGAGTACAATATGATGTTATGATACATGTATACATTGTGGAATGATTAAATCAAGCAAATTAACATATCCATCCCCTTACAGACTTATTTCTTTATGGTAAGAATATTTAAAATCTATTCTTAGAAATTTTGATAACAGCCATTCTAATAGGTGTGAAGTGACAGCTCATCATGGTTTTAATTTTCATTTGCTTGATATTAGTGATGTTGACCATCTTTTCATACACCTGTTTTGTATTTGTATGTCTTCTTTTGAGAAATGTCTGTTGAGGTCCTTTGTCCATATTCTAATCAGGTTATTTGTTTTCTTGCTATTGAGTTGTTTGAGCTCTTTATATATTTTGGACATTAACTCCTTATCAGATGTATGATTTGGAAATATTTTCTCCCATTCTGTAGGTTGTTTCTTCACTCTATTTTTCTCCACTGTGGAGAAGCTTTTTGGCTTGATGTAATACATTTGTTTATTTTCACTTTTTTTGCCTATGCTTTTGGGAGCACATTTTTCCCAGACCAATGTTACGGAACTTAGCTTTTCTCCTGTGTTTCCTTCTAATAGTTTTACAGTTTTGGGTCTTATGTTTAAATCTGTAACCCATTTTCAGTTGTTTTTTGTATATGATGTGAGATAAGGGTCTAATTTCATTCTTCTGCCTGAGGATATTCAGCTCTCCTAACAACATTTATTGCAGAGACCCTTGTCTCCCCATTGTGTTCTTGGTATCCTTGCCAAAAATTAATTGACAGTAAAAGTGAAAGATAACAATTGTTGGCAAAGTTGTGGAGAAAAGGAAACCCTTGTACACTGTTGGTGGAAATGTAAATTTGTATAGCCATTATGGAAAATGGTAGGAAGTTTCCTCAAAAAATTAAAAATAGAACTACCATACAACGCAGCAATTCCATTACTAAGTATATATCCAAAGGTAATGAAAGCAGCATGGGATGGGATAGCTGCACTCCCATGTTCACTGAAGCATTATTTACAATAGCCAAGTTACAGAATCAAATTAAGTGTTTAGCAATGAATGGATAAAGAGAATGTGGTATATAGACAATGAAATATTATTCAGCCTTAAAAAAATCCTCTCATTTGCAACAACATGGATGAACTTGGAGGACATTATGTTAAGTGAAATAAGCCAGGCTCAGAAAGACAATAATACTTTATAATCTCACTTATAGGTAGAATCTAAAAAAAGATGAATTAGAGTAGAATGGTTGTTACCAGGATCAGGGGCAGGGAGGATACAGACTGGGAGGTGTTTGTGAAAGAACATAAAATTTCAGTTAGGAGGAATAAGTCAAAGAGATGTAATACACAACATGGTTACTATAGTTAATATCAATGTATTATATATGTGAAAATCATGGAGAGTAGACTTATAGGTGTTCTTACCACAAAAAATGATATGTGAGGCCAATTTAGCCATTCTATAATGTATAGACGTTTCAAAACATAATGTTGTACATATAAATATGTACAATTTTAATTTGTCAAGGCAAAAATAAGAAAAAAAAATTAAAAAACCAGATTGCTGGGCTCCACCTGAAATCCTTATTCAACATGTCTTGAGTGGGGTCCCAGAGTTTGCATTTCTAGCAAGTTGCCAGGTGATACTAGGGACCACACTTCAAGAACTACTGTTTTACCAGCTTTGGTCCCTAATGACATGGAGCATTGTCATCTGCTTTAATGCTAGTCTTCCTATACTCACTAGATACTGTTAGGTCCAGCTCCAGTTCATGGGAATTGTGTATATAACACCAGGGAGAGAAAGAATACTGGGGGGTATTTGGAAAGAAAAACCACAGGAGTAGGAGTCGTGATGTTTGGATTTCCTGAGGTCTTTGTGATGATGTTAGGAGCAAGGCAAACAATATTTTCTTTTCTTTTTTTTTTTACTTTTTTTTGTTTTTGTTTGTTTGTTTGTTTTTTATTATACTTTAAGTTTTAGGGTACATGTGCACAACGTGCAGGTTAGTTACATATGTATACATGTGCCATGTTGATGTGCTGCACCATTAAGTCGTCATTTAACATTAGGTATATCTCCTAATGCTATCCCTCCCCCCTCCACCCACCCCACAACAGGCTCTGGTGTGTGATGTTCCCCTTCCTGTGTCCATGTGTTCTCATTGTTCAATTCCCACCTATGAGTGAGAACATGCGGTGTAAGGCAAACAATATTTTCAAGCTGGAGCTCTAACCATGGTGGAGTTCAGCACTGCTTTTATTGATTAATGAGGGGGCCACATTGTCTCTACCAAGAGCTGATCTTGGTAGAAAAATAATGGGATTAAACCCTCCCTAGAGCATCAGCCTCCTACCTCCAGCTGTCTACTCTCACAAAAGGAGCCACCCTTACAGAAGAATTGGGTCCAGAATGAAGTAAAAAGTCTGGTGCAGACTGAGCCATGTTGATTTAGTCCATAAGGTATAGGTTTGTAGATTTTCTTAAGACAAAACAGAATATATTGAAGGCAATTTTCATTTACGGTGCAGACAAAAATCAACTATATCTTAAATGTCCAACTCATTCCTTTCTATTCCTTTAGGAACCCTAACCACTGATGCTCTTTAATAGCTTGTTTTCCTTCTACAGTTTGTGATTCCTTGAAAAACAATAAATGTAACTAGTGTTTACTACATCCCAGATGTCATGTTAAAACCTTTTATTGCTCATTATCTTATTAAATCTTAACTTCAACACTAATGTCAACAAATTAATTTTAATCCTAACTTTGATGTGGGCATTGTTATTCTCATCTTCTTATAGTCAAGAAAACCAAGGCCCTGGGAGGTAAAATTGCCTAATTTTACCTGGATTGTAAATGTCAGCATTGAGGCTAAAACTCTGGCTTCTGAATCCAGGCAGTTAAATACTGTGAATAATGTGCAAAAACTCAGGTTAGGCTTACGATTAAACTTGAAATCCTCTCCTTCCTTCTACGCATTTTCAAACTTCCCTTTCTGTGTCAAAAGCACCCAGAAAGGATCATTAGGCAACAGGATGAGTCAGAACAGGGGATGGAAAAAGAATAACCCTAGGTAGATTTGTCTCCAAAATTAACTCTTATTTTTAACTTTAAGACAAAATGGGGAATTTTTATCTTTAGGCTTTTGGCTGACATTCCCAGATTCGTGCTCTTATTTTAACATCTTTCTGATGTTTTTAATTAAGGCCAGAACCCTCACATATTTGCCTGATTACTCAGTAAGATATTTAAGTGCCAGATGGCAGGCCTGCCCAATACCCTCCATCTGTGATGGTGTAAGATCGTGGCCTAGAGAGAAATATTTATCCTCAATGACAGTATCTTTCTTCACACAATATTTTACATGGTGCTTCCATATATAAAAGACATCCTAGTGGCACTGTTGAAGTTGGGCCTCACTTGCTGACCCTTCCCTCCACTCTGGTGGTTCTAAGGACATAGAGGGGCACTTGGTTTTGATGGTCGAACCTCACTAGAGCATCAACTTCCAGCCCTCCCTTAGCTGGGACCACTGACTACATATTAAACTGACTTTCAATCAGTCCTTCTGCTTTCAGCACTACCTATACCTCCTCTTTCAGAACTACTTGGTGCTCTGAAATTCCTGACCCATTTGGGGTTCTTCAGTACAGATGAGCTTGCCTTTTCCTGGCATATTTCAGCACTCTTGGATCTGTTGGTTTCCATATTTTTCTATCTGCTTCTCAGCTTTTATATGTATGTATGCACATATGTATATAGTGTATGTATTTAGTCACTCCTTCCATTTTGTGGGATTGTGCCTTTACAAATCCATTCATGATCACTTTAGTAGAGTTTTGAGAGGGGCAAAGGGGCTTCTTTAAGCAGAAGCCATCATTGACTCTTATTTTTATTTTTCTTTTCTTGTGGGTATATAGCAGGCATGTATATTTATGGGGTACTGATATATTTTGGCACAGGCATGAATGCAGAATAATCACATCATAGAAAATTGGATGATAAACTCAAGCATTTATCCTTTGTATTACAAACAATCCAATTATATTTTAGTTATTTTAAAATGTACAATTAAATTATTGACTATGGTCCCCCCCGTTGTGCTAACAAATACTAGGTCTTGTTCATTCTAAATATTTTTTTTTGTACCAATTAACTTCCCCCTACTGCTCCTGCCATCTCCCTACTACCCTTCCCAGCTTCTGGTAACCATCCTTCTATTCTCCATCTCCATGAGTTCAATGGTTTTGATTTTTAGATCCCATAAATAAATGAGAACATATTTGTCTTTCTGTGCCTGGCTTATTTCACTTAGCACGATGACCTTCAGTTCCATCCATGTTGTTGCAAAGGACAGAATATCTCTTTTTTTTTTTTTTTGGCTGAATAGTACTTCATTGTGTATATGTACCACAACAGACATTTTTCTTTACCCATTCATCTGTTGATTGACACTTATGTTGCCTCCAAATCCTGGCTATTGTGAACAGTGCTACAACAAACATGGGAGTGCAGATATCTCTCCAATATACTGATTTCCTCACTTTTGGGTATATACCCAGCAGTGAGATTGCTGAGTTGTATGATAGCTTTATTTTTACGTTTTTGAGGAACCTCCAAATTGTTCTCCATAGTGGTTGTACTAATTTACATTCCCACAATCAGTGTACAAGTGTTCCTTTTTCTATGCGTCCTGGTCAGTGTTTGTTATTGCCTGTCTTTTGCATATAAGCCATTTTAACTGGAGTGAGATGATATCTCATTGCATTTTTTTTTTTTAATGAAGTTTTGCTATTGTTGCCCAGGCTGGAGCACAAAGGCACGATCTCGGCTCACTGTAATCTCCACCTCCCAGGTTCAAGTGATTCTCCTGCCTCAGCCTCCTGAGTAGCTGGGATTACAGGCACCTGCCACCACATCTGACTAATTTTTTTTTTGTATATTTAGTAGAGATGGGGTTTCACCATGTTGACCAGGCTGGTCTTGAGGTTCTGACCTCAGGTGATCCACCTGCCTTGGCCTCCCAAAGTTCTGGGATTACAGGTGTGAGCCACCGTGTCTGGCCTCTCATTGTAGTTTTGATTTACGTTATTCTGATCAATGATGTTGAGCACTTTTTCATATGCCTGTTTGCCATTTGTATGTCTTCTTTTGAGAAATGTCTGTTCAAATCTTTTGTCCATTTTTTGTTGTTAGATTTTTTCCTACAGAGTTGTTTGAGCTCCTTATATATTCTTGTTAGTAATCCCTTGTCAGATGAGTAGTTTGCAAATATTTTCTCCCATTCTGTGTGTCGTTTCTTCACTTTGTTGATTGTATCCTTTGCTGTGCAGAAGGTTTTTAACTTGATATCATCTCATTTGTCCATGTTTGCTTTGGTTGCTTGTGCTTGTGGGGTATTGCTCAATATTTTTTTTCCAGACCAATATCCTGGAGATGTTTGCCTAAGTTTTCTTGTGGTAATTTCATAGTCTGAGGTCTTAGATGTAAGTCTTTAATCCATTTTATTTGATTTTTATATGTGATGAGAGATAGGGGTCTAGTCTCATTCTTCTGCATATGGATATCCAGTTTTTCTAGCACTATTTACTGAAGAGACTGTCTTTTCTCCAGCGTATGTTCTTGGCACCTTTGTCCAAAACGAGTTAACTGTAGGATTTGTTTCTGGGTTCTCTATTCTGTTCCATTGGTCTATGTATCTGTTTTTATGCTAGTACTATGCTGTTTCGGTTATTATAGTTCTGTAGTATAATTTGAAATCAGGTAATGTGATTCTTCTAGTTTTTTCTTTTTGCTTAGAATAGATTTGACTGTTCTGGGTCTTTTGTGGTTTCATATAAATTTTAGAATTATTTTCTATTTCTGTGATGATTGTCATTGGCATTTTGATAGGGATTGTGTTGAATCTGTAGATTGCTTTTAGTGGTGTAGACATATTAACAATATCGATTCTTCCAGTCTATGAACATGAATTAGCTTTCCACTTTTTGGTGTTCTTTACAATTTTTTTCCTCAGTGTTTTATAGTTTTCATTGTAGAGATCTCTCACTTCTTTGGTTAACTCCAGGGTATTCCATTTTATTTGTAGCTATTATAAATGGGATTGCTTTTCTCATTTCTCTTTCAGATTGTTCATTGTTGGCATATAGAAATGCTACTGATTTTTGTATGTTAATTTTGTATCCTACAACTTTACTAAATTTATCAGTTCTAATAGTTTTTTGGTGGAGTCTTTAGGTTTTTCCAAATACAGGATTATATCTTCTGCAAACAAGGGTAATTTGACTTCTTCCTTTCCAATTTAAATGACTTTTCTTTCACTTGTCTGACTGCTCTAGCTAGGACTTCCAGTACTATGTGGAATAACAGTCATGAAAGTGGGTATCCTTCTCGTGTTCCAGATCTTAGAGGAAAGCCTTTCATTTTTTTTCCCATTCAGTATGATACCAGTTGTGGGTCAGTCAAATATGGCTTTCATTATATTGAGGTATGTTCCTTTTATACCTAGTTTTTTCAGGTTTTTTTTTTAATCATGAAGGGATGTTGGACTCTATCAAATGCTTTTTCAGCATCAATTGAAATGACCATCTGATTTTTGTCCTTCATTCTGTTGATAGGATGTATCACATTGATTGATTTGCATATGTTGAACCATCCATGAATCCTTGGGATAAACCCCACTTGGTCATGATGAATGATTTTTTTTTTTAATTTCAATAGGTTTTTTTGGGGGAACAGATGGTGTTTGGATACATGAATAAGTTCTTTAGTGATGATTTCTGAGATTTTGGTGCACCCATCACTCAAACAGTGTACGCTGTACCCGATGTATTGTCTTTTATCCCTCACCCCCCACCAACTCTTTCCCCTGAGTCCCCAGAGTCCATTGTATTGAATTATCTTTTTAAATGTATTGTTGATTAGTTTTCTAGTGTTTTGTTGAGGATTTTGCATCAATATTCATCAGAGATATTGGCCTGTAGTTTTCTTTTTTCTTTCTTTTTTTTTTTTTTTGATTTGTCTTTGTCTGGTTCAGGTATCAAGGTAATAGTGGCCTCACAGAATGAGTTTGGAAGTGTTTATTCCTTCTCTACTTTTTGGAACAGTTTGAGTATATTGGTATTAGTTCTTTTTTAAATGTTTGGTAGAATTCAGCAGTGAAGGCATCAGGACCTGGGCTTTTCTTTACTGGGAGACTGTTTATTACAGCTTGGATCTCATTACTTGTTATTGGTTTGCTCAGGTATTGGATTTCTTCCTGGTTCAATCTTGGTAGATTGTATGTGTCTAAGAATCCATCCTTTTTTTCTAAAATTTCCATTGTATTGGCATATAGTTGCTCATAGTAGCCACTAATGATCCTTTGAAGTTCTGTGGTATCAGTTGTAAAGTCTCCTTTTTCATGTCTAATTTTATTTATTTGGGTCTTCTCTCTTTTTTTCTCCATTAGTCTGGCTAAAGGTTTGTCAATTTTGTTCATCATAAAAAAATATTTTTTTGTTTCATTTATCTTTTGTATTGTTTTCTTCATTTTAAATTCATTTATTTCTGCTTTGATTTTTATAATTTCTTCTACTAATTTTGGGTTCGGTTTGTACTTTATTAGTTCTTTAAGATCCATCATTAGGTATTTATTTGAAGTTTTTTTTCTTTTTTGTTGTAGGCACTTATAGATATAAATTTCCCTCTTAGTACGGTTTTTGCTGTATCTCATAGGTTTTGGTATGTTGTGTTTCCATTATCATTTGTTTCCAAAAAATTTTCAATTTCCTTCTTAATTTCTTCTTTGACCCACTGGTCATTCAGGAGTATATTGTTTAATTTCCATGTGTTTGTATGGTTTCCAAAATTGCTCTTGTATTAATTTCTAGTTTTATTTCATTATGATCAGAGAAGATGTTTGATATTATTTTAATGTTTTTAAATGTTTTCAGATTTGTTTTGTGACCTAACATGTGGTGTATCCTTGAGAATAATCCATGTGTGGAGGAGAAGAATCTGTATCCTGTTGCCTTTGGATGAAATGTTCTGTAATTTTCTATTAGATCCATTTGGTCTATAGTGCAGATTAAGTCTGATGTTTCTTTGTTGATTTTTTATTTGGAATATCTGTCCAATACTGAAAGGGGGGTGTTGAAATCTCCAGCTATTACTATATTGGAGTCTCTCTCTCTCTCTCTTCAGCTCTAATAATATTTTCTTTATATATCTGGGTGCTCCAGTGTTAGGTGCATATATATTTACAATTGTTATATTCTCTTGCTGAATTGATCCCTTTATCATTATATAATGATATTCTTTGTCTCTAGTTATTGTTTTTGGCTGGAAATCTATTTTGTGTGATATAAGTATAGTAACTCCTGTTCTTCTTTGGTTTCTAGTGGTAAGAAATAACTTTTTCCATCTTTTTATTTTCAGTTATATGTGTCTCTTCAGGTAAAGAATATTTTTTATAGACAACAGATCACTGGGTCTTGTTTTGTAATCCATTCAGCCAGTCTGTCTTTTGATTGGAGACTGTAGACCATTTACATACAATGTTATTACTGAAAAGCAAGGACTTACTCCTGCCATTTTGTTATTTATTTTGTGGTTGTTTTGTGGTTTTCTTCTTTTCTTCCTTCATTCCTTTCCTTCCTTTCCTTCATTTTCCCCTTCCCTTCCCTTCCCTTCCTTCTTTCCTTCCTTCTTCTTTTAAATGAAAGTGATTTTCTCTGGTGGTATACTTTCATTTCTTGCTTTTCATTTTTGTGTGTGTGTGCATCTGTTGTATGTTTTTTAATTTAAAGTTATTATTATGAGGCTTGTAAATACTATCTTGTAACCCATTATTTTAAACTGATGACAACTTAACAGTCATTGTATAAACAAACATGCCAAGAGAAAAGAAAAACTTTGCACTTTAACTTTGTCCTCCCACTTTTTAACTTTTTGTTATATTTCTTTATGTCTTATTGTACGGTCTATGTTTTTAAAAGTTGTTGTTATTTTTTATTTTTTTGTCATTTCGTCTTTCTACTTAAGTGTAGTTTACACACTATAATTACAGTGTCATACTATTCTGTGTTTTTCTGTGTGCTTACTATTACCTGTGAGTTTTATACCTTCAGATGATTTCTTCTGCTCATTAACATCCTTTTCTTTTAAATTGAAGAATGTCCTTTAGCATTTCTTGTAGGACAGGTTTGGTGTTGATAAAATCCCTCAGCTTTTGTTTTTCTGGGAAGGGCTTTGTTTTTCCTTCATGCTTAAATAATATTTTTGGTAGATATGCTATTCTAGGGTAACAGTTTTTTTCCCTTTAGCACTTTAAGTATGTCATGCCATTCTCTCCTGACCAGTAAGGTTTCCCTTGAAAAGCTGCTGTCAGATGTATCGGAGCTCAGTTGTATGTTATTCATTTCTTCACTGTTGCTGCTTTTAGGATCCTTCTTTATCCTTGACCTTTGGGAGTTTGCTTATTAAATGTCTTGAGGTAGTCATCTTTGGGTTAAATCTGCTTGGTGTTTTATAACTTTATTGTACTTAAATATTGATAAAATAAACCTTTCTCTAGATTTGGGAAGTTCTCTGATATTATCCCTTTGAATAAATTTTCAACCCTTATCTCTTTCTCTACCTCCTCTTTAAGGCCAATAACTCTTAGATTTTTTCCTTTGAGGCTGTATTAGTCCATTCTCATAATGTTATAAAGAACCACCCAAGACTAAATAATTTTTAAAGGAGAGAGGCTTAATTGATTCACAGTTCTGCATGGCTGCATGCAGTTCCTGATTACAATTCAGATTGCAATTCAAGATAAGATTTGGGTGGGGACACAGAGCTAGACAATTCTGAGGCTATTTTCTAGATCTTATAGGCATGCTTTATTGTTTTTTATTCTTTTTTCTTTTGTCTCCTCTGTGTATTTTGAATTTGCTTCTCTTCAAGCTCACCAATTATTTCTGCTTGATCAATTCTGCTATTAAGAGACTCTGATGCATTCTTCACTGTCATTTGCCTTTTTCAACTTTAAAATTTCTCCTTGATTCTTTTTAATTATTTTGATGTCTTTGTGAAAATTATCTGATAGAATTCTGAATTTTTTCTCCATATTAGCTTGAATTTCTTTGAGTTTCCTCAACACAGTTATCTTTAATTCTCTGTCCGAAAGGTCATATATCTGTTTTTCCAGGACTGGTTCCTGGTGCCTTATTTAGTTCATTTGCTGAGGTCATGTTTTCCTGGATTGGGTTGATGCTTGTAGATATTTGTCAGTGTCTGGCCATTGAAGAGTTAGGTATTTATTGTTGTATTCACAGTCTTGCTTTGTTTGTGCCTGTCCTTCTTGGGAAGGCTTTCCTGTTATTTGAAGGGACTTGGGCTCCAAGCTCAATAATGGTATGGTTTTGCACCAAAGTAACACCTTGTTGATCTTGGACAAGATCTGGAAGAATTCTCTGTATTGCCAAGCAGGGACTCTTGTTCTTTTCCATTACTGTCTCCCAAATGAACAGTTTCTCTCTCTGTGCTGAGCCACCTGAAACTGGGGGTGTGGTGATGTAAGCACCCCTGTGGCCACCACCAGTGGGATTGTGCTTGGTCAGACCTGAAACCAGCATAGCATTGGGCCTTGCCTAAGGCTCTTCCTTTCAGGGAAGTGAGTATCCCCAGGTCCCAGGTGTGTCCAGTGACTCTGTCTGATTTTTGGTTCTTGAGATGGTGCTTTTCTGTATGCAGATAGTTGTTTAAATTTGGTATTCCAGCATGGAGGGGTGACAAATGTTACAGGCTTCTATTCCTCCATCTTGCTTTGCTCCCTCTCCCTCATTAACTCTATCAATCTTGACTCTCCACCTCTTTCTTCTGGCCTCTTATTCTGCAACATGTTTTGGCCATATGTGGGTTGTTGGTAGCCTATTTTCCTATGTATATAACTTCTAATTTACATATTTTTTAAAAAATGTTTTCTACTTGATATGTTCTAATTTATCTTAATACTTTCTTCTCATTTACTTATCCTTTCCTACTAAGATTATTTTACTTCAGTAATTATGGTATAATTTTTGGTATTTCTGATGGGTTCTTTTAAAAATCTTAAACTGTTCTTGATTCATAATTGCTTGTTTTTGTTGCAGAATTTATTTTTCTTGGTATATGGATATTAGTCATTTCTTTATCTCATTGAGGATTTATACTATTTTAAAGTCATCTTTTACAGAAGCATGCATTATTTCTTACAATCTTACAAAAGGGAACTCTGTTATTTGTTCAGTTTGTTGACTATCTTTTCTGACATTAGTTTTGCTGATGTGATTTGAAATTTTAGTTTGTGAGTTTAAGGGGGTGGATATTTATATATATGACCTTTTTCTTGTTGTGCCCATCCCTGTCGCTTCCTCCACTCGTCTCAAAGCTCCAGAACCAGGGTTATACTGGTGGCTTAGAGCTTTCTTTTAGGGACATTGCAGATTTATGAGTTCACTGGTAGCTGCCTCTGCTTCTTCTAGCCTTCTCAGGCAGCATCATGTTACAGTCATGGATATGGTACTGGCCACAGCCTTGTTACCCTCCAGGTAACAGACAGAGATGCCAAACCCACCTCCAGTTTTACTCCAGGGGCCTGGCTTTGATATACCAACATCTTTGGGGACCGTTATCTCTCCCAAGCCCAATATATCCATGGCTTCAGCCCTTCAGCTGTTCTTGTGTTGTGCCACAATTGTTCTGTGTGTTTCAATCTCACATCCTCAGTAGTGCAAGCCCTGTTCTATTTATGGTGTTTGTGAGTGAGGTTAACACTTGTATGCTGTTTTTGGTGTGAATGAAGGTTCTGTATAAAATCACAGTTTTATCCTGTCCAAAAATCAGGTCTTTCAGATTCCTTGGTAAGAAAATATGTAAGACACACCTTACTTTTGCTAATATTTACACCTCTTCTGGTATAACTTATATGAATCATTGGTAAAATCTGGAAGAATTATCTGGATTACCAGGCAGGAACTCTTGTCTTTTTCCTTACTTTCTCCCAAACAGATGGAGTCCCTCTCTCTGCTGAGCCACCTGGAACTGGGGGTTGTGATGATGTAAGCACCCCTGTAGCCAATAATTGGTTAATAAAGCTTGTGTCTCTTTGCCATAGAACCCTTTTCAAACCTTTTTAGGAATAAAGTTTAAAGGATGTAGGCTTTTCAGAGGGAAGGAAACTCTGTTCAGCTGTAAAATATATTTTTCAGGTCAGCAAGATTAGTTAACACTGATCTCATTTCTAAACTGAAGTTTACAGAGTTAGAAACCTTTAAAGAGTTAGAAACCTGTAAGGGTCTGAGAACTAGTGGTTAGTTCTTGGACTTCAGATGTTTTCTTCAAGGCTTAGCTCAACTGTTTCCTCTTCCATAAAGACTTTTCTCACTGCTTGAACCATTTTCTCCTATGCTTTCCCCTACTGTTACATGCAAACACATTCAGAGTTTGTGTATGGTAGTGTCACTTACTTATATTCTTTGTTTGGGAGAGGGGCAATTTGAGCTGGAATTGTTCTGGGTGTTTCAATCTCACCTCTTTAATAGTACAAACCCTACAAGGGCAGGCTGTATCTTTTCCCATTAGCACATTATGATGGTTTATGCAATAATAAATGCTTATTGAGTACAGATTTATTTTCTTGGAGATGTATGAGACAGTTCCAGCCAGGATTGCTACCCTAGGTGTGCAAGTTTTGACACATCTTGGAAGCTTATACTTCCAAGACCAGAATTTATCTTCTTGTGTGGTGTATTTCATGTCTCCAGTGCCAGAGAATGTTAGCTTGTCAGAGAACTATTGGATTGGAAGGAATATTGGGGACCTATGATCCAGTGGTTTTCAAATGTTGTCTTATCCAGGGAGTGTTGCCTTCAAAAATCTTAGTGTGAAATAGATAGAGAGTGATAAATCTGTTCTTCTTACATGGGATCTGGAGGATGGACTCACACTCCTTTACCTCCATGCCCTTACTGTTCTCTTCTCCACCTTTCCAGATGTGACCCAAAGTATCACTGGGGAATCCAGAATCTGCAAGGCATATTTAAAAACTGCGATCTAGTCCAAACTTACCGTTTGTACTAACTGAGGCCCACAGAGGAAAAGTAGTTTGTCCAAAGTCTCATGGCTGGTAACAAAGACAGCGTTAGGACAGACTCTTTACTCAACTCTGCTTCTACTAGGGTGCTTTTTCCACTTTACCATGGTGTTTTAACAGAGGCAGAAAAAAGTGAAAATTTAAATTAGACTGTTAACCAAAACATTGCTGAATGCTCCCCACTTTCTAACCTGTACCTTCAGAATCCCCATCCTGTGATGAGCTCCAAACAGCAGAATCTGCTCAGTCAGCTGCCTGACTGACACAGCAGACCACCATCTGGAGAAGTGTGAGAAGGCCTAGGCTTCATGTGACCTTCCAGAAAGTGTTTCATTGAATGTGTAATGAAGAAGAACCATTTAACTTAGCCCAACAATTCCTTCTAGCCCCCATTAAGCCTCTGACCCATGCACAATACCCCAGTTCATGAGGTCTTTGCTAAGAGCACGAGTAAGCAGAGAGCCCAGGTCTGGGGAGGATTCAGATATAAGGGTGAAGAAGTGAGATGACACAGGAAGGCATTAGATTCTGTGACCTAACTTTGTTCACCACAAGATTTCAGTTAACTTCCCTGCTAATTTTTTTTGAAGTTGAATATGCTAAGATTTCCTCTGAAAGTCAGAGACCCCAAATTATTCACAGCTTTGGGATTTTTTAAAGATACATTCCTACAAAAGTCAACAATTGAATTTCTTAAAAGAGATGAATGATCTTCAGGATACATATGAAAAGCAAGCTTTCGCACATCATTCCGCTACATTAATTCACATACTTAGACTGCAGAACAGTCTATAAAGTATTTTTAAAGATAGCATCTGGTTGAATTTTCACAATATCACCAAGAAGAAGGTATTATTAGTGCGGTCTTACAGATGAGTACATTGAGGCTGGGAGTAGATAAATAACTTGGTCTTGCAGTTCAAAGTGGTAGAAACAAGCCCCAAATCCAGATACTTCTGTCTCCAAATTGCATATTCTTTTAAGTCCTTTAAAAGGCAAAATACTGGACAAGACAGACCATTGATCTGAGCCAGTTCGGTAGTTTTTATGCACAGTGATGCCTCATTAATCTCATATTACTGGGGAATGAGCTGTTCTACATAAGTGAATATTTCATGTAATGGAAGTTTTAAGTACCAAAGCTTAGCATAAAACTTAACCATTTTGAAGGGACTCTTTTTGGCCTGCGTTAGATATTTTTCTTCTGTAGGTCACTTCCTGTGCCAGCTCCATTTTCTCTGTCTCCGGTGTTGTCTGCCATCTGCAGACCCAACCCTGCATAGGCTCAGGACCAATGACTGTGGACCTGGGTGTGCATATGTAGTCCCTGCCACTGTGGAAATTGTAATCCGAGTTTGCAGCTACAGTTGTTTGGATTTAAGCCTTTGGATGCCTTCATAATCACTGAGCTGTTGCTTCCCAGGCTGATACTATCTTGTGCCTGGACAGTAGCTGTTCTTGGCCTTTTTTCTTTGTGCCTCCTGCTCAGTTACCCCATTAGAGACTTCGGAGACTGACCTGAATGACTAACTATTGTCTCCAGAACTGGAGGCCAATCCATGACTCTCCGTGGCCATTTTTCTTAAGACAGAGGCCTGCTTCAATTCTTGACGTATTTAGGGCCCCTGAATTAAAAACTTGTGCTCTTACCTGATGTCAAGAAGCACAAAACTCAGATTATTTTCATTGCATCTTGCCTCATCCCTTTGGACAAGACCTCTTGGACTTTGATGGTGTCTCAGGTCACCCTCAACTTTGCTGATCTGGTCAGTTTTCCATAATCCCCACACTAGAGTCATTCTAACTTGATTGCATCATGCAATTATTAGGCTCTTTATGATATCTGACTTCATTTTTAAAGTAGCTTAAAATTTTTTACCAAAGTAAATTTTTATCAAAATCAAACAATTAAAGTTAAAAGAAAAATAAAACAAAAACCAAACACAAAATAGCAGTTTCCTGATCCACTTCTCCCTAAACTCTATTGAATCAAATGCTAGCTCTTGGTTTATAAAATTTTATCATTTTTTCACTTTTCATTGGCTTATTACGAAGATGAGGATTTAGCATACTTACATAATCCAACATCCTTGCTCCCCCTCCTGTTTTCCAAGTAAAATTATATAAAAATGTTTAGATAAGGGCTAGGCGCGGTGGCTCACGCCTGTAATCCCAGCATTTTGGGAGGCTGAGACGGGTGGATCATGAGGTCAGGAGATCGAGACCATCCTGGCTAACATGGTGAAACCCCGTCTCTACTAAAAATACAAACAATTAGCCGAGTGTGGTGGTGGGCACCTGTAGTCCCAGCTACTCAGGAGGCTGAGGCAGGAGAATGGCTTGAACCTGGGAGGTGGAGCTTGCAGTGAGCCAAGATCGCGCCACTGCACTCCATCCTGGGTGACAGAGAGAGACTCCGTCTCAAAAAAAAAAAAAAAAAAAAAAAAGTTTAGATAAAACAATGTAAAATGTTTTCCTAATTTTCCACCTAGCATTTTGTGCTTACATTTCCTTTCTTGTTCAGAATGTTTTGCTTTCTAGAGTTAATACTTAACTCATTTTTTTCCTTACTTGATTGTTTGTCTGTGTTCCTATCACTATTTTCAAACTCCCCAACACCAATGACTGTTATTTCTCAACCAGGCAGAAGCATCAGCTTTTCATTATTCTTGGAAACACTCCTTCAGGAGTCCTCTCTCCTATTCCAGGCTGTGCTCTGGGTGTTCTCTACAGCTGGTCCCCTGGCCCTTCTCTTTACCTGTCTCCCGGGATGTATCTCTTATTTCCTGCCTCCCCATCTCTTTCTCTTCATTGGTTATATCCTGATTTCAGTAGAGCATCTCCAGTAGCTTCTTGAGAAAGCATGTGTGAGCAATATTTTTTGACAACCTGAAAGTCTTAATATGTATTATTCTTTCTTCGCACTTTAATTGGTAATTTGGCTGAATGTAGAATACTGGGATGCAAGTTTTCATTACAAATTTGAAGCTCTTGCTCCACTGACTTCCAACTTTGAACATGTTGTTGAGAAATCTGATGACATTCATATTTCCAGTCTTTTTTTTTCTGTGAACTAGGTATTTATGACGTGAATATTTTAGTATCTTCTCTTTATCCTAGATGCTCTGAAAATTTGCAGTAGTGTGACATGGTGTGGGCAACCTCTTTATTCATTGTGCTATACGTTCATATGTCATAAAGAGCCAATAGACTATTTTAATCCAAAAACCCATGTTTCTCAGTTAAAAGAATACTTTGGGCATCAATATTTTGATAATTCTCTTTATTTTACTCTGTTCTCTCTTTTTTTGGGAACTCTGTTATACTGTGGTTAGGCTTCTTGGACTGATTGACGCTCAAATTTCCTCTTATCTACTACTGTTTTATCTCTCTGTCTTTTTGTTCTGAGAGATTCTCTTGACTTTGTATTCCAAACTTTCTATTGAATTTTTTTCTGTTGAATCTTTTATTTCAAATATCATATTTTCCAATTTTAAGAGTTCTAATTTGTTTTCTATTCCTTAAAAAATGATGTCTTGTTATTTTGCCAAGGATGAATATTTATATTTCTCTAAAGATATTATTTCTGTACAAAGTTTTCTTCTCTATCCATTGTCTTGATTTCCTCTGAGTTTTCTCTGTTAATTTGTTTTAGTCTTGTTTTTTCTTCCTGGAGCTTAATTTTAGTATTTTTTTGTCTGTTGATACTTGAGAATATTACATTAGAGCTGACTGGTCACTCTTTTTGGGTAGAGGAGAGCTTGTCAATTATAATGTGCTAGTTGGGATCCAGCTGTTTGTGGGAGAACCCTGAGTGTCAGAATCTGGAGATTCTGAGTATATTCCATTTCGCCATCTAACAATCCTCCAGTTTCCTGCCTGGGAAGGTGGTAGTGGGAGAGGTATATCCCTAAGCTGCCAGTATTTTTAAGCCCAGAGAGTCAGGGAACCTGGAGCCTCCTTGTTCTGTATGTAGACTCACTCACACCCTTGTTTTCAGATGTGTCCCTCTCCCTACCATCTGCTGCAATCCTGGGCTAAACTTCCTCTGTATCCTTTTCTTTGTTGAATAAATTTCTAGTTTACTGCCAAGGTAGGAGAAGAAACTTGAGAATTTAACTGCTTTCTTAACAGACTTTAAACAAATTCTCCTGATGTAGTCCAGCTCCTCGTGCCTCTTGTGTGGCTACCTCTGATTTCTGAGTTTTCCACAGATCTGAGGTGCACCTGGCTGGTTTCTCACTGGATCCCTTCTGCAGGCCCTTGCTGTTCAGCTTTATCAGCTCTGACAGTTTTATTTGATGTTTTCTAGTCCTGCATATGTTGGCTGGCATTTCTTGTCCACTGTCGATCCTTTCTTCTTTTTCCTTGTGGAGATCACACAGACACACTTTGATTTTTAGTAGAGTATTTGGAGGGAACAGAGATAAACAAGTGCTCAATATACCATGTTTAACCAGAAATAGTAATTTTTCATCTAAATGAGAGCTTGCTGAGCATAGCTTAAATTTTCCTTGCTGAGTCTTAGCCACCCGCATGAATATTAATTGCAGCATGTGAAACAATCATTAGGAGCCTCTCCCAGATCACTGTACTTACACAAATTTTATCTGCTTTCTGTAAGTATTGTTTTCATTCATTCACCCAACATGTTTTGTGCACATACTATGTGCCTGACACTGGGTATGTAGCAGTGAACCAGAAAAAGTCCCTGCCTTTTCGAAGTTTTCTATCTGTTTTTTTTTTTTTTCCTATGGCCTTTTACTTATTATTGTCAGTATTCTTGCCTTTTTTTTTTTTTTTGCCTCTTCTACTGTGTTGTGAGCCTTGTGAAAAAGGAAATCAAATTCATTAGGCCAGCATATGAAGGAAGAATAACTTCATGCTGAGTACAGACTTATGAGGTTCTGGGAAGCTTAACGTGTGGACTTTGCAATATTGACCTATGCTTTTCATGGATCTTTCTCTTTCCTTTCTTTGCACCCTATTTTTGATTCATGGTTATATTTTTGATAGTTAAAATAGTCAGAAAAAGTGCTTCTAACTATAGAATTTGTTTAGGATCAAAGGATTATAGAGCTGAAAGAGATCTTTGAGGACACACAATAAATTCTTTTCATTTTGTAGCTGCAGCAGTTCATGCCTAGAGAGGTGAAAAGAATCGCTGTAGGTCACACAGCTAGCAATTCGCTGATCCAAGGCTAGAACCCAGGACTTTGGGGCTTTGTGCTAAAACATGCTTTGATTTATATCTTAAGAAGCATGCATGGAAACATCAGCAGCCAGTTTAGGTGATGGGAAGTTATAGCAGAGATGGAGTTGCCTTTTCTGAAGGGAGTGGGTCTCATTAGATTGCCAGGGCATCTGTGGCTTGAGCTACCCCAAGACCTGAACAGGAAAGGCTTTAATATCTGCACCCTTCTTATGTGTAATGTGGCTACATTCCCCCTTCAGTTTAACTGGAAAAGGGGCTTGAATTTACAGTGTGCATGATGATTATGTGTTTTCTGCTGATCACTGCTTAACAAGGTATTCCACAGAAGAGGTTTGTTAGCTTTAATAGCCCTTCAATTACTTATGGCAATTACCTGCATCACTTTCAACTCCACGGAGGTTATTAAAATGCTCTCATGGCAACAGTAAAGAAATATAAAAACAGGTAAAGATGAAATTATGCCTGCTCCCTGAGGCATCTGCTTGAAATGTGTTTGCATTGCTTTTATACAGGTGGATACACTTAGTTCAAGACAAATATTCTAACTCTAAGGTTGGATCAACTTAAAAGCAGATATGTATCATCTTAAAAATTGTTTTCATACTCCACCAATTTTATGCCAGTGCTGTCTTCACAGAGGTAACTGGAAAATATTTTGCTTAAGATTTACTAAGCATTTGTTGAGACTCAGACATATGTCAGGTACTATACCAGGTAATGTCACATATGCTATTTTGTTTGAGACTCAAAGAACCTCTGTGATATTATACCTATTTTATAGATAAGGAAACTTAGATTTATAGAAGCGAAGTGATAAATCATAACATCACATGGCTGGTAATGGCTAATAAGTATAACAGATGGGGATTCAAATTCAACCTCGATTCCAGCATGATTTGTAATATTCCACAAGTGCTGCTTACTAATGAGACGGCCTTACCTATAAACAGAAATGCTTCTGTAGTATTTTTTTTGCAGAATTCGGGGGACATTTTATGTCTCATGAGTCCCATCTGATCACTTAAATGCTATCATTTCTTGTATTCCTGTGGGCTAAAGTGCTCTCTCTGGGATTCTCTTCTTAAAACCTAAGGCTGGATAAAGCTTTACATAGGTCTTTAACCCCCAGTGCCCTGCTACTCAAAGTGTGGCCCATGGCCCAGCAGCATCAGCATCTCCTGGAACATCTTAAAAAGTAGAATCTTAGTCTTCACCCCAGACCTACTCAGTCAGAATCTACATTTTAACAAGGTCCCCGGGTACATATGCACATTAATGTTTGAGAAGCTCTGCCGTAATGTGAGAGAGTCTGCCAGAGACTTGTTTTTCTGTTGAGGGTATTGACCATTGTGGGAGTGGGGTGAGAGGAAGAGGGAGGACTTCTACTCAGAGGGGGAGAACCCTGCTGTATAGAAGGACATTGCACATGAATCTCACCCATATCCCAGGCTTGTCCAGGACCTGCCCCAAGTAATTAACTACAGGAGGGAAGCAGTGCATCTGCATGCTGAGGTTAATTTCTCATGATACATATTATGATTTTCCACAGAGGTGGCCCACAGCATTTTTATGTGAAATGCGTGGATGAGTGTTTGTGCTTTCTATGGTGAAAGTAACCTTCCCAAACCATGCCTCCCTAACCTTTATTTTTCATCCTGTTCCTTTTCTGATCTCCCATCTCTATCTCTGACTTATTTCTGAGCATCATACTGCAAGGGTCTCATAGTGCTTCTAACTTAAAATCCTTAATGCCAAATACATTCCCTTTCTCTCCTCTTCTATCTGTGGTTAGTAGTGACATTGATTTATGAATTACTCTGGTCTATCATTCTACATAGAGTTATGATGTAACTGCAATGAATTGATCACTGTTAATGGTTCTGTTCTTAAGGAGCTCCACTGTAATAGGGCAGATGAACTTGTAAACAAAGCATTTCAGAAAAATGTGCTAAGTGTTCTATTAGGGCAGTGCTGTCATTCAGCAGCCTCTAGCCACATGTGGCTACTGAGTGCTGGAAATGTGCCTAGTCTGAACTGAGATGTGCTCCAAGTGTAAAACACGCACTGTACTCTGAAGTCTTAGAATGAAAAAAAAGAATGTAAAATATATATTAAGAGACAGGGTCTCACTCTGTCCTCCAGGCTGTAATGCAGTGGCACGATCATAGCTCACTATAATCTTGAACTCCTGGGCTCAAGATCCTCCTGCCTCAGCCTCTTGACTAGCTGGGATCACAGACGAATGCCACCATGCACAGCTAATTTATTTTTCAATTTTTTGGTAATGATGGGGTCTTGCTATGTTGCCCAGGCTGGTCTCTAACTCCAGGGCTCAAGTAATCCTCCTGCCTTGGCCTCCCAAAGCACTGGGATTACAGGCACGAGCCACCACACCTGGCCTAAAATATTAATATTTAAAAATGTTGATTACATATTAAATTGATAGTACTTTGGATATATTGAGTTAAATAAAATGTAGTATTAAAATTAGGTTCATCTGATTCTTTGTTCTTTTTAAAATGTAGTTACAAGAAAATTCAAAATTACTTGTGGCTAACATTATATTTTCATTGAGCAGTGCCCCATTACTGGTTTGGGAGCACAGTGGAACCAGAGTTAGGGAAGACTTCAAAGGAAGGTGGAGGGGAAATAGGAGCTTTCCAGGCAAAGGAGATAATTATCTGTGGCTTTAGTTACTAGGAAAACAGGTGAGTTGAATTAAAGGAAATTAGCAGGACTATTGCTTTTTCATTACTAACAACCATATCACCATGAGGTCCAGCCAGAGAACAAGAGTATATCTCTTCCTGCAGTTATATTATTGAATGGAGCCCTGCCTGGTTGTGTGGGGCTTTCTGAAGAATCACCCCATCTTTCCTTCAGTCCCTTTGAAGTAGAGACCTTGCTTCTACCTGCAGGCTGCTGTGAGAGAGTGAAATAAAATTCATTTTTAGCTCCAGATGAAGGGTTACAGGTGGTTCAAGGTTTTCCTGTTGATGTTCTGTTTTCCCTTCTAAATGGTGACTTAAAGTCAATCAAATGGCAAAAGGCAAAAATTGCTGATTCTTGAGGCTTTGGCAGGGGGGAGGCTGGAGCTTTCTCTCCCTCTTCCTCTCTTCCTCTCATTTTTGTCCCTTAGATAAAATCTGGCACTTGAGAGCCCACATTTATCCTGTGACTGATGTGAGATGGCACATTTATACCACACAGGAATCTTCTACCCCACATCCAGAACAATGAGAACTGTGGGCTCCGTAGACGCGAGAGGAGGCCGTTCTCTCAGAAGGGCAGCATCTGCCCTCTTTGTAGCCTGCGGGTCTTTTCATCTGTCTTCTGTTTTGGAAAACACAGGCTTCTGCTGGGAGGCCTGAGATCTACAAAAGAGAAAAGGATGACACAGGAGCTACAGACCTAGGTAAAATCCCAACTGATGTACCCTGGATTCATCTTTCAGCTTTAGAGAGAGAGCCTCCAGGGGAAGATAACGAGATTTTATCTGTGGGCTTCAACCTGGCTCTGGACAAAATGTGAAGTTTACTCACTAAATGTGGATCAAATTATTTCCCTCTGCCAGGCACTGCTTGGAGTGTGAGGAAGGGAGGAGAAACCCAACTGTCCTGTGTGACAGCTATTTTTTTTTCACTATTGTTTATTGTTTATTTTCTTTTTTTTCTTTTTCCTTTTTTTAATTATTATTATACTTTAAGTTTTAGGGTACATGTGCACAATGTGCAGGTTAGTTACATATGTATACATGTGCCATGCTGTCAGTGTGGCGACTCCTCAGGGATCTAGAACTAGAAATACCATTTGACCCGGCCATCCCATTACTGGGTATATACCCAAAGGACTAAAAAGCATGCTGCTATAAAGACACATGCACACATATGTTTATTGCGGCACTATTCACGATAGCTATTTTTATTCCTATTTTATGGATGACAAAACTGAGGTTAAACGCCTTGCCTGCACCATAAATAAATGCTAAGTATGTGAGATGATGTGTGTGCTGAGTAGCTGGATTTAATCATTCTACAGTGTATACATATATTGTGACATCACATTGTACCCCATAAAGATACACAATTACTATTTGTCCATTAAAAATGTAAAAATATAAATGCCTTGCTTCATTTGGTCTTAAAACCCAGGTCACTTGCCAGGGATTTGTGGTTTTGTCCTCTGCAAGGCCATAGGACCTCCCTGCTCCCCTTTGCCTGCTCTCTCCACTCCCACGCTGTTGACACCCCCGGGTAAATATATCTTAGTCCAAGAGAAGCAGTTTGGACCAGCTGCAGGCATCCCCTTCCCTCTCAGTATGTATTTTGAGGAGTAAAGGGTGGGGAGAGGCAGCCTGGGGGCAGGCTCTAAGCTCCCAGTGTGTGTTTTGAGGGGTCAGGAGTCGGGGGTCAGGTGTTGAGTAAGCACATTCTGCCATGTCTGCCTCAGGGCACAGATGGCTGCTTTTTTAGGTAAAGCAAGAGGGGAAACAGCTGACAGCAGAATTCTCTTTATTTTGATTCTTCTTTCTTCTGTGACTTAGTGTGTCTGAGACTGGCTGCAAATATGTTTCTCAGATAAAGTAAAATTTTCCTCTAATTTATCAGATAATGCACCATAATCCCTAGCCCACAAAGCTAAACGAGCGCCCCAAGAGTACACACTTAGGGCCAGGCGCGGTGGCTCACGCCTGTAATCCTAGCACTTTGGGAGGCCGAGGTGGGTGGATCGTCTGAAGTCAGGAGTTTGAGACCAGGCTGGCCAACATGGTGAAACCCCGTCTCTACTAAAAATACAAAAAAAAATTAGCTGGGCTTGGTGGCAGGTGCCTGTAATCCCAGCTACTAGGGAGGCTGAGGCAGGAGAATTGCTTGAACCCAGGAGGCGGAGGTTGCAGTGGGCTGAGATTGCACCATTGAACTCAAGCCTGGGTAACGAGAGCGAAGACTTCGTCTCAGAAAAAAAAAAAAAAAAGTACACATTTCTTCTGAGCTCTGGTTGCCAGGTGTCTGTATCAAACATTGAAAACCACTTTTGAGGCCAGGCATGGTGGCTCACGCTTGTAATCCCAGCACTTTGGGAGGCTGAGGCAGGTGGATCATGAGGTCAGGAGTTTGAGACCAGCCTGGCCAAGATGGTGAAACCCCATCTCTACTAGAAATGCAAAAAATTGGCCGGGCATGGTGGCACATGCCTATAGTCCCGGCTACTCCAGAGGCTGAGGCAGAGAATTGCTTAAAACCTGGAGGGGCAGAGGTTGCAGTGAGCTGAGATCCCACCACTGCACTCCAGCCTGGGTGACACAGCAAGACTCCGTCTCAAAAGAAAACCACTTTTGAGTATTATATTGTGAAAACATCAGACTTTGTATGTAGAATAAGTTTATATCATTTTGGCTGGTAAATATTTGTCAAGCATGTGAGGTATTTTTGTTGAAACCCTCTGGCTGGCTGATCTCTCCTTGCTACTCCTTCAGACACACCAGGGTTTAATGGCTGAAAACCTAAACACTGTGTCAAAGGCAGGTATGAAAGAAATGAGGAATTTAACCAGTCATAGCACCAAAGAGAAAAGACAGCTGAGGAGGGCTTTAGAAATCTTCCATCCAGCCTTTGTTGGACAGATGTGGAAACTGAGGCCAGAAGGGAAGTGGCAGAGTAACCTAGCTTGTGGAGGGCAGGGTCAGGCTGGGAACTAGGATGGTTGATGGCTGGTCCAGCCTAGCCTCTTTCAGGGAGCGCACGGTGAAGGGCTGCCTCTCAAGAGTTTATGTCTGTTAGGAGCAGAGAACACAAAAGTCCTGTGTTCCCTTCACCAGTCCTTTCTCCAGGCTAGAAAAATGATGATGTCAGAAGGATCTCATAAGCCCTGTGTGGAGATTTGGCATTCAGCTCCTCACTCTGCCCTAGAGAGGTTTTGTTATGCCAGACAGGGGCTCTGAACATCTCAGTCTGTCAGTGAGTGAGAAGCCTATTGGACTTGCTGGCTTCATCAGGCAAGGTGTGGAGAGATGTCAAGAGACCCCCCCCGGAGGATCCAAATCAATACTAGGCATGAAAACAAAGCTGGCTTTGACGCCCCCGAGTTAACAAAGGAAAGTTTCTTTGCTGCTTAGACAAGTTAGAACCACACAAAAATGGTTAAAAGTATTTTAGGATCTTTTCCCCCACCTCAGATAGTTTTGGCTTTGAGAAGAGATTTTTCCCATGGTGCAACTGGGCATACTTGGATCTATATGAGGAGGAAAAGTAAAATAAGGTAAATGAAGAGTTTGCCTTCTGTTGGTTGATAATCTACAAAGCTTCCACTCACCTTCTGTCCCAGCACCCAGGAGTCATATTCCTTTCTGACTGCCCACTGCTAGCAAATCAAGCCACTCTCCTGCACATCAGTCTTGATTCTGCAACTTTGCTTCCTTCACCCAAACTTATATGCACAATGTTCACACACTCCCTATTCCTTATTCCTTCAAGGCCTTGCTTGAAGTGCTTGAAGCTGGTTAACTAGCTAGATGCTGTATAAGTTTATAGTTTTGGATATAAATACTTTGCCCTCGGAGAGAGACTAATGCTCTGTGATTTTGGACAAGCCATTTAGTATCTTGGAGCTTCCATTTTTCTTATCAGTGAATAAGTGATGTTTGCTCTACCAATGCAAGAGAATTGTTGCAAGATTTAAAACCCATGTGAATTAATGAATGTAAAAAAGACCTTGGTCAAACTGTTGCATGCTTTATAATAAGTGAGATAGCATGATTAAATGCCTTAAAGAAGTCAATTTTCAAGGCTTATGTCTGGTTAAGGGGTAGAAAATTGTTGGTAGATAACCCCCCCTACTCCCAGATTCACCAGCAGAACTTACATTCCTCTGCCTGTGTCTGTTTTGCCCTACTCCTTTGTTTAACCCCTTCCTTGTCTTAGCTTTCTTCTAGAGAGGGGAAGGGGTGCCCCTGGTGACTTAACTTCTTATGCATATTACATTGAGGCAAATCTAAAATGAGCCTCTGCAGAAGGAGAACAAATGCCATCCCCTGGAGAAGGATCGGAATGCTTTGCTTTTTATTTCTTTCAGGGGTCTGAGTGTGTGCCGGATTGCATGGTCTAGGGAGGAGATGCTGAGTGCAACTTTTCCTGTTTCTCAGAATTGGTGCCTGGGGGCCCAAAAATGAGGATGAAAAGGCCCCAAATAACCCATGTTCTAAAGAGAGAAGCCAAAAAATGCACCAATTTCCCAGCTCAGCCTTCCTGGTCTGTGGCTGCCATCCCAGGTGTCATCCTCACTCTCCACCCTACCTTCTGGTTCATTGTTCATTGCTCTAAGGGATGAGAACACAAGGAGGGGAGAGAGTTATCACTACCGTGAACCTCAGGTGTGATGTGCTCCTGGAAAGAGGTGTTTCCTACTATCCCTGAAAAAAAAAAATACCGTTTGTATTTGTACCCACCCCCCACCATCGAGCTGTCAACCCCCCTCATTAAGACACTTGTACCAGGGAAAAGGAGTAATGGGAATAAAAGACAAGAGCAACTTGAGTCTTCATTTCATTGCTCACATCGCTCTGTCCTGCTGCTTTCTTCACCGAAGTACTGGGTTTCTATTCCAAACCAGCTACAATGAACAGTCTTCATTCGGAGTTGGGACTATGGTCTCAACATGGGACTACTGGGGACCCTCTAATAGCCTTGTCCTAGACACACATGACTTTGGCCACCTCAGTAGCAAGAGGGATCTGAAGGGATATGCTCGAGATCCCTGGAATCCTCAGAAATGTCTACAGGCAGGTGTCCTGGGGTCCTGCATAGAAGGGCACTGGCCAGGCCTTGAGTGAGCTCAGCGGGGCCTCTAGACTCACCTGAGATCACAGCCAGGTCGCTCTCCTGCTCTCCTGGTGCTGATTCCAGCTCCTTTCTGTTATTCTGTAGCCCTCAGGATTTGGGTGTCCTTCGGACTGTCCTGTTGGGAACCCTTCCTCACAGTCCTCACATCGACTGAGCAGACTGAGCGGGCACCACGTCTGGCTCCTTTGCTTATGCTCAGCTACTGGATTGCAGTCCCAGAAACGCCACCTTGACAAGGTTAGCCTGCAATGCGTGAGGCGAAGGAAGGCCACAAGGTGGCAGCAGAGGATTACCCACTTGCTAGTGGAGTCGGGAGGCTCTATGGGGGTGGGGAAATGGAGTTTCCTTACCACAGAGCGGGTTGGAAAGCAAGTGAACCAACATTTTAGAGGACTAAGAGATCAATAGGAACAGGTGCAGAAAGATTCCAGGAGGGTGTTGAGGTAGGGCTTGAATAGAAAGACTAATAATCATGTATTAAATGTTTATTATGAAGCTGGCAATGCTTCATAAGTGTAAGCACTTACACATTACATGATCCATTTCTTAGAACAACCCTGCAATTATTCCTATTCTACTTGTGAGAAAATAGAGGCTCAGATTAATTGAGTTACTGGCCCAAGTTCACATAGCTATTAATTGATGGAATTAGGAATAAAAACCAGGTCTGACAGACTGTAAAGCCCGGGTTTTGAACTTCTATGTTAAACAGTGCAAACATCAGGATAGACTAGTGGTTCTCAAAGCGTGGTCCTGGAACCCCCTGGGATTCGCATCACCTGGTGACTTGTTATAGTGCACATTCTTGGCCAGGCGCAGTGACTCACACTTGTGATTCCAGCATTTTGGGAGGCCGAGGTGGGCAAATGACTTGAGGTCAGGAGTTTGAGACAGGCCTGGCCAATATGGTGAAACCCCGTCTCTACTAAAAACACAAAAATTAGCTGGGCATGGTGGCACATGCCTGTAGTATCAGCTACATGGGAGGCTGAAGCAGGAGAATTGCTTGAACCCAGAAGGCAGAGGTTGTCGTGAGCTGAGATTCTGCCACTGCACTCCAGCCTGGGCAATAGAGTGAGACTCCATCTTTTAAAAAAATATATAATAATAATAAAAAAATGCAAATTCTCAAACCTACTGAATCAGAAACCCTGGGGTGGGGCTCAGCAATCTGTGTGAGTGTGTGTGTGTGCGTGTGTGTGTGTTTTAATTTTAAATATATATTTTAGTACAGGCAGGGTCTTGCTATGTTGCCCAGGCTGGTTCCCAACTCCTGGCTTGAAGTGATCCACCTCGGCCTTCGAAAGTGCTGGAATTACAGATGTGAACCACCCTTCCTGGCCCCAATCTGTGCTTTAAAAGCCCTCTGCCAGGATTCTGATGCTGCTCCAGTTTGAGAAGCACTGGGATAGATAATATTCCAGCCTGTCAAGTGCTGAGCTGTGGATTTGCCTATGAGCATTGCCTGTCATGGTGCAGTCACCTCTGATGGAGCTGGAACTGCCCCACCCTTGACATTGACATTAGGCCAGCTGCTCCCAAAGGTAAGGAAGTGGTTCACTCCAATTCTACCCCTTACCTGCTGACATTTTTCTCCCTCTTTAGCTGTAGGTGGGGGAGAACAGTCTTTGTGGAACTCAGAACTGGAAATTTTCTCTTCATTAACATGACAAACAGGCTACCTCTATCAAGGACAGCCCGGTGAGACTGGCCTGGAATTTAGAATCTCCTTATAAATAAAGTCTCAGCTTTAAGCATTAATGAAAGACGTGAGATCTTTATGGTGCCATTCATTTCTGATCTTGCCAATTTGGTAGCTAAAGAGTGACTGCTATCTTTTTCCAAGCCACTAATTATGCAACTCTGTCCTGATGTGTGCTAGTTCAGGTTCTTAGCAAAAATTGTTATTCCTGTAAAAATATAACATTTAAGACTGGAAGGAAAGACTCCATATAATTAATCTTTGTATTTTAGCTAAGAATTTTGGAGTGATTTTAAGTTGCTTCTTTGTGCTTTAAGAAACTTTTGTTTTTAACTTTGAAGTGTGTACACATTTTTCAATAAGAGAAGAAAATAATGCTGTTTTATAAGCAAGTCTTTTATTCTGTGAGATGAACCCATCAGAATGAAAGTTATGTGCCTGAAATTCCTGATGATTTGACAAGGGAAGACTGAAGCTTTTGTATAGCCATTTAAAGAAAAAGAAAACTCATTAATTTTCAGCTTATTCATTTGATATTTGTGCTTATATCCATAGGAGATAGGTGGTATTTTTTTGTTTGTTTTTTTTACTGAGGTTACAAAAGGATATTAAGAACAAGGCAATGTTTAGGAGAGCAGATTGTTTAAACGGAGTTTGAACTACCTTTGACATTCTCATGTGTATGCTAACACTGATGTGCTTATTACAAATTTTTTCTTATATATTCATTCAATTCATTCATCGGATTATAGATGGTGTCTCTCTACATTAACACCTATCTGTAGCTTTAAAATCAGACTGTGGGATATATTAGTATACCCAGTAAGCTCTAATCATTTGTGACTGTTTATTCAGACACATACAGAAATGACACATTCAGGAATCCTCTTTCTAGGGTGAATCCCAGAACACCTCTAATGGCTTGGATATCTGAGGTTGCAGATATGAAGCAACAAGATGTGTTTAAGTGATCATCTCTCACAGGATGGGCTTTTGGATACTTCAAAAATGTATGGAAGCCAAGTAGCCTTGGGGAGGTAAAGACCTCTCAAGGTGAACTCCTCATTAGCAAAGGACCCTTCTGATGTAGAGAAACCAAGACCTCTGGGTGCCCCTCAAAGGCAAGCTGGTTCTCAGACTCCATCAGATCTCAGATAAGCTTCTGAGGACAGGGGGCCACAGCAGCAGCAGTAGTGGCACATGCCAGCTGACCCCCATGGACTGAGCTGCAGAGGACCCGCCGGCCTTGCTAGAAAGGAAAGTGACTCTTCTGAAGCAGGGGGGACTGAGCAGGAGCACCACCTGGCAGAGCCCCTCCTCTACAGGGCTCCATGCAGACAGGCCTGAGAATGAAAGATGTGTATTATGCATATTATCTCATTTATACATTTGTCCCTTGCTTGTCTTCCCCATTAGAATTGTTAAAAAGGAAAAATCTCAAGTTTAAATTTATCAGAGTTTCTATGAGCAAAAAAACCCAAAAAACAACAACAAAAATGATTAGTGAAGTGAATCTGGCAGCCCCCAGAACCAGAACAGGGTCAAAGAGCTTCTGTGTGCTACATGATCAGACAGCAGCATTTATGGACAGAAAAGGGAAGTGAGGTAAAAAGAACAACTTAGTTATAGCTCAGCATTTTGTCTTACTTGAATCAGCTGACCACCTACCATTGACTGAAGTTCAGCTGTTTGTTACATGAGTATACTTCTAAATTAATTTGTTTCATTTAGCATGAATTACCACATATTGGTTTGAGCTGTTGGGCTAGGAACCCAGTGCAAATCAATGGCATGCTACAAATTTTATTTTTATTATTATTTTTAGAGATGGGGTCTCACTGTATTGCCCGGCTGGTCTCAAACTCCTGAACTCAAGTGATCCTCCCACCTGGGCCTCCCAAAGTGTTGGGATTACAGGTGTGAGCCACTGTGCCTGATTAAATTGTATTTTAATAGAATAGAAACTTCCTAAAAGCCAGACCTTGTCTGTCAACTTCAAGGTGTATCCTCAGCATCTAAAACATAGTAGACAATAAATATGCAGTGTATGAATATGTGAAGGCTCCTGTAAACTCTGAGTTTATGGTATTCATTGACACTTTCGTTAAATTATGGTATTTTTCTAATTCCAGCAATTCTTTGCTTTTCAGCAATTGCACGTAAGAACTTCAGTAACCAAAGTGCCAGTAGGTAACCCTGAAGATGATGCTGAGAAATAGTTTTCTTGACACAAAAACCCTGTGGACTCTTGACATCTAAGAACTTTAAGACAGTGGTTTTCACACTTATTTCTGCAGCAACAGAGCCCTTTCTTTTCCAGAAACCTGAGGCAGAGACCCACGATATAAACAAGACAAAAACAGAGATGCTCAGGTTCAAGCCGTGATATGTGGCTCTGAGCCTGACCTGCTCAGACCTCGCCCTCCTTCCTTTCCTCCAAGAAATCCCAGAACACTTTCCTGCAACAGTAGGATAGTGCTTCTCACCCTTGGCTGCACATTTGTCTCCTGGAAAAGCATAATTTCAGCACAGGAGATCAAGCACACAAGCTCTGGCTGTGATATATGCTAAAATAAAATGTCCAGATAGAGTTTGAAATTAACCCCATACTATGCTCTACGGAAGTCACTTCTGAATTGTATATTATCAATCCTAGCACAGCAATTCTCAATCCTAGATGCTCACTGAAGTCACCTGGCGAGCATTAACAATTACTGATGCCGGGACTAACTCTGTCCCATTCCCCCAGATTCTGATTTAATTTGTCCTCTGTGTAATCTGGGTGTCTGGGATTTTAAAGCTTTATGGGCCTCTTACAAACACTCTACCCCATGCTGGTGGGGAATAAGCAAACTACGACAGAAGCAGGCGGAGGGCATTCTGCCGTATGTTGTAGGTAGCTGTCTGTCTTCTGTTATCATTGCTATAAGTGATCCTGAGGGCAGGGAGTGTGTGTTATTCATTTCTTTATACTTTGTTTAGGACTGTCTGTTACTGCAGTCCCTCAGGAAAAGCATATGCCTTTCATTAGCTGAGTGATTGCAAGCAACTTCACCTTTCTAATCCTCAATTTCCTCATCTGCAAAATAACAAAGTAATGGTATCTACCTTGTATAGTTTATGTAAGGATTAAATAAAATATGAAAATGGTTTAACAGTGTATCTGATACGTTATAAGTGCTCATTAAATGCTTTAAAGATACTGTTCTTCCTATTAGCTATTTATACCAGAACTAAGAGTTTCCGCCTTATATTGTAAGGGAGGTAAGACTTGGTCAGGTGAAGTTAAGATTAAGTTTATGAAACTTGTTTCTCATAAAGAGGGTTATATCTTAAAATGATAAACAGGTTTAAAGAATATTTAAGCAAATATTTATGTATAGCATTCATAGCAACTGGATTTTAGGGAAGTTAAGTATTCTTATTCCTAATGATTTGACTTAGATGGAGGGCAATTTTCACTTCTCAGAATCCACACCAGGCTATACCTTTAGAGAGAGGCTCCTGGATTAGATATGCCCAGTATGGAATTTCTTATGTCCCTAGGAATTAGAAGGCTTCATGTGAACAGATGTAGCTTTGGGATTTTGTAACTTTATGAATAAAATTTCAGATGAGGACTAATATCCTGTGGTCTACACGTATCCATCTGTTTTACGCAGTATTGTTTGTCACTGGATATTGATTTACTCCTTTCTTTGTCCAGCATGGAGAATTAGAATATGTGTTAACTTGCGGAAATCACTGATTGCTGAATTTGCAGCACAGTCAGGAAATAAGCAGGTTTTAAGTGGTGAGTAACACAGTGCTTTGGAGGAGTGTAAATTAACAGCTTTATGAGGTATTGTAGCCAACATTTCTGCCTATGTCTATCATTTAGGGAAAAGGTGTCTGAGTACACAGCTTCTCCTTATCCATGACCCAGATGGAATAAAAGAGGTCCAGACACTGCCTGGACCCTTTAGATCTTCCCATGCCTGGGTGCTCCTGACTTGATTCCTAGTAGCCACTCTCTCTGTCTGAGAGCTTGCCCCAAAGCGGCAGAAAGCCACTGGACCTGCACTTATGTCAGGCCAGAAAGGCTGGGCAGCAACTTGTGCCCCAGCAGTCCTCACCCATGACTCATGGGAGTTGAGGCATAAATGCCCATTGCTCCTTCACCCCTTGGGGTGATAACTACGAGGTGAGTTATCTGCACTGTTTCTAGAACCTGCCTGTGGAATTATGATTCGGTTCTCCACTGTGGCTGCTGGCTTCATAATGCCTACTTTATTCTCTTCCCTTACTTCATTGCTGTACTTACCCCAGTAAATTACCTATGCCCTAATCCTCATCAGGGAACCCAAGCTATGACCCTGAGTTTTCTCACTTATCCTGTGCTCTTGGTTGGTCAGGTAGCATCTATGAGCCTCAGTGTTCTCACCACGTTTGTGAGGTTCCTAGACTGCCATATCAAAGGACCACAAACCTCGTAGCTTAAAACAACAGAAGCATGTTCTCTCACATTTCTCCAGGCTAGAAGCCTGAAATTCACAGGGCAGGGCCATGCTCCCTGGGAAGGCTCTAGGGAGAATCCCTTCTTGGTGGTTTTCAGCTTCTTGTGGCTGCAGGAAATCCTTGGTGCTTCTTGGCTTAGGGCTGCCATCTGATCTCTGCCTCTATCTTTACACGGCCTTTTCCTCTGGGTTTCTCTGGGTATCCAAGTATTTCTCTCCTTTCTCTTATAAAGATACAAGTCATTGGATTTAGGACCCACCCTAAATCCAAGATAATTTTATCTTGAAATTTTTAATTACATCTGCAAGACCTTATTTCCAAATAAGGTCACATACGGAGGTTTCTAATGAACATGGATTTTTGGGGGATGCCATTCAACCCACTATCCTGTGAAAGGGGACCAGGAACCCCTATTCTCCATTGCTGTGAGGATGCAAGTTAGGCAATTTCTTGGTGGAGGGTAAAGTATTGTTCAAAGTTTCAAAGGTAAAGGTTTGCTGTGGTTGTTTTGGACTCAGGAGCTGCTAATGCTTGGCAGGGTGGTGGGGGGCCGGTAGGAGGAGCAGTTAAGCTCTGGTTCCACTGGTTGTTTCCCTCTCTCCTGGAGGCAGCTGCTGACAAGAGGACACTCATGATTTTCTCATTGGCTTTGCCCTCATTTTAGTATTGAGAGTGTAGGGCTTGGAGTCAGACCAAGGTTCAAATCCTAGCCATGTACTAGTTCTTTGTGTTTAGACAAATTACATTATCCTACTAGGGAAGAAGTTATTGAAAATCCCCCCTGAGAGATCCCTATAGCAGACACTCTGTGGCATTTAGCTATATCTTTTATGTGCTTCTAAATAGGGATTTTACTCAGCTTCTTTCAAACAAAAACATAAGGACTAGACTTTACATACATGGAGGACTCAACAAGCCCCATGTTACCATCCTCAAGTACAAGGCACAGGGAAGGCATGGAGAATAACAAAACATTATGTTTCTGGAACACCTGCTGTATAACAACCCATCCGTGGTCCCTCAGCTGGTGGTGTTGACCCATTACATGAAAGAGAACCTGTCCAGGGTTTTAGTAGGGCATAGTAGGGACTTAGGTGGGCACAAGCATTGATGAGTGGATAAATAAATCAGTGAGTCAGCAAGATAAATCCAGAAAAAAATGAGGGAAAAATGGGGTAAGAAGAAAAAGAGAACAGGAAAGAGAGGAGAAATTCAGACACGTTTGGAGGATGGCTGGTAACACCAGTTCTCATGGGAGGATTTCAAAGTATAAATGGCTTAATTCACCTCGTAGAACTTTGTCTTTCAAGATTCTGAGGACCAGTGACTTTTCTCCTTCTTAGCAAGCAAACCAATGCAAGATTGAGCAATGGACACAGGTAGTGTCTGCGTAGTGAGAACAAGATGATATTTTTAAAAATTTTTCTCAGAGCCATGGGAATGCTAAATAGACACAAATGCCACTTTCCATGCACTCACATGGGAGTTACAGTTTATCAGCTCTGTATACTGTTTTTATATGACCTTTATATAAGCAACCTCTGAGGCAGGCAGATTAAGTATTTAAAAGGCAAAACTATTGCTCTACTCACACTGTCAATGGCTGTTGTGAAACCTCAGTTCTTGTTTCTTAGTTTAAAAGAGTTTACACATGAGATGCACAGCAAAGGAGATGCAGCACACAGCAACTTATTGCAAAGGAGAAGAATATTCTGAAAGCTAGGTGCAGAATACAGAGAGGATTCAGGGCAAGCTGCTCATAAAGATGAGACAGCAAAGACTGGCACTAGGGAGACTCCCTTCATGGGAGTCTTACATGACTATTCATAAGTAGGTGGGAAGAGGTGTTACTAGTAAGCATGTTCTTGGTGCACAGGCACAGTAGCTATACGTGCTTTCTCATATATTGTGTTGTGGGAAGTCAGGGAACCCGAACGGAGGGACTGGCTGAAGCCACAGCAGAAGAACATAAATTGTGAAGATTTCATGGACATCTGTTAGTTCCCCAAATTAATACTTTTATAATTTCTTATACCTGTCTTTACTGCAATCTCTGAACATAAATTGTGACGATTTCATGGACATTTATCACTTCCCCAATCAACACTCTTATAATTTTCTTGTGCCTTTCTTTAATCTGTTAATCCCTTCGTCTTCCTAAGCTGAGGATGTATGTTGCCTCAGGACCCTGTGATGATTGCGTTATCTGCACAGATTGTTTGTAAAGCATGTGTGTTTGAACAATATGAAATCTGGGCATCTTGAAAAGAACAAGATAACAGTGATTTTCAGGGAACAAGGGAGATAACCATAAAGTCTGACTGCCTGTGGGGCTGGGCAGAAAAGAGTCATATTTCTCTTCTTTCAGAAAGCAAATAGAAGAAATATCACTGAATTCTTTTCTCAACAAGGAATAACCCTGGGAAAATGAATGCATTCCCAGGGGGTGGTCTCGAAAATGGCCGCTCTGGGAGTGTCTGTCTTATGCAGATGTAGATAAAGGATGAAATATGCCCTGGCCTCCTGCAGCGCCCCCAGCCTTGCTAGGATTAGGAAATTCCAGCCTGGCGAATTGTAGTCAGATGGGTTTTCTGCTCTCAAACTCTGTTTCCTGTTAAGATGTTTATCAATGACAATGTGTGCCCAGCAGGACATGGAACCTCATTAGTAATTCTAATTTCTCCCTGGCCTTGTGATCTTGCTCTGCCCCCATTTGCCTTGTGATATTTTACTGCCTTTGAAGCATGTGATCTCTGTGACCTGCACCCTATTCATACATTCCCTCCCCTTTGAAAATCGCTAATAAAAACTTGCTGGTTTTGCAGCTTGGGGGCATCACGGAACCTGCCAACATGTGATGTTACCCCCAGAGACCCAGCTGTAAAATTTCTTTATTTTGTACTCTTTCTCTTTATTTCTCAGACCTGCTGACACTTAGGGAAAATAGAAAAGAACCTACATTGAAATATTGGGGGCTGGTTCCCCCGATAATATTGCATGTCTAATTAGCATCTCCACCCTGGGGTATGTTTTTCTACTATTGTCATGAGCAAAGGGTGAGTTTGAGGACAGGTGAAATTAAAATGTGCATGCTCTCTGGGAGTGGGTGAGGAGCGGGATTCCCTACTGGAGATAGCTTTGTTGGGATAAGCTTAACTATAATGTGAGTGCTGGGGCTTATTGTGCTGACTGTATGGCCACCATGGTTGCCGCGCCCTGAGAACATGGTTACTTCTTGACTACCTATCCTGCCTCAACACAATACTTCTGGAACCAAATGTGTGGGTTTTATTTTTCCCCCAACATCAACCACCTCTTGGAACACACCCTAAGTGTCCTACAAGTTACCTCAATTCTGACACCAACTGCCTGGAATTAGCACAGACCCCACAGACTAAGGGCTGAGTCCCACAAGACTGCCCCCACTTGAGGAACCAAATCACAAGTCCCAGGTTGTCACCTCTACTTCTAATCAAAAGGCTATAAATGGAAGTTCCCACAACCTTCTCCTCATGTTCAATAATTTGTTAGAACAAGTCACAGGACCCAAGGAAACAGTCTACCTACTGTTACCAATTTATTACAAGGATATTTAAAATACACAAATGAGCAGCTAGATAAAGAGATACACAGAGGTCTGGAAGGGTCCTGAGCACGGGAGCTTCTGTCCACATGGAGTTTTGAAGCGCACGACCTTCCCAGAAACTGTGTATGGTCTTGTTCACCAACTCGGAAGTTCACAAACCCTTTGGTTGGGGATTTTATGGTGGCTTTGTTATGTAGGCATGATTGATTACATCATTGGCCATTGGTGATTAGCTCGACCTCCAGCCCTTTTCCCCTCCCTGGAGGTCAGGGGGTGTGGCTGAAACCCTTTACCCACAGGTTTGCTCTCCTGGCAAACAGCTCTCCATTCTTAGGTGCTTTCTGGAGATCACTCCATTAACATAAACTCAGGTGTGATTGAAGGAGTCTTGTTATGAATAACAAAAGATGTTTTTCTCTCTTTATCACCCAGCAGCTATTTCAGGAAGTGGGGACAAAAACAAAACATAGCAAAAGACGCTCCTATTGCTTTTATCTCTTAGGAAATTATAAGGGTTTTAGGAGCTCCGGTCAGGAGCTGGGAATGAAGATTAAATATGTATTTATTATTACATCACAACATCACAGTATTGTTATCCCCACTTTATAAATCAGTAAGTGCGTGAAAGTTAAAAACAATTATCCCAAGACTCTAGGGCTGGGAAGTGGAGATAGCTAGAAATCACAACTAAAACTTCTGCTGTCAAATTTGGGACTCTGTGCTGCAGCCTAATGTCTGAACAAGGTTCATAAGTTCATTACTAGTATTCTTTCATAAACTCTGAGGTTTGTCAGGCCTCTAAAGTTTATGGTCCCATGTCTCCCCCAGAAGCCAGGTTCACCCTCACCTCTTTCAGTGGCAGAGATCAGACAGGGCCCAAGGTTTGGGTTGGTCATGTCTGGAGAGGTTGGAACAAGGAAAATGTTCTGCATCCTCAAAAGCAATATTTGCCAAATGGGGGATAAACTATATATCCAGATTTGATTTGGAGAGTCTCACCCTTTGAGTGACTTTGCAAAGCACTATATGAATAATATTGTCTCATAATTAATGGTGGCTGGGAGCTGATGACCCATGACATAGCTTTGGGCTGTTAGCTAATATGGTTATTACTTTAATGGGAAAGTCCCAAGCCCTCGTCTTTTTGGTTCATAATGGAAACCATTTTAAGGGAAATAAAAGTTTTCTTTGAGTCAGAAGAATTTTAAAGATGAGATATTATGCAAGAAACCTCTTCTTAGTAGAGTTCTTGGGGCATGAGTGTGTGTGTGTGTCTAAACCTAGGTCTTGGATGCTTGGGAAAGTTAGTGAGGAAGGTGGGTGGCCTCTTCAATCTTCATCAACAGAAGTACTCACAGAGGCACTACTGAAGTAGTTATTTCATTTGAAATTTTTGATTCACTTTGGGAAAAAAATGAACAAATTAGTTAAATTCTGTGTTACAGAAGAGAGAGTGCCACTAGAAAAGAGCTAGAGTTGGGGCCATAGGCATCTAGGTGTAGCCAAATTATGGCTCTGGCTACCTGTGGCCCTTGAGTTCATTCTCTCACTCTAGACTTATGCTGTCCCACTGAGGCAGATTGTCCTTGATGTCTGTCACTTAGGCAGATATCAAGACAGACAGAATGGCTCTATAGTGAGTGTTGTTCATTTTGGGCTATCTACCTTCCATTCTACCTCCCAACAGCATCTTGGTTTCCTTCTTGGGAATTACCTCTGTCTTGCGGAGCAATGAGGGTGGGTGCTGGGCTTCTTGCCACAGACTCCTCTGAGAGATCCCTGGGGATTCCCTTCCAGCCCTGGAGTCCCACAAGACTGCCCCTACTTCAGAAACCAAATCACAAGTCCCAGGTTGTCACCTGTACTTCTAATCAAAAGGGTATAAATGGAAGTTCCCACAACCTCCAGCAAGCAGCATATGACATAAGTTCAGCCAATTAGATCTTCTCTTCCAAAACTGTGACCCTGAAACAGAAGGATCGAAATGGGAGGAATGGTTCGAATCTATGCATCTGTCAGCAGGTTCTATGAGGGGAACAGACAGATGGTTGGATCTTGTCTTCACACTTTCTGGAGCTGTTCCATATTCTGAGAGTTACAAGCCTCGTTCTCCAGCCTCCCCTTCAACCCTGTGAGTACCTCTATAGCCTTTGATTCACTCCTCTTTTGCTTTAGTTGGTCAGCATTTTGTTGTTTGCAACTACAAAACTGTAATTGTAGAAGCCCCTTCACTGATCCCCTTGCCTCAAGAACACCCTGCACATTTCCCCAAATTCCAAGTAGGACCATAACAAGCCCATACCTGAAAGGTTTCAAAGTCTGTTTCCTGTGGAGAAAGCTCATGCTCCTTAGTATGGCAGAGAAGCCTCCCCCTTCCCTTGCCACTAGGTGGTGCTACCTCCTACTCAAAAATCATCTCTCGCTCAGGCCTTTGTCCTCTTATCACAGTTCACCTCACAAGTACCTCACCATTCTGAACTTAGGGCAAGAGTCACCTCCTTTATGAAATCTTTCTTGACCTGCTCCTCCCTAGAATTGACTACTCTGTACACAATTCTGTTTTGATCTGCTTATTTGTATCTCTATGACCCTAGTAACTGAACTTTCTTTGAAGGTGGGCATTATATCACACCCACCTTTGTATTCCAAGAATAGATTTTTCATTTTGTATTTGTGGAATGAATGGATAATGAACAAGTGTTGCAATCATTAAGGCATACTCACACATGTAAGTCTGGCCCCTGTTCTTCTAAATGCCTGGGACAGGGCGTGCACCTGGCTTGTAATCAGTGAAATGATCCTGATGATAGAAAGAGAGTGTAGTGACCTGTTTATAAAGATGGCTGCAACTATTCCTCCCATCCTGTACACATACACCCTGGCACTGTGACTTTACTGCTCCTCCCATGAAAAAGTGGGTTTAATTCTCCTCTAGTTGAATCTGGCCCTGTGTGATGGTCTGACTATGTCCCCCAAAGTTCATGTGTTGGAAACGTAATCCTTAATGCAGTAGTGTTGGAAGGTGGGGCTTAATAAGAGGTGATTGGGTCAGGAGGGCTCTACCCGCATGACTGAATTAATGTCATTGTTGCAGGAGTGGATTAATTATTTTGAGAGTGGCTTTGCTATCTTGGGAATGGCTTTGTTATAAAAGCAAATTTGACTGCCTTTTTCTTACTCTCTCTCCTCGGTGCTCTCTTGTCCTTCTGGCTTCTGCCATAGGATGATGCAGCAAGAAGGCCCTTGCCAGATGCAGGGCCCTTGAACTTCTCAGCCTCCAAAATTATAAGAAATACGTTTCTTTTCTTTATAAATTACCCAGTCTGTAGTATTCTGTTATAATAATGATAAGTGCACTAAGATACCATGTGACTTACTTTACCCAAATGAATGTGTTGAAGTGATATTGTGAGACTTCTGAATCTCAGCCTCAAAAAGTCTTAGGGTTTCTGCAATTGCCCTTTTGGATTGCTGACCCGAGACCACCATGGAAAGCAATTCTGCCCAGCATGCTGGAGCATGAGAATGAAGGCACTGCAGCGAGCAGCCGGCACCAATTTCCAGGCATGTGAACCAGGCCATCTTCTAGCATCTCTCCCTGAGACAAGCGCCAGGTGGCTGCATCCATGTGAATGGCCTCTAGAGACAGCAGCAGAAGTGCTGCCCAGATGCTCCAGCCCAAATTGTTGGCCCAGAGTTGTGAGCAAATAAATGGTGATTGTGTTACGCTGCGAAGTTTTAGGTGGTTTGTTATGTAGGGGTAGAGAATGGATACAGAGATATTGGTAATGAGTTAACATAAAGAACAGGGGTGCATTGTCCCCTGAATGTCCTCTATTCTTCAATAGTTGTGACAATTTGCCTCCAGTGACCATTTAAGATGTTGACCATTGTGGCAAATGGTCACAGTTTATCTCAGGCTCTTTGCTGCCTGGATTAGTGTGCTTGGGCTGCCATAACAAACTGCCACAGGCTTAAATAACAGAAATTAATTTTTTCATAGTTCTGGAGGTTGCAAGTCTGAGATCCAGATGTCAGTCAAGTTGGCTTCTTCTAAGACCTCTCTCCTTGGCTTGTAGATGTCTGTCTTCTTCCAGTGTCTTCACACGGTCCTTTCTCTGTGTCATTTGGTATCCTAATCTCTTCTTCTTATAAGGACACCAGTCATACTGTATTAGGTCCCACCTATATGAACTCAACTTACCTTAATTACCTTTTAAAAGATGCTGCCTCCAAATATAGTCTGTACAGTCTGAGGTACTGGGGGTTAGAGTTTCAACACATAAAATTTGGGGGGGATATAATTCTGTCTAATCATTGCTTAAAGTCTAAGCACTAGCTTATTTTACCATCGACTCCTTGCCTACTGGTAGTTGAAGAAGTGATAGCAACGTGCTTGGACTGACCAACAATTAAGTAGCCAGGAATCATTCTGAGAAATACCCTTCCAGGTCTGCAAAAACCATAAAGCAATTTAGGGAGTTGAGGTCCCTATGTCACCTTCCTATCCAAGTACCATGCCTTTTCTGGCTGTTTGCTGGGGCCGTCTGAACATTTTCTGGAGGCTCACTGCAAAAGGCAAGTAGGGGCAGCCTGAGGTGGGAGTTTGGCAATCCGTAGAGGCTGCCGCAAGCTGGGACCACCTCTGCAGACGCTGTTGGATTCCTACTGTGGGAGATGTCCTCTTGCTAAGAGTAACACATTTCCTCTTGAGTAAGTGACAGGGTGGGAATATAGCTTTTGCCAAACTCTCAAATAGAAAAACAAACTCACATAATTTGGAGAGAAGGAATGTGCTTAAAATCTGATAATTAAATCTGGTCCCTTAGCAGCCAGCCCACACATGCAGACAGTGAAGGCAGAGGTCAGTGGAGGCGGTGGGATGGACACACAGATGTGTGTCTTTGGATGTTTACCTTGATTAATGGATACACATACAGCAAAGGAGGAATTTGGTGGAGGCGGTGGGATGGACACACAGATGTGTGTCTTTGGATGTTTACCTTGATTAATGGATACACATACAGCAAAGGAGGAATTTGGTGGAGGCGGTAAGACGGACACACAGATGTGTGTCTTTGGATGTTTACCTTGATTAATGGATACACATACAGCAAAGGAGGAATTTGGTGGAGGCGGTAAGATGGACACACAGATGTGTGTCTTTGGATGTTTACCTTGATTAATGGATACACATACAGCAAAGGAGGAATTTGGTTAATAGAATTATCTAGATTTCTGAAGTGTAATCAGTTAGTATTTATTGAACGTTTGCTGCCTGCGAAGCCCTGTATTACGGGTTGTGAAGAAAGATGCCAATCTGAACTCTTGCTGTTTAAATAATTTGAGATGCTTGAGTCAATGTTTCTGCCTAATTAAGTCTAAGTTAGCTTGCAAGACTGAACCTGATGACTGGCTTCTAGACAGCCTCAGGGTACTAATTCTTATTCCTAGTGATTATTGGTACAGGGCTGGAGCTGGCTGTGGAAAGATGATTGGGCTGCGTGTCAATGGATCCAATCCATTCTTTCATCTATTTATACACAACAAGCATTCATTGAAGATCTCATTGTGGATGCCAGACCTGTGTTATGCACCCTGAGATCTGCAGAGAATACTGAATCAGGGCTGCTGTGTCGGAGAGCTTAACCCCAGTAGGTTCTTTAGAGACTCAACCTAGAAGTTGCTCATTTGAGTAAATTCTTAAAAATAATAGCTCATGTCCTGTTACTTGTATTACTCTAAAAATGGACTTCAACTTACTAGAAGGATTCATATAAGTTAATACCAGTTAGGTTACATGAAATTTTATGTTATGTGTTCACTTGAATCATACATGTTTCATTGCATAACTATATATAATGATCATTCTCATTAATCAAGTCATTACTGTTACATGCCCATCCTTGCTTACATGTATATACAGGCACAATGACATAGAAACTGACCTGTATAAACATGTCTGTAAGAGAAGAGAAACTTCATATGCTGCCATTCCTAAGAGAGAGTCCACAGGGGCAGCTGCTAGCATGAGATTTTGCAGAGGGGGTCCAGTCTAAGATTCATGGTGGGTGGTCAGCTGCAGGTGCCGGCATTCACTGGGAGAACAGGTTTTTGTGCTGAAAGCACAACCAAGGGCTAGCGCAAGGAGGGAGCAGGATGCAGATGAGATGACAAAATAGAAAAAAGTCTAAAATACGTGGGGCATTCAAGAAGGCCAGAATGATTCTAAGTCTACTAGATGGTGCCTCTTGGGAGGCTGCCTGCTGTAAAGAGCTTTCATCTGGAAAGTAGAAGGACTTTGTTCTGAATACAGAATTTCTGACTCTTCTGCATATTAGTTACCTCCCTCTCTCACTTATTGGGTAGCTTAAATAACATATGTAAAGCACTTACTATAACTTAGAAATCTCTCAACAAATGTTGGTTTCTTTCCTTTTCTGGCTTGAAGCTACTTTTGGTGCCTTAAAGGTGTCACCCAGTAACAGGAAAAAGACAGACAGATCATGCAGTGTCCCCAGAAATGTACATCCCAGTTGAATGAAAGTTGAGAAATGTTTCTCTTTTCCACCACTTTCAGAGCTATTTTACTTCCCGGGGAGCATAAGAAATATCTGGGGAGAACTGAATTCCACATCTCTCTGATCTTAAAGTCGACAGAACTAGGCACGTTTTCTTAGAAGGCTGAGGTGCCTGCAGATGGCAAGTGAAGCATATAAATACTGACACATGCAAGAAAATTATATGGTGAAAAGAAACTCTTCAGGCAGAATATTGATCACGACAGCACACAGCTTCCATGGGGTCATGTTTCTTGGCTGTTGTTAGGGCATGGCAAGCACGATCATTGGGTCTGAGTAAGCCGAGGAGAAACATTAAGGGCAGAAAAAAGACGTAGCTAAGTCCTATAAAGCATTAAGTGTGTGCCAGACATTCTTTCTTCTAGCGCTTTTACATATTAATTCATTTAACTCTCAGAAAAGTGCTCTGGTGGGTACTATTACAGCTGGGAGAGAGGCACAGAGAAGTAAAGCAGACTCTCAGAGTCACACAGCTAGTGAACATCTGAGCCATGACCGAAACGCAGGCGGCCTCCAAGCCAGTGCTCAAGAACATGGTGCTATGGTTCCCATTATAATTTGACAAAGAAGTTTGAGACATTTTAAAATTTAATGCCAGAAGGATAAAAGATCTAATTGTGAAAAGCAGAACTAAATTCTTCTGGAAGTGAGTATGAAACTATATCTTTATGTGCTTGGAGCAGGGAAATATTTCTTAAATAAGACCATGAAAGCACTAACTCTAAAGAAGAGACAGATAAGTTCAACTCTATGAAAACTAAGAACTTCTGTTCAACAAAACACACCAACAAGAAAGTGAAAAGACCAACCACGAGTGTGGGAATGGTATTTCCAACAGTTATCACTACAAAAGACCAGTGCCCAGCACACATGTACAACTCCTTCACCAAGTAAGAAAAAGGCAAACAATACAAAAGAAATACTGGCAAAGGAATCTAATACATTCATCACAAAATGAAAATATAAATGGCCAAGAAATATGTGAGGATGTGTTTAACTTCATTAGTCATTGAGGAAATGCAAAATAAAACCACCGAGGAAATGCAAAATAAAACCGCCAAGGAATATGGCTAAAATTAAACACTCTGAAATACGCTGTGTTGGTGAGGATGCAGAAGAATAGAAATGCTCAGTCACACTGGTAGGAACATAAGATGGTGCAAACGCTGCAGAAAACTCAGTTGAAGATTTTCACACTTTATGAAGAACACCCAGGGCATTCTTTGCTGAGTCTATGCCTGGAAAAATATATGTACAAGTGGACACATGGAAAAAACAAACAATGTTCATAGCAGCTTTGTTTATAATTGCCCCAAACTGGATGCAACATAACACGCATACAACAAAATACTATCCAGCAGTGAAAAGGAATGCACTATAGCTACACACAATGACATGCATGGATTTTACAAACATTAATGAACGTGAATGATTAACATAAGAAAGGCATTGCTTCTGCCATTGCCAATACCAGACCCCACCCCCTCCTAACACCACATTCCTTACTACTGGGGAGGGGCAAGGAGCAGCCTCTGATCCTCACCAACCATAAAGTGGGTGAGGTTCAACGATTTCCCTGGGGCTGGGCATGGTGACTCACACCTGTAATCCCAGCATTTTCAGAGCATGAGGTGGAAGGATCTCTTGAGCCTGGAATTCAAGGTTACAGTGAGCTGTGATCATGCCACTGCACTACAGCCTGGGTGACAGAACGAAACTATCTCTAAAAAAATAAATAAATAAAAAAGAATTTCCCTGGACCTTTCATCCAAGGTCGTGGGCCTGGTCTGTTCTCTCTGAATTGCACAAACCAAATGGGTTATGAAGATGCTCTCAAAAGTGGCATGCATATTTAAAAGGAGTCTTCTGGAGAAAGCAAAAAGAGTGCCACAGTGGGCCACTGGGGATAGACTTGGGGACAAGCTTTCATTTGCAGCAGAAAGAATGGCTTGATCATTGTGAGACCATATAACCTAGAAGCTCTTCTGCAGTCTATTGATAAACTCTGAGACAGGGTTCTAACAGGCACAATTTGAGATATTTCCTCTGGCTTGGAATTCAGAAGAAACACACATGGATGGTTCTAACATGGCAGAGAGTGACTGAACTTTTAGAGGAGTCAATGTTCTTGGAGCAGATAGTTTCCCAATTGGTCCAATTTTCCCTGGAGTTGCAGGAGAGGACAGCAAGGATGGTGTGAAGGGCTGGTTTTTCATAGTTAACCCTCAGCATGTCCTATGTTTTCAACCTTACAAGAAGAAAGGCCCTGGCTAGATAGGTCTCAGGAGCTCAGGGTTCTAGACCTGCCTCTGACATTTTATAAACTTTGGAACTCAATTTCTTTCTCTGTATAATGAGAGAGTTAAACAGAATGATTGTTAAGTCAATGTTAATTCTGAACTACACTCCCCTTTCTCTCTACACATTTCAATGAACATAATTCAAGCCAGCATATAGCTTTAACAACTTTCAATTCATTTGGTTGCCACCAATTCCCTGCCTATGGGTGCAATACCGGTATCTTTTATTGGTTGAGAATCCCCTGGACACCGGCTGGGTGCTTGATTTGGGTTGGAGAATCCCTATGTGGTGATACTTGTTCGATGCACTTTGAATCAGTCACCCAAACTCTATCCAGTTGTGTGACCTTAGGGTGCAGTCTGAAGAGGGCTGTCCCACATACTTAGGTCCTGGACCAGCCACATGGAACAGAGAGGTTTTTGTGGGGCTTTCTTCATTTTGACTGTATTTCTAATGTCAAGGGGACGCAGGTCTGCCCTAAAACCAATGTGGCTGAAATGTTATTCATGTATTGTGACTGAATCCCCCCATGCTTAGGGCAGATATTGCTAATCCTTCACAGTATAACACTCTAATTGATCACAGTTGGCACCCAAGATGGGATCAATTTATCATCTTTGAGAAGGAGGAAGGTATACACATTTAACTTAGCGCAACCTAGTTTAGCTCCAAAATGCAAGGCATACGAGGATCCATAGCTTCTCACTTGATTCTGTGAATTCCCAGGACTTGCTTTTTCAGGGCCTCTTCTGCCTTCTACTTTTGTGACGTGTGCTTTTCCTGTTATACTTAGTATTCACCTTAAATGTCAAATTTTCCCTAATAAATACACATCATGGTTTAGGAAAGGTTTTTGCTGTCTCTTGGGATCCCTCTCTCTGAATTCTCCACCCATCTCCTGACCGTCTCTTCTTCAGGAGGAAACAGATTGTTCTTTCCCTTTCCTTCATGGCATAACAGTTTATTGAACATGGCATAACAGCTTATTGAACACTTCCTTTGTTCCAGGTACTAGTTTTAATTCTTTGCAAGTATTATTTCATTTAATCTTTACACAATCAATGAAAGATCCACTTTCATTATCTGCTGAGGTATAGAAGAGTTAAGTAACTTGTCTAATGTCACACAGTTAACAAGCAGCAGAGTTGGGATTCAAACATACGCAGCCGTGTTTCAGAGCCCATGATCTCAGCCCCGAGACTGTACTGTCTCTTATTAAAGCATATCTTCTAGACAAATGCAGGATTCTTCCTAAGAGGAACTTTGGTGAACAAAAACTTTTTCATCTCTTTCTGTAAATATGCATATTTTAAAATTTTGCCTTGGTTAGTCAACATGGGGAATACTTAACATTGAAAATGCTGCTTTATTGATTCTAAGACACTATAGAAGGGAAGGTGTACCATTATTCTATGTATTAAACTATGACAACAGCATAATGGTAGTCTACCATAACTCATAACTTGGTTACATTGTTTCAAAATTTCTTTTTTTTTTTGAGACAGAGTCTCGCTCTGTCACCCATGCTGGAGTGCAGTGGCGCGATCTCGCTCACTGCAAGCTCCGCCTCCCGGGTTCATGCCATTCTCGTGTGTCAGCCTCCCGAGTACCTGGGACTACAGGTGCCTGCCACCACGCCCGGCTAATTTTTCGTATTTTTACTACACAAATTCCAAAAGCCTACGCAATTCCTCCTGCCTTCTATCTCAGTAACAAAATATTACATGCTACATCCACTTGTAGACAGCTTTCTTTCTTAGGTCCTGAAAAGGGCTTGCTTGTTATTTTCTAAGAAAATGTAAAATTTCAGTTATTCCTTCAATGTCAAGCATTTGTTTTACTAATATCACATTGATACCTCACTGCTCTATTTTTCTCCCTTTCTGAAAACACAATAAGCATTTTGTTTTAATGCTGAATCATTGCATATTTTGGAGACCTTTTTTCCTTTTTATTTTAGTAATGTTTAAACATATAAAAGAGTGGAAAGTATAAAATAATAAACTCTGTGAATCCATTATCTAACTTCAACAATTACTGACATTTTTCTGGTTTGAAGACATCTTGCATAACTAAACTCAGTACATGAGTAAAGAAAATGGGAGTATCTCTGTGCATGTTGGGACATGTGGGCAATGACAATTTTGCTGTAACTATTCTCTGGCTAGGAGGGACTGAGGGCCACCATTACTGCAAAGACAACTCCAATTTCAGGGACATTAAAATGTGAAAAAAAATGTGCATCTTACAATTGATGACATGCAGAAGCAGTGAGGCTAGGCTATTTTAATTATGAATTTGTATCTAATGGGTCAGAATTTTCCTTAATGTTTTGCGACTTTTAAAATATTTATTTTACTGTTTGTCCTTTCAGCCCCTCTCTACCACCAAAACACAAAGAGAAAAGACCATTTCCATGTTTCTTCACCTAGACTTTGGACTTGTCAGATAGGTATTTAGCACTCCACTGATTGCTTTGGTGAGGCCTCGGTGGAGATAGTCCGGTGCCTGTTTTTCCCCAGCTAAGAAAAGAACCTTGTCCCTGGGGCACTGGGCCACTCACACGTGTCTGCCAATGTATGCACAGCTCAGATCTAGCTTGCTCTAGGCTTTTGACCTGCATCCGGGACATGTGCTTCTGTAAACAACAGGGATGCTCACTGTTTGCAGATTTAGTATCCGAACCAGGTACTGAATCCCCTTGTACCCTGTCTTGCCCTGATGGTCTTGTCACTTGGACTCAAGGACTTCCCTCTCTTCTTACTTGCCTTTTTTTCTGGGGTCACTATTCTCTCTCCTGTCAAAATATCTTCTTGGATTAGTATTCTGTTGACAGATATCGTAGGTCTGGAAACAGACACCCAAATCTGTGAATTCTCATGTTAAGGAACTTGTTCTAGGCTTGCAATGCTGAGCATTCTGAGCTGAGTGCCAGAGCCTGGAGAGGACAGTTTGGCCAAGGGATGCCCTCTCCCAGCTCTGACCCAATGGTGTTACCATGTATGGGAAGAACAACATTGGCAGGAAGCAGTCTGGGCATTGGCAGAAACCTCATGAGGAGGAGAGTCAGGAGAACTGAGCCATAATGTCAGAGGGAGTTGTGATAGTGGGAAAGACCCTAATGGGATGTCAGGGAACCGAAGTTGAGATCTTAGCCTTGTTGACTGTTAGCTGTTGAAGCCATCGCAATGACACACACATACCCAATGGGCCTTGCCATTTCCATGCATTCTGACCAACCTCCACTAGCCAGACTCTGCTTCCTTTTGTCTGCAGGCTTTTTCTTTCTTTTTTTTTTTTTTTTTTAAAGGGCCATGAAGTCCACTCTGCTCACATCCTGCCCCAGCAGCCTCAACCAAGGACTCTGCAAGACTGGCATGCAAACACCCAAGCTCCCTTATTCCATGGGCAGGATAACTTCAAGGCCTGCATTGTACTCCATTTCCAGAATTTCCTCAGGGAATTAACTTTCAGTTGTCCCCAAGGCAGCAAGACTGATAAATCATTTTACTGGCTACCTTCTCTTCCTTGGTTCACTTTTCCACTCCTCTGACAGTTTTTCTTGCCTGTCTTAAATACACTACTTGTATTTGATTGCTTGTTTCAAGGTCTGGGGACACACAAACTAAGACAACAGGTAAGTGGGTCATTTAATTTCTTAGGCCACAGGTTTTTCACCTAAGTGATAGAAAAGCTGAGGAGATAGAAAAGCTGCTAGAGTTTCATGAGTTCAGGACAGACTTGTGAGTAGGCAAGGCAAGTTTCACTATCCTTAATTTTTCAGATGGGGAACCAGAGGCCCAGAGGGTTTTTCTGGATTGTTCATGGCCCCTCCTGCTGATAACTGGCCAAGTTGGGGTGGAACACAGACCTTTGAACCCTGAAACCAGTCAGCTTCCATCGCAGTGTCTCTTGGTCTCTACTGTTTCTTTCCAAGAGTAGTTCTTACATTTCCCACAATGCAAGAAAGAAGAGTCCAGTGTCAGAGATAGATTCTGATATCTGGGTTTTGTTCTCTGGACTGTGGTCAGTCTTGGCTGGAGGAGGTAGTCCTGGTGTCTCTGGTACCCTGGATAGGCTCAAAACCTCCTGCACAGATCATCTTCTGGGGCTGAGTTTTCAGGGCTACAGAGCCTTAAGGAATGTATTCATATCTCATGTCCCACCTTCTGGCAGATCCCTGCAGTCCTCTAATGGGTTTTGGGCAATCAATCCCAGGGCCATGGTTGAGAAATTTTTGATGGATAGACTGTGGTGCGCCAATTGAGGGAGTCCCTACCCAGTAATAGCTGTACCTATTAGCTGCAGCAGTGCCTGAAACTCTCACAACACTGTGGAATTCAGGTTGAGTCAACAGAACCCTTGTCAAAGTAGCAGTGCTGCCAGAGAGGGGTAACACAGGAGTGACTTTCAATCTTCATTTAATGCCTTAGCACACATGCAGAGCATTCTGACTCTCAGAGTGGAAGGTACTTCCTAGGAAGTCAAATGATCAGGTTAAAGTAGATCAGTTGCCCAGAGAGAAATTGAGGGAGAAGAACACAGGTAGGGATAGGTATGTTTTGAAGGGATAGAAGGAGTCACGGAAGCCAAAGTATGAGGTTCTGCTCATGTGGGCAACAGAGAAGAGTTGCCTTGTTTAGCAAAAGTGTAGAGAATGAGGGCCCTGGGCATTAGGGGTTGGGAAACAGGGGGCACCTGGGGTAAGGGTAAAAAATATGTAAGGGTCACCAAAGTTTATCCTTCACAGTTTTGCCTCAGATCATCCCTTACCTTGATCTGCCCTGACCACATTTGTCCATCCATTTTGCAAATGTGACACCCCAATTTTTCATCCTTTTTTTTTAATGCTTAAAGGCAATTGTATTCAGTTCCTTTCCATGCAGCACACAATAAGGTTATCTATGTGCTTATTTCTTTTCCAAATCAACAGTTCGGGACAACATTTCAGGATCCACTCATCCTCCACGGTCAGCTATCTTGCAATGTGTTCTTGTAAGTGTCTTGCATAGGGGTAGAGGGACCTTCTTGATGACCTACAGACTGACTAAGTAGGGGGCGTACTGGAAGAAGAGCTAAGGACTATTGTCTCTTCTGCTGCCATCAAGCTCATGGTGCCACGTTAACTTGTGCCAACAGATGCTTATAGAAGCCAGTCAGGCTCATGGTGCCACATTAACTTGTACCAACGGATGCTTATAGAAGCCACTCGGATTTGCCACAGCAGGGAGGAAGGCATGGGAGAAGAGGAGGAGGGACTCAATGTCCTGTGATGGAGTGTAGAGGCTGCTGACTGGAAAAAACCAGGAACAATGAAAATGAGGTATCTTCTTTAGGATGCCATGCCAAGCAGAAAGCCTCCGAAAAATCCCCCAGTCACTAGAACATTTTTCTTCACAAATGACACCACCTCCTCAGCTTTGCTCCTGACCTGGTTAGGTATCTGAGTGCTCTTAGGGATCTTCAGCTGCTCTTTGGCTTTCTTCATGTCCTTCTCCACTCGTTGCCAATCAACTTTGATGTACCCAGAATGGTTTGCAAGCTGAAGGAGAAAAAATCCACCTCCCACAGCTGTTGCAGCCAACTTTCCAACCTTCTGGAATATAAAACCCGTGCACCATCCAGTGACACCTCCAATGAACAGGTGGGTTGCCACGCTATACTTTTCGGCTGAGAGTCCAGATTCTGGCCCAAACAGCTTACGCCACCACGGCTGCTGCTTAGCAAATTCTGCAAGGTCCACTGACTCAATATCTCCCTCAAAGTTTCCTTGACTGGACGCGGCCATTTCGGTGAGCTAGTCTTGCGAGGACACACGCAGGGGATCTGCGAGGTTACGCTGCGGAGTGGCGCGCTGTCGTGGCCACCACCCGGCTTCCTGCACGTGGGGCAGATGTTTCCATTCCCACCGCGGCCGCGGAAGAGGGCGGGCCTGACGTGCTGCGACCGCTTCCTGTCTCCGCAAGCGGCTGTGTCACAAAGTTCAGCGGGCGGCATCACAAGCCCCGTAGCCCCGCCCAACAGATGCCATCCTGGTTTTTTGTTTTTTTTAGAAGCAGTGTGGAATGGTGGAAAGAGCAATGGACCACATGTCCAAGGAGAAGACCTGAGTCTGTTTTCTCATCTATAGAATAAGAAAAATACAGTATTATTGTGAGGATCCAATAAAATTATGTGTGTGAAATATTTTGTAAATTGCAAAACTCCTAGGCAAATGTCCAGGTGAATTATCTTTGAAAACACTTCCCTTCACACCGTCGACAGTCTCCCCTTTTGAGACTCAAAGATTTTTGTAGTATATTTGGGGAAACCTGTAGCCTCTCTGCATTTTGCAAAACCTGAGTGAGAAATTACTTCACCAGGCCTAGCATTTACTTTTTCTCTTGGACTTACCTGAAAAGAGCTGTCCGAAGTGTCATCTGTGGGAAGGTAAAGAGAAGAGGGGAATATGCTTTGGGAGGCAGATGGGGCTGGGCTGACGACCCTTCAAACATGAAAAAGCTGTGCTGCCTGGGACCTTTTGTGTGGTGCTTTCTCAGCCTGCAACAAAAAGCCATTCCCAATTTGTAGGGTGTGGAATGGCAGGGGTTGTTGCCTGGGAACCCTCTGCAAATGTTAAACCCATTATCGGGCTGAGGAAGGCATGGTTCTAATTGAACTTTTCCTCCCACCTTCTGTTCTGCAGCCATAACAGGACTGCTTGTGCTATTGTGGCCTTTTTACCAGGGCTGGACTGGAAAAAAAAACAAATTTTATCCAATGCAATATATGAACAGGAATTAAGTCTGAACTTTTGAAGTATATAGTTTTTATGTCCTGGTATCTTCTTGCTGCTGGAATTTCTTGTGCTCATCTTAAGGATAACATGACAACAAGTCTTCATCTAAGTAAAAAGGAAAATAAAAGCGAGAAAGGCAGAGAGAGAAATGGGCAGAAACTTTGATGGGTAGATCTCACTTTCCTTGTAACTTTATAAATGAGTTCCAGTTCTCTTTCATCTTAAAGGCTGCCCCCTTCAGCCCCTGCAAAACCCTTTTTTGACACTGAATTGTTTCCTTCTTCTTATGGTTAAGCTGTTCAAAAATAATCTCTGTTCATCATCTCCACCTCTTTACTGCACATAACTTGCCCACCTACTCTGTCTGCCTTCTGCCTTGCCCAGTTCACTGGCCTTGCCCTCCTGATATCACAATTGATCTCTCAGTTTTAATCCTTTTCCTCCCTCTGGCCCCACTTCTGCTACTTTATTTCAGGCCACTGTCGTCTCATGGCTGAATTACTTCAACAGCTTTCTAATGGGTCCTCTTGTCTCCTATCTTGCCCCTCGCTAATCCATTTTTTTTACTGCTGCCAAAGGGATGCTCAAAGGCACTTCAAGGCTTGTCAGGATGCTCCAAATCCCCCATCCTGGCTTACTAAGCCATTTGAAGTGGCCAGTGCCCACCTGTGGTCTTATGGCCTGCCCAGCCCTTCTGGTGTTCTGCCCTCCAGCCATACTGATCTGTTTGCAATTTCCCTAAGGAGCTCTGCTGTTGCTCTTCTCAGGATCTTTACACTGATTGCCTTCTCTGTCACAAATGCCCTCTGCCTTTGCTGGACTGATTCCTATTCATCTTTCCAGCATCAGCACAGCCTCCCTTGTCTCCTGGAAGCCCTCTCGAGTCCTGGGAGTCTTGATCTTGGGTCCTTCCCATGTTCCCTTCCAGCATGATATGTTTTCCACATTCTTTCCCACTGTCTTTTTCTCTTCTCTTGACCATCTCCCTTTCTAGAGACTGGACACCTGAAGGCCTCAGAGGCAGGGACTAACATTAGGGTTCATGCATAAGTGATATATTAAGGAAGGGCTCCCATGGAGCCTGGTAAGGAGTGGAGGTGCAGGACAGTGGAAGGGAGGAAACCCAGCAAGAGGGTGTCCTCAGGCAACATCCTGAGGGTGGTAGCTACAGCCTGACCCTGCAGGGGAGCTTTGGAGTATAAGTTACACCTTGGAATTGCCCATGGAAGGCCAGGGAGATGGACTGCAGTATCCCAGTACCTATGGTTACTGGTCAATGGCTGCCCTGGGGGAAGTAAATTCCTAGGATTCCAGCTCTTCTTTGTGTGAGTGTGTGTGGACAAGCCTCTGAATAGCTGGAGGGGTGACCTTACTGCTGAGGCATACTGAAGGTGGGTGGTGTGCAAAAATGGCAGAAAGTGAACCCCGGGGTCCTGGGTGGAGCATTGACGTTGTCATTAGAGTCCTGCTCTTTCCATGGCTTGTTCCCGTGCCCACAATGCCTGGTACATAGAAGATGTGCAGCAATTTTTTTTTACATAAATGGATAACAGATTTCCTTTCTCAAATCAATGACTTGTTCGTGCTTTTTTCTTTTTCTTTTTCTTTTTTTTTTTTTTTGAGGTGGAGTTTCGGTCTTGTTGCTCAGAGTGGAGTGCAGTGGTGCGATCTTGACTCACTGCAACCTCTGCCTCCTGGGTTCAAGCGATTCTCCTGCCTCAGCCTCTCAAGTAGCTGGGACTACAGGTATGCGCCACCATACCTGGCTCATTTTGTATTTTTAGTAGAGATGGGGTTTCGCCTTGTTGGCCAGGCAGGTCTTGAGCTCTTGACCTCAGGTGATTCACCTGCCTCGGCCTCCCAACGTGCTGGGATTACAGGCGTGAGCCACTGCGCTTGGCCTGTTTGTGATATTTTACACTGTTCAAGTCTCCCTCCTTGAAAACCCCCATTCCCTTGGCTTTGAATCTCACTCTCGGTCCCTTTCTCCATGCTGCTTCCTTTCTTGGCTCATTGTTCCTGTTTCATTTTTTCGCATGGCATTGCCAGGGGTTCTGTCCTCGACCACCGTCTCAGTTTACTCGCTGTGAGTGCTCTTGCCTGTATTTATGTGTAGATTAAGTGTGTTCTATATGCCCAATTCATAATTCCTCCATTCATTTATTCATTCATTTAACAAGTATTTCTGAGAACCTGGAATATGCCCACCACTATTCTAGGTTCTGGAGATATAAGACTGAACAGATCATACTAAGATCACTGCTTTCATAGAGCTTGCAGTCTGGTAGCTGGGTGGGAATGGGGGAAGACAATACATAATAATCAAAATAAGAAAATTATGTAGTACATTATAAGAAAAAAGGAAATGCAAAGCAGGATGGGCAGTATTGGAAGGACTGCGTACATCTCGGGCAGGGGGGATGTTTGCAAGTATAGATAGGGCAGTCTGGGTAGATTTCATTGAGATGACAGCATTTGAGTACTCTGAAGGAGCCAAGGGGGTAAACTGTGCAGTTCTCTGTGGGGAGAACATCCACTTGGAGGGAACTACAGTGCAAATTCCTTGAGTTGTATTCTTGACGTGTTCAAGGACACGACAAGGAAGCCAAGGAAGAAAAGTAGGAAATGAGATCAAATGGAAATGTGGGGTGAGTAGATTATCTTAGGGTCCTATGAGCTGTGACAAGGACTTTGGCTGTTGCTCATAGTGACAGGGAAGCATTGCTGGGCTTTGGGCAGAGGTGTTACCCATCTAATTTACATCTCTCTCCTGCCTCCAGACTGGTATATTCGATTGCTTTTTGGAGATCCCGTGGGCAGCTTAAGTTAAATGCTCAGTCCTCATTATTTGCAAATTTTGCAATTGGGAATGTACCTACTAGGTAAAATTTATTTGTAATCCCCAAATCAATATGTAAGATGCTTTTGTGGTCATTTGTGGCCATGCATAGAGTGATGAAAAGCTTGAGTCACCTGATAGCACATTCCCAGCTAAGGCTGAACAAAGTAATGCTCTGACTTCGTGTTTCAGCTCTCACACTGTAAGTAAATGCTCTTTTTGTGGTCCATCGAGTGCCACTTTTTTCTTTTTTGCATTTTTATGCTTTTCTTTGGTTATTTCACTATTTAAAATGGCCCCCAATCATAGTGCTGAAGTGCTGTCTAGTGTTTCTAAGCACTAGGAGGCTGTGATGTGCCTTATGGAGAAAATACATATGTTAGATAAGCTTCATTCAGGCATGAGTTATAGTGAGGCTGGCTGTGAATTCAATGTTAATGAATCAACAGTCTATATTAAACAAGATGCCTTTAAACAAAAACACACATAACACAATGTTATGTATTGATGAGTTGATGGAAAATATTTTGACTAGAGGCTTCTCAGAACCTATCCCTGTATTTGCTTCAGGAGCAATGGTTCAGTATTCACAATGCAGCGTTCACAGTGACTACAGAATATAGTTACTGTAAATAACAAGAATCAACTCTGTGTTTGTAATACACTGAACTCCTTGTCTTTCTTCCAGACAGGGTTCTCCTTTTGTATTATTAATCTTGATAATTTTAGCTCTGCCATTCACTGACTCACCCCAGCCAGATAGAAACTTCCTTACTCCTCACATCAAACAAGTTTGAAGCTCCCCCTCAAACATCCTCTTCTCTCCATTCCCATTGTCACAGCCTTAGTTAGATCTTCATCTTTTGCCGAGACTGATATGTCAACCTCCTAACTGATCTCTCTGTCTCTGATCTGGCCCCCTCTGATCTCTCCTTCATTCATCTTCTAGACATACCCTTCTGAAATGCAGCTCTGATCGCATTATTTCCATGCACAAGCCCTTCAGGGAGTTCTCTTTTTGCCAATAGCAGTGATCTGATCTGGTACTCATTGCTAGATACCTACTGAATATCCACCTCCCAACTTTTTTCAGGTGGTAGTGTGCCCCATTCACTTCCTCAGACTCCTTTATAGCATGTGGCCCAATACTCAACAACAAGTTATATGCAGAAATTACTGGGTGGCGCTGATAGAAAGTGCTTTAAAGAGGATAGACTTGACTGGCATTAACCTTTTGTCCTTTATCCTTCTTTCTTTTCCCTGGGACATGATTTTGATGTGGCAGCCATCTTGCTGGTCGTGAGAATAGAAGAAAAACACAAAGGATGGTGTTTCATTTGTTTATTGCAGTGCAACAAATCATCAAAAACTTAGTATTCTGAAGCAACTACCATTTATTTCCTCACAATTCTGCCTTCTGAATTGGGCTAAGCTGAGTGGTTCTTCTGCACCTCTTGCCCTAGGGTCATCTATGTGGCTGGTCCTGGATGGCTTCAATCATATGTATGTGCCTCTTTTTCCATCTGGTTTCTCCTTCTCTAGGAGACTAGGGCATCCTTACATGATTGTTTCAGGGCTGAAAAGTGAGGGCAGATGTTGCAAGACTTGTTTAGGGATATGGCTCAGAAATCACACAAAGAAACTCTGCCATATTCTATTGGTCAAAACAAGTCACATGACCAGCTCAGATTAATGGGCCTGTGTTCCAGGATGGGAGCCATGGTTATGGGCATTTTGCAACCAGTCTGTCATAGAGCACAAAATCAGAATGGGAAGAGCCTGGATCCCCATGGTTACTGTGAGTCATAATGCCAGTGCTGGCCTTATTATTATATAAGAACTATAAATCTTATATGTGTAGCTTCTAGAGAGGTTGTTTTTGTCACATGGAGCTGGCAGTAATGGTGCTGGCCTTGGAGGTTGAGAAGAGAAGGGACGGATAGAAGATAAAATATTTAGGGGGTAGAATTCGCAGAATCCAGACATCCCCTGATAGTATTTTGAGAATTTTCCATAGACACCCTGTGTTAGTCTGTTTTGCATTGCTTGTTAAGGAATACTGGAAGTGGAGTAATTTATAAAGAAAGAAGGTTTATTTTGGCTCATGATTTTGTAGACTGTTCAAGAAGTGTGGTGCCGGTATCTGCTTCTGGTGAGGGCCTCAGGGAACTTTTACTCCTGGCTAAAGGCAGAAGGGAAGCAGGCATGTCACATGGTAAGAGACAGGGTGAGAAAGAGGTAGACAGATAGAGAGGTAAGGAGAAGGGAGGGAGGTGTCACACTCTTAAACAATCAGCTCTTGCGTGAACTACCAGAGCCAGAACTCACTCATTACTATGGGGATGGCACCAAGTCATCAAGTCATACATAAAAGATCTGTCTCCATGACCCAACACCTCCCACCAGGTCCCACCTCCAACATTGGGGATCACATTTCAACATGAAACTCAAACAAATATCCAAACTGTATCACATCCCCAAGTTTATTTCTGATTACCAGTTTCAAGCTGAACACATTTCTAACTGGTAAAAGTCATTTCTAACTATGATGTTTTGTATCCTGGTGCTTCCCATCAGTTGTTGAGATCCCATGGGTAATTAATTATTACAAAAAGGTGCCAATACTTATTAATGGTTCATAGCACTTAAAAAAAAAGGTACATTCGCACTTTGGGAGGCTGAGGCAGGTGTATCATCTGAGGTCAGGAGTTCAAGACCAGCCTGGCCAACATGATGAAACCCCATTTCTACTAAAAATACAAAAAATTAGCAGGGCGTGGTGGTGGGCACCTGTAATCCCAGCTACTTGGGAGGCTGAGGGAGGAGAATCACTTGAACCCAGGAAGTGGAGGTTGCGCTGAGCCGAGATTGCGCCATTGCACTCCAGCCTGGGCAACAACAGCAACACTCCATCTCAAAAAAAAGAAAGAAAAAAGAAAAAATAGCGTACATTCAAGATACCAGTCTTGAATTATCTACCATTTTCTTAATGAGGAAAAAAGCAGAAAAACTGTCCTAAGGAGCAAAGCCATTGTTTTTTCCTTGAAGCTGGTGTAGTTTTGTTAATATTCGTGTGACTATTTGAGTCCCTGTTGGCTTTATTGTATGCTCTATAATTCTCACCCCCAAACCAGACTTTCCCCTATTCATTTCTGAGAGCCTCCAGCAGGGCTTCTAAGTGCATGCAAATCACTCTCAAATATTATTTACTACTGTTGCTTCCTAAGGCAGGACCTATAGTCCCGCAGATCTGCCAGGCTCCAGGCGATACTGCTCTCAGCTGGAACTGTTTTCCCCTTGATGTTGCCTAGCAGCCTGCAGACCTGGAGGTCCCCTGATGATGTTCTCCACCTCCTACCATCATGCAGCATTTATTGTTCCTCCTCACACCCCCAGCACGTGTTGAATACCCCTTTCCTTGTTCAGATTAAAAAGGAAAGTGATCCTTTCTGGAGACACTTGCTAAATGCAAAAGTTTTACAGCAGAAAACTCTTGTGCTTCCTGTTGGAAATAACTATAAGACACACTCTGTCTTTCTCTCTCTCTCACTGTCTCTGATGGGCTTCAGAAGCACTGCTCTGAGTTGAACGCTGTTCTTAACACTGTCTTCACCAGGGGAGCTGAAATATCTGCTCCACTGCTGAGATTTTAATCAACCTAGTGCAGGAAACCAACACCTAGAAAGGCCCTTGTGCACTGAGAAAGGTGTTTCTTCTGTTTTATTCAGAAATTGTTCAATACTGGTGTTGTTTGGGTCCTAAATATTTTCAGTAAGTGATATAAGTGATACAACTTTTTCTTTTAAGTATAAATTTGTTTTAAGTTTTTAGAATAACTACTTCAGGTATGTGATTAAAAACAAAAAAATCCCAGCAGTACGAAATGATACAATGAAAAGCAAGTCTCTCTAATCCTGAACACCAGTTCCTCCATCTTATTTACTTGAACAAACTTCCAGAATAGTTTGTGCACTCTCATAAATATATGGTCCAGTCCTTTCAATTAATGAACACGGCTCAGGCTGATCTGGAGGCCTGGGTTAGAACAGGGTTTGAAAGAGGCCGCCTCACCAAGTCCAGATTCCCACTCTACTCTGGTCCTCAGGCTGCGCTGTTTGACTCAGCCAGCCTCCTCATTCCTTAATGGAAACTTCTTTTTTTTTTTTTTTTGAGACGGAGTCTCGCTCTGTCGCCCAGGCTAGAGTGCAGTGGCGCGATCTCGGCTCATTGCAAGCTCCGCCTCCCGGGTTCATGCCATTCTCTTGCCTCGGCCTCCTGAGTAGCTGAGACCACAGGCCCCCACCACCATGCCTGGCTAATTTTTTATATTTTTAGTAGAGACGGGGTTTCACCGTGTTAGCCAGGATGGTCTCAATCTCCTAACCGCGTGATCCGCCCGCCTCGGCCTCCCAAAGTGCTGGGATTACAGGCGTGAGCCACCGTGCCCGACCCTGGAAACTTCTTTACACTAATAAACTTCTTTATTCCATCTGTTGTCTTTTGAGGTCATATCAATCATGTTTGCACATGTCCAAACCCCAATAGGGGACAGGGTTTAAGCATTTTTTACCAGGAGGTTTGTGAGCCCCTATGTGGGGAGAAATCACCTACTTCCAGCCTTCAGCTCCATCCGAGAACAAGCTCCAGGTGATCCAGAGTGTCTCAATACACCTCTCTCAGATTCCTCACTTACCTAAGCCCCAGCTGCTCCACCGGCCTCATTCCCCGTCACACCCCTCAGACCACATCTCACCCTAGCAATACTCCTTGCAATTCTCTCAGCCCAGAGCTTTCACACATCTGCCTTTGCCAAGGCTTTTCCTTTCCCTAGAATATTTTTTGGGGTTCTCTTTGGAAATTCCTATCTTTCGATCAAGACTAAACTTAATCGTCACCTTTTCTGTAACTGTTCTCAATGATTAATTTTCCCTCTTGACCCCTGAGCTGAAGTCATCATGTCGACTTTGGTCAGTATTGTCTCTAGCACTTCTGTTATTCAGTCTAGTACAACATGCTCATTTTTATTTTATTTTTTTCTGATGTTTTTCTCTATGAGCAACTTGAGAATAAGAACTTGATGTTAAAATTTATGCCTGCCACATAGATGGCATTTCACAAATGTTTCTTAAATGAGCTCTTAAACATAATATATAATTTTTGTACTTAGGCAGCTCTGGTGCTGTGGAAAGGGTTTTGAATTTGGAATCAGTTGAAAGAAGTTGAGAACTGTTGCCCTGCAGGCTGCAGCCCAAAGTCCTTTGCATGCAAGTTGGCGTCCCCTGTATCAGGAGACCTGGCTCTAAATCCTCAGCCGCTTAGTAGCTGCAACAGTAGGTAGTCACTTAATCTCACTGAGCTTTGGTTTTTCTGTCTGAAAAAAAGAGGGTTTGTACACCTTGCAGAGTTCTGAGAAATAATTGTGACATGAGAAGCTGCCCAGGAGAGTGCCGGCCACCTACTGAGTGTTCAGTACATGTTAATGGAGTGAATGAATAAAGGAGAAAAACTTACATAAAAACCAACAGGAACAACATTCTGATTTGCAAATATATTTACGTGCTTCTACATTTTATTTTTGTGCATGCGCACCCACACACAAACACAAAGACTCTCTCTTCTCTTGTATATACAGGTCCAGTTCCTAGTTTATTTATTTACTTTTGGTTGGTTACACAACAGACCTACAGGAAGTAGTCTTGCAGGTGACAGAGAAGTTGAGGCAGCTTTGGTTGCAGTTATGACATTATGCTCCAGTGACATTTCATTTAATTTCATGTCTATTTTTTTTTTAAGTCCAAAGCTGTTACATATCTTTCTTATATGTGTTCAGCTGGTGTGTGCTACTTACCAGGATTTTGTCAGCTGTTTTGATGGCTGCTGTCCACATTAGTATTCTGTAGGCCTAGGATTTCTAGTCTTCCTGGAAAGCCCTGATATCTTATCATGTGGACGCAGGAAGTTTTTTTTTTTTTTTCAGTGCTTACTTTGCTTCCATTTTTAGGTATGATTGAATTCTGTAAAAGCCTCTCAGTGAAAGAATGTCTTTTGATAAGCACTTGAAATCCTCCATTTGTCAGATTTCACTTTTAGTTTGTGTTTGGCCACCTTATACCACAAAGGCACTCTGGGCTCTCAGTCTCTCTCTCATACGTGTGTATACCCATGTGTCCTCTCAGTGCCTGGTCCCAGTCCACATCACAGCAGCATTGACTTACTCCCAATCCATTCTCCATCTCCGAGCATATTTCAGGAAGAGTGGACCTTCTCATATCTACTCCTGTAATTGTTCATTTTATGGGTCAACTTGACTGGGCTAAGGGATGCCCGGATGACTGGTAAATATTATTTCTGGGTGTGTCTATGAGGGTGCTTTCAGAAAAGATTAGCATTTGAATTGATGGACTGAGGAAAGAAGATCACTGACATGAGAGGGCATCATCCCGTCTGTTGAGGGCCTGAATAGAACAGAAAGACAAAGGAAGGGCAAATTTGCCCACTCTTTGTTTGAGCTGGGACATCTATCTTCTCCTGCCCTTGGACATCAGTGCTCCTGCTTCTCAGGCCTTCAGACACAGCTCAGGACTTACCCTGCTGGCTTTTTTGGTTCTCCAGCTTGAAGACAGCAGACGGTGGAACCTCTCAAACTCCATAATCACATGAGTCAATTTCTATAATGAATCTCTCTTTCTTTCTCTATCTATACAGCTATATATCTATATCTATATCTATCTATGCTACTGGCTTTGCTTCTCTGGAGAAGACTGACAAATACAGCTCTTGAATTGATCCACATTTAGCCTGCTTCTCCACTATCAGTCTCAGGTCCATCTTAAGTCTCAGCTCTTGTCCACCGATAACCTGACTTTTGGGAGCTACAGTCCTCCCTCAATAAGATGCTACTATCCTGACACTGTTCCCAGTGACAGAGTGTATTTGGGGGACAGTGTGTGGGAAGGTCATGTCCCCACTGCATACATCACACACTGCCCATTCTGTGCTTCTCCTTAATACCACCATTGAAACACCAAGAGTCTCAGACTGAAATCTTAGGGCTACTAAGAAGAATTATAGCACAGATCAGAAATATCTTCAAACTCTTCCCCAAATCATCTGGTCATCACTAAAAGGAATCTCTCTTTGATCATACCTCACTTGAGGCCCCAGCCTGCTAGTGGGGTGGTGAGTTAAAGCTTTCTTCTCATAGATAATTTCTCTGCCTTCTTCATTATGGTACTCAGAGCCTCCACCCCTGCCTGTCATGTTGTTCAAACAAAAACTCAAATAGTACTCCATTATTACTCAGAGCTGTTTGTCTTCCCTCTGTCTTAGCCACTCAGTCCAGCACAAGACAGCCCCCATTTTCACAAGCAAAATGCCCACCGAGATGTCTTATTAAACGAAAGAGCAAACTTTCCTGCTTCTTTGAATTTTATCAGAATATGAAAATGATTACAGCTAGTTCCTATATTTAAAGTCAGTAACATGTTTTCCCATATGGCACACAGATCCCTACTCTCTCAAATATTCACCCTCGGTTTTATGTTCCAAATGTTTTCCCTATTGGTCCTTTAAAAAAGACACTTAAAGCCCACTAATCCATTGCCATTTCACTTATAACAGATCTACTAATTCATAGCTATTATAATAATTATGGTAATTGTTATTAATGGCAAAGGGGAATTATTGAATTATTATTAATTCCTGGCATATAATGCATCTGTTATAAATAGTTGTGATAACTCATAATATATAATCATCATGCAAGAGATGAATCTCTTTAGAGTCCCATACTTAGAGTGGTATTTAGCTGACAGAATATACTGGAGCAGTGAACCAGCCAGCGCACATTTTGATAGGTCCATGGTGACTATTCTGATTGATAGGTGCCCTCCTTAATTGCCCTTGTCCATGCACATGTCTGGCATCTCATAAACAATTGGAAATAAAATCAGTCAAGCTTGTAACTACTTGGAATCCATAAGTCTAAGGATTAATTTATTTTAATTACTGAATTGGCTTAACCAAACAGGTACTTAAGTATCAGAATTATGTTTAAGACTTACTGAATGTGGATAACTCCATTCTAAGGGTAGGGACTGTGTGTTCAGGCAGCTGAAGACCTAGCTGGACAGACAGGACCACCCCACATAATGAGTACTCTATGCTTCTGTATGCTATGCTTGTTTTCCCTGGCCTTATCTATTTTTGGGATACCCTTGGCTGCCACTGATCATGACTGCAGTTTTTGACTCTGATAACTTGCACAATTTGATTCCCAGGGCTCTTTACGTCTATCTTGGGTTTCTGGTGGCTCACTCACTTGTTCAGTGGTATTGCTTCTCAGTGGCTCCTGTAGTTTCCTGTCCCTGTTCCTTTGATCTTGTCTGAAGGGCCCTGCTGGGTTTACAGGAGGCCTGGGGTTCAGCCTGACTTGTGGTTAGCTGGCAGCTGTGTGCTGTACAGCAAAAGGGAATGGCAGGAAGCATCCCAGGCACAGTGTCTAGTAAGGTGGAAAGTTTAGAGATAGGGTAGGAAGCAAAGCCTAGAGCTTGCTGCCTAAGGAGATCGGGCAGGAAAAGAGCCTGGGGAGATCTTTGAGGCAATGATCAGCAGAAGGTGGGAGCCTTTCAAAGGGGGCTGGTAGCTTTGGGTAGAAAGGAACTGTGTAAAGGCTAGCAGTTTTTCCGAATTTTTTTAAATCATTGTAAGTGTATTCTTTCAGCAGAGGACTCTGTTCACGCCCCCAGGACCCCATTTCTCCTTCACCTGGAGAGAAGCCCTACGGGAGATTGCAGAGCTTTTACCAACATGACATGAGTTGATACCTAATCACAGATCTCAGGGATTGTACTTCTCTTAAAATACTTCAAATAAATTTTCAAGGGAACTTGTCTATGGGAGCCTGTGTCACCACCCAGAACTACCCTCATACTAGTGGCTGATTTTGGGTCCTGGATAGTTCAGTTCTTTCCTATTGCAGTGTGCTCTCTGCCTTTCTGGATGCTCTCTTTAGTGGGATCCTCTGTGTGGGTTAGGCCGCCATCACTTTCCTCTTTGTCCAAAAGTCATAATCCCAATGTCCTAGAGCCAGACCTTCAATCTGAGTCCCCGCTGACCTGGCAACACTCTTGCAAATAATTTCCTATTGTCCTTTCCTGGAGCTCCGTGGAGGTATGCAGATGGGTTTTTATGCTGATATCCAGGAAGGTACACCAATGGAAAGGCAAGAGAGCAGGCAATGATCACCAAGTCTGAGGCTCTGCTGTGGCTGTTAAAGCCAAGGGGACAGGGACACCACTCCCAGGTTTCTGCTTTCCTCTGTTTTAGTACAGTGTCTATCTGCTACCCCTGCCTCCCTTCCTCCTGCCCCAGCTCTGGCTTGTCAGCCTGATGAAGAGACCTCAGAACTAATTGTCCTCTCTCTTCTGTTCTTGGGTACCATTCGTACATGTTAATGCTCCTCTCAACAGGAGAGAAGTGAAAAGTTCTCAACATGTGGTCTTCCCGCTGTACCTCTGGTCACTGCAACGCTAGCCCAACTTGACAGAAGCTGGACACAGGGTCGCTGCACAGTGTGCAAACCTGTCAGTTGCTGTCAGGGATAGGTAGTGCACTTCAGGCTATGATGACATTCCAGGCAGGAGGACTAAAAGGAATTTTTCCATGCATTTGAAAATCACAAGATCCAGGTTACCCTTGGTGGCAAGGTGGACCCTGCCTTTCTGATAGGAAGCACATATTTCCACATTTTCACAATCATTGCAGTCTCTGTGTGGAGGGAAAAATGAACCAGCTGAGATTCTCTTCTATGCACCCACTCCCACAAATGCTAATGGTCTGGTCCAGGAGTCTGAACTATATGCTGGAAGTGTCATAAGGATAATATAGGGATCAATGCATCAGTAGGAGCAGTGAATCATGGCCAATGGACTACTTGGAACAGGGTAAAGAGCCCTGGGCTTATTATCAAGAGAAGGCTCTAAGGTCACCTTTGACATAGTTTAGACCTCATTGTTCCTGTTAATAAAATGAAGGGATTGATATAGATAATTTCTACATTCCCTTTCAGCTGAGGATACTTACAGAAATGCCACAGATTTAACATTTCTGGACTTTAACAATGGCACATAAAGAGATGTTTATATACTTGTGAATAAGATGTTAAGTGTGGGTGTGGTTACCACAGTTCAGTGGTTTAGTCATAGGTGAGATGTCCTGATAATCTGTAAGTTATATGTGATATCTACCAGGAAGTGGGTACTTTATGATATGTTAGAGTTCTTTATCCTCCCCTAAAACTTTCTTTATAATGTGGGTGAAGATACTAAAGCATGTATATAGATTGTATGGTTGAAGAGTGAGAGAGATGGCAAGAAAGAATGCAGGTGAAAAACATCTTCACCTTCATTTTTATCCTAGTGTATACCAACTTGCGATGTGAAACTCTCCTAGCTTCTCAAAATCCTAAGTTAAGAGGTATAAATGAGTAGAGATCTGGGCTTGTCAGCAGCATGTGAGAAAGACAAGGCCACTATTTTTTTTTTTTTTTTTTTTTTTTTTTTTTTTTTTTTACTTTTTTGGGTCATGGACCCTCTTGAGCAACTGATGAAACACATATTCCCATATAAGTATACACACACACACACACACACACACACACACAAGCATACGTATAACATTTTTTGCCTACCACATTCAAATGGTTCATATGTCCCTGAAGCCCATCCATGAACTCAATGTTAAGAACACTTGACTTAGGGGATTCAGTCACCAGCATGATGTAGTCACCCCAAATCTCATGGGATCATGGAGTGAATTAATGAAATACACTACAGTGTTTAGTGATAGTCCATATTTAACCTGTTCACATCAACTGACCCTGGGAATTTGTGCTCCATTTTCAGTGACTATTCAAAGACATATAGATAAGCCAGACATTTGCAGATGAGAGTGGCCATGGAATCTTGTTGTTTGCAGAAAATCTGAGGAAACTAAGAAATCTATTCATGGAGAATAAAGGAAAAAGTCCTGAACAATGCTTAGAATGATGACCCTGAAGACTCGAAGGAAGTAGACTAGAATTTTCAGGATAATTTTCACAATATGTGTTGAGATTCAGGATAAGCCTCAGTTAACCAGAAAGCTAAATTTGTGAGACACTTTTATTTCCCTGGTGTTCCACTTAGTTGAGGTTTTATTGTGCTGATGAGGTTGCAAGAATGAAAGTGTATGGCAGGTGCAATTCTGCAGGTAAACCTGGTAAGTAGGCAGATGTGGAGGCTGAATCAACCAAGCATGCAGGCACTGTAGGCTACCTTTAAGCTTTAAAGGACACTAAGAAGGTCCTTTACCTTAGTACCTTAGTATCTCTCCCAGTATTTCCAACCTGCAGTCAGGCTTTCCTGAATGTCTTAATGCCTCAGATGGTTCTGGTTCTGACCACAAGCTCAGATATACGGTGTAAGTACAACTTCCCATTAAAAAAAAAAAAATGTATATAACAACCTAGTTTCTACCTCAAGCTCCCATTCTGCCTAATTAGTCTAGTTATCTCCAGGTAAATTCTGTCATTTTCAGGTTTTCTATGTTATTTCGGGTATAAACCCAATCAATTCAGGATTTCCTCTCATTCTCTTTCTCCAGATGCGGGGTCTTGATGCAGATGGAAGAGGGGGGGTTTATGAGGTATCTAGATTTTGAAAAGGTCATCTGGGCCTTGGTTATAATGTCCTTGGATGAGATATTTATTAGCTTTAATGGCTCTAGGTCACTGGTCTCTGTTTCTACCAACACCCACTAAAATATCTATGCTCACTCTCTGTCATAGGGCTGCAGTTCCTCAAATTTACATTTCTTTGTCTCCTAGGTTCCATAGGTTCTCTCTCACCCTACTTCTAAGCCTCCATGAAAAGCTGTTCATGTCTTTTGGGGTCTCTATCTTAAGTTCCCAAATACCAAAACACATCGTGCTCTAAGCTATACTCAATTTCTGTCCTACCATGCTGGTGCAGGAAGCTGTTTTTACTTTGGTAGGATGTAAGTCATTGGGACTCTTTGTTCTTAAATTTCTCAGTTGTATCTGGTACTTCTGTCCCCTCCTTCCCTTTCTCTTTCTCTCCGGTAGCTCAGCATGGGACTGACAGATGCACAGAAAAGTTTCTACTTCTTTTTCTACTCTCTGACTTTGATTCTCCCTGGCAAATCTCCTCTTGATCATTGTGGACCCTGGCATTTTATATATTTTCATTTTTATTTGAAGAAGCTAACATTTCAAGCTCTGTATTCTTTAGGTATTAAGTTTTCAACTAAAAGAATCCCAATAGGTTTGGAAATAAAAATTCATGACTCTCAAGCGTTTGCTACAATTTTTCAAAATTTATTTAGAAGCTCAAAAGCATAGTGAGCCTCTGTTTCTTCATATTCTGGGCAACACCTCCCAGGAGGTAACACCTGCCACTGACTCAGGGGATGTGGATGAGAAATCTGATCAGAAAGTGTGGAGGTGGGAGGTTGCAGCGACAGCTAAAATGATCCCATGATACAACTGGACACTTATTTTTTTTATTTAAGTCCATTTTCCTCTGATGGACACAAATATGGAAGGAACAAAATGGAGGATCCATCATCAGTTTGTATTAGCAGCTTGAAATACATTAACTTCTTTTCTTTACACAGATTTCTGAGACCAGGCTTGATAAGGAGAGTGGAGAGGCAGATTTGGGATAAGGGGAGTAGAGAGAATAGGTGGAGTGGAAGGAAGGAGCAGCCAGAGGGCATTTTGTGGGTAGTGAGAGGCTGGGATGGATGGTTAGGGCTTGGGAAAAGGAAAACAGGGAGCACGTTGAGGGGCACCAAAGACAAGCTTCCCACATGTTACAGTTCTGCCAAAATTGAGGAAACATGAAAGCAGCACATTCAGGCAGAGGATGAATGGAGTCGGTATTCAGTGTCAGGTCAAAAATTGACTCCATGATTTGTAAAATGTTGTAGGAGGCACACTTCTCAGATTTCCAGGTGATGCAAAGTGATGGAAGAAATTTCCAATGTGACGGGGGTGAAAGCAACCAAAGAAAAATGGGTGTGAACGGAGATGCCCAAGTCCAGTGGGGAGGAAGCCATTCGAGAATATAGGTGGGAGAAGTGATATTGCCATGACCTGAACCCATTACGGGACAGAGAGTTCTAGGCTGGGGGATAAATGGCCTGGGGGATGGGTGAAGGCATATCATTCTAAAATTAGAGGTTTTACATCTAGAGTGAGGCAAAATAGGATCACACTTCTATGACACATGACTGAAGTATAGCTGGGTATTGTCGCCATGTTCTTTTCAGTGTTCTCCGTTCTGCCTCCCCGATCCGTTGCTGCATGGACACAGAGAGCACTTCCCCAATTTTTACTTTGATCATGAGTAATCAGAAAGCATGACGTTGCTTGGAAGGCAGGCAAACGCAGCATACAGCCTTTTTCCTTGAAAGCTCCTTGTATTCTGAATTTTTGGCTCACTTTTTAGGATATCTTCACTAAAAACCATTCTATCACACGATGGCAGTAGAGATATAATCTAAATTTATAAGCTATGATGCATGGATGCATCCCAGTGGGGGGAAAAAGTCTAATTTATGTTTGTCCATATATTTTTCTTTGGTTGGTGTTTGTGTTCTAAGTTTCTGGAGGCATCAAACATAGAAAGGCCCTGTAATTCCAGATGGGATTAATGCAGACAATATTTCATTCGGGAAGTGCAACCATAAATAAGAGAAGGTACCTTTAAATGGCCTCTACATTTTTTGAGATACCGCTCAAGTGCCCGTAAAACCAAAATCAACTTTCTGCTTGCATTCTTAATTTTTTCTGCACCTCATTTCTTTCCCTGATAGAGACAATTTTTCAGGCTGACTGGGATGGGAAGAAAGCCTATGAAAGACTCAAACTTTTCCTGTTTCACATTCTCTTCACCCTAACTCTGAGTTTCTTCTGTTTTCTTCAAAGAAAATTTTTTATTTGTCCCTAACCAGTGATAAATGAAGCAGCAGGGGAAGTGTGGAATCTATTAGGATGAGTTGAAAATTTTTATTTGGAAAGATATGTATATTTTGTCATTCTGTCTGGATATGCTTTTCTCAAGCCACAAAAGGGTTCCATAGAGTAACATTCCACAATAATGTCAGATTTTCTTCTGAGAAGGAGCTCAAATGCCTCTCAGGATTCATTCATTCATCCAACACTAAGTGGGTACCCATTATGTGCAACATATTAGGGAAATAATACTAGCCAACATTAAGTGACTGCTAGTCACATGTTTTATAGTGCTTCAAGTTTTTGTTTGTTTGTTTGAGACAGGGTCTTGTTCTGTTGCCCAGGCCGGAGTGCAGTGGCACAATCTTAGCTCACTGTAACCTCCGCCTCTTCGGCTCAAGGGATCCTCCCACCTCAGCCTCCCAAGTACCTGGGACCACAGGCATGTACCACCATGTCTGCCTAGTTTTTGTATTTTTTGTAGAGACAGGGTTTCACCATGTTACTCTGGCTGGTCTTGAACTCCTGAGCTCAAGTGATCCTCCCCACTCATCCTCCCAAATTGCTGAGATTACAAGTGTGAGCCACTGCACTTGGCTTGCTCCAAGTTCTTTATACAAACTGTCTCATTTGATCCTCTCTGCCTTGCCACGAGGCGGTTACTAGCAACATCTCCATTAGTTTTACAGATGAGGAAGCTGAGGCATAAGGAGGTAAAGTAACAAAACCACACAGTCAGTAAAGGAAAGACCCGTGATTTGCAATCAGACAGTCTGGCTTCAAAGTCCATGCTATTAACTGTTGAGCTGCAGGTGACAAAAGTTCTGTCTCCAGGTAGTTTACAAACCAGTAGGAAATGAAAGCCTACAATCTAAGGCAGACATGCTGAAGCTAAGTGAGATGTCATTTTGATGGCACACTGGACATAACTCATGGGAAAATATTAGCCAAGAACATAGGTCAATTCATTCAAGGTTTATGGTTTATTCAGGGAAAAATAAGGAGATAGGAAATTATTCCATCTGGAGAGTGAATGGACATTTCTTTGCTTTGCTTCTTCATCCTAGATATTGTAGGTGGGAATTGAGTCTCATTGGTTTCAATTGGTGGGAGTGGGAACTCTTGGCTTTTTTTTTTTGGATGGAAGGCAGTGGCTATTGGCTAGTGTTTTTGGAAGTATTTTGGCCTGAGTGCTTTTGTGGGGTTGTCTCTCTTTCTATTTTCCTTCTTCGATTACTTTCCTTCTGATACTCTCTCTTGAATCTGGAAAAGCTCAGGGAAGATAAGCAGGCAGACTGCATGGTGTGGAGCTGACTTCAAAGGTAAGAAGAAAATCTTTGGATTTCCTTCTAACTTGCCCATCTCAGCTCATCTGGGATAGGAAAAGAGACAAGGATTCAGGTTAGAAGCTCTATCCAGGAATAGAGAGTATGCGTTTATCTGAAATATCTCTTGTGCTATAATTCTCAGGAACCAGGATGAGGCAGATGGATTACATAAATCCAAAACTGATCTCTTCCTATGAAAATGAATTATCTGCCTAAATAGCAAAGGTGTCACTAAGACACTAAAGGTGTCATATTCTTTGGTGCATCTAAAATTTTGTTAACTTTGTATTTTCAAATTAAGTTTTATGTTAAGAATAATTTGAGGTTGTTTAGCTCTTGTCCTAGAAAACATTTTTATTTTGGAATAATTTTAGTCCTTCCTGTTTTTTTCTTTTCTACATTTTGAAATTTGCATGGGTGGGTTAGAAATTAGATAGCTAAAAACACCTGCTTTCTCTGTACTTCTAGACACAAAGGATGATTAGGCTGTCTGCTAGTCCACTTTTAAATGTCTAAAGTTTGAGAAAAACATCTTCAGAAGCCAGATAATAGAATTGAGGCCATTCTTAGGGATCGTGACATTAAATGGTGCTAAGGATACTCAAAATGACAAAAACCCAGGGAATAAAAAATAATGCTTGACTTTCATTTTACTGTTCAACCATTTGAACTATTAAAAGTGAGAAAATTTATTACAGTGCAACAGTTTATGTTTTCCCATTTCCAAAGAGATAAATAAACAGAGAAATGGGGCCATATTTCTCCAAAGATGAATGGCTTAAGACAACAGAGATACTATTCACTAAAAGCCGTAATGAGTAGGGACTAAAAATATAGCTGCTTTATGATGTCTGCAGTAGCTCTTCAGCTATCTGCATTTTATAGGGTAAAAGAGAAAGTGTCTTCACTTGCCCCAACTTATCCTCTGTTCAGTGCATTTATTCTATCTCTCAACATCATTTGTTGGCATCCAAGGTATTTCCATTTATTTTTGCAACAGCCAAAAACAGGTTAGCTTAGAAGGCCAATCTGAGTGTGAGATGGGAGAGAAGGCAGGAGGTGATTTGATAGTTTTGACTGAAATATCTATCTGTGTGAATCTCAAACCCTAGAGGTGAAACTTTTAGTCAATTTATCCTCATTTTCAAATCTCTATGTTGCCAAGCACTTATTAAGAATAAATAAGGCAGTATCATGAAATAGGAAAAGCTCTGTACCCATCAGTAGGATTACTCTCAGGTTGTATTTCAATAGTCAATTGAAATTCTCTTCTACAGAAGGTGCATCTTTTGTGTCTTATAGAGAGAAAACTGTCCCTTTTTAGATAGCCCTTGCCCTACTTCAGAAACTTTGGCAGAGCCAGTCCAAACTATATTTCCTTACTATCAAAGGAGGAGAGAAAGCTGAGAAAGTTGATCTGGAGTGAGAATGAGAAAAGAGAAAATGCAGTAGCAGCTTTGCAGTTTTTTATCTCCTTGGTTTTTGTGAGAATCCCTACATCCCTGTAATAAATTACCCCAATTTATTTTATCTCGATTGAATTGGTTTCTGTAACTTGCAATCAAAGCATCCTAATTAAGATACAGACTAAAGAAGACACCGATAATTTATTTGGCTTGTAGATTTATTGCCAATAATTTAAAATATAAATCTAAAAAACTGCTTGTACCCAACTTGATATGATTTTAGGACAGGAAAGTCAGGTATTAACTAAATGTGGCATAAGGATGTGCGTTGAAATTAATACAGAACAGATATGAATGTTGGCTTCTTGTTATCTCTAAGAAAGTGAGCATGTTACTTAACCTCTCTGAGCCTTAATTTCCTCAGCTTTAAAATTGAAATCATACCTACCTCATATGATTGTTTTTAAATTTATGAGCTATAATATATAAAGCAGCTAGCTAAAATATAGGCATTCCTTAATAGTTATAGGAACTTTCTACTGGGGCAAAGGGTATTAATATGCTTTTTTTCTCTCATCCTGCTCAGGATTGGTTAGGAACTGCACAAGACAGCATCTAGGCATGGGGAAGTTATAGTGTCTCCAAGCAGAGACTGGAGGAGTAGGAGATGCTGGTGGGCTAAGGACCTCAAAAAGGGGAGAAGATAGAATAGGGAAGGGCAAATACAAGATTTCCCCACCTGACAGTTTTGGTAATGACTTGCCCAGGCTGATAGATCCACAAAAGGCTTATGGCAAAGTTGCAGTAATCATACAACAAGGGTGGTTTCCCTTCTTACCAATCTGAGGCCCTTATGCATTTACATGCTATACGCATTTATATGCAATGCTGCATTTATATTTGGTATCCATATTTCACTGAGCCTCCTTAATAGGGTTTCTCGACTTTGGCATGATTGACATTTTGGGGCCACAATTCTTTGTTTTGGGAGCTGTCCTGTGGATTGCAGGATGTTTAGTTGCATTTCTGTCCTTTATCCACCAGTTATAACAACCAAAAATGGCTCAGGATATTGCCAAATGGTCCCTGATTTTGGACAGGGAGAGGGACGCCACCAAATCACCTCTGGTTGAGAACCACTACTCTAAAATAATATTTTTATTTTATTGTTTTTAATTAAAATTAAAAAAAATTTTTTCAAAATATTCAAAATATTTTTGCTTACCCATTTTTATTTTTTAAGTCTTTTTCTAAAATTATTTGTTAAATTGACAAAAATTGTACATATTTATGGGGCACATAGTGATACAGATAATGTATAGTGATCAGATCAGGGTAATTAGCATATTTGTCATCTCAAACAGTTTTTATTACTTTGTGCTGGGAACATTCAATATTCTCCTTGTAGCTACTTGAAATAATATATTATTGTTAATGACAGTCATCCTACAGTGGTATAGAACACTAGAACTTATTGCTCCTATCTAGCTGTAATTTTGTATCCTTAACAAATATCTCCCTATCCCTCCCCCTACCACCCTTCCCAGATTCTAGTATACTCTGTTCTACATTTTAATTCCATGAGATCAACTTTGTTTACCTTCTACATATGAGTGAGAATATGTGGTGTTTAACCTTTGTTCCTGGCTTATTTCACTTATCATAATGTCCTCCAGTTCTTTTTTTTTTTTTGGTAGGCTATTATCTGTAGCTTTATTATTTATTTATTTATTTATTTATTTTTATTATTATACTTTAAGTTCTAGGGCACATGTGCACAATGTGCAGGTTTGTTACGTATGTATACATGTGCCATGTTGGTGTGCTGCACCTATTAACTCATCATTTACATTACTTATATCTCCTAATGCTATCCCTCCACCCTCCCCCTACCTCAACAGGCCCCAGTGTGTGATGTTCCCCTTCCTGTGTCCAAATGTTCTCATTGTTCAGTTCCCACCTATGAGTGAGAACATGCAATGTTTGGTTTTTTGTCCTTGCGATAGTTTGCTGAGAATGATGGTTTCCAGCTTCATCCATGTCCCTACAAAGGACATGAGCTCATCATTTTTTATGGCTGCATAGTAATCCATGGTGTATATGTGCCACATTTTCTTAATCCAGTCTATCATTGTTGGACATTTGGGTTGGTTCCAGTTCTTTGCTATTGTGAATAGTGCTGCAGTAAACATATGTGTGCATGTGTCTTTATAGCAGCATGATTTATAATCCTTTGGATATATACCCAGTAATGGGATGGCTAGGTCAAATGGTATTTCTAGTTCTAGATCCCTGAGGAATCACCACACTGTCTTTCACAATGGTTGAACCAGTTTACAGTCCCACCAATAGTGTAAAAGTGTTCCTATTTCTCCACGTCCTCTCCAGCACCTGCTGTTTCTTGACTTTTTAATGATCGCCATTCTAACTGGTGTGAGATGGTATCTCATTGTGGTTTTGATTTGAATTTCTCTGATGGCCAGTGATGATGAGCATTTTCTCATGTGTCTGTTGGCTGCATAAGTGTCTTCTTTTGAGAAGTGTCTGTTCACATCCTTCACCCACTTGTTGATGGGGTCGTTTGTTTTTTTCTTGTAAATTTGTTTGAGTTATTTGTAGATTCCGGATATTAGCCATTTGTCAGATGAGTAGATGGCAAAAATTTTCTCCCATTCTGTAGGTTGCCTGTTCACTCTGATGGTGGTTTCTTTTGCTGTGCAGAAGCTCTTTAGTTTAATTAGATCCCATTTGTCAATTTTGGCTTCTGTTTCCATTGCTTTTGTTGTGTTAGGCATGAAGTCCTTGCCCATGCCTATGTCCTGAATGTTATTGCCTAGATTTTCTTCTAGGGTTTTTATGGTTTTAGGTCTAACATTTAAGTCTTTAATCCATCTTGAATTAATTTTTGTATAAGGTGTAAGGAAGGGATCCAGTTTCAGCTTTCTACATATGGCTAGCCAGTTTTCCCAGCACCATTTATTAAATAGGGAATCCTTTCCCCATTTCTTGCTTTTGTCAGGTTTGTCAAAGATTGGATAGTTGTAGATGTGTGGTATTATTTCTGAGGGCTCTGTTCTGTTCCATTGGTCTATATCTCTGTTTTGGTACCAGTACCATGCTGTTTTGGTTACTGTAGCCTTGTAGTATAGTTTGAAGTCAGGTAGTGTGATGCCTCCAGCTTTGTTCTTTTGGCTTAGGATTGACTTGGCAAAGCGGGCTCTTTTTTGGTTCCATATGAACTTTAAAGCAGTTTTTTCCAATTCTGTGAAGAAAGTCTTTGGTAGCTTGATGGGGATGGCATTGAATCTATAAATTACCTTGGGCAGTATGGCCATTTTCACAATATTGATTCTTCCTATCCATGAGCATTGAATGTTCTTCCATTTGTTTGTATCTTCTTTTATTTCATTGAGCAGTGGTTTGTAGTTCTCCTTGAAGAGGTCCTTCACATCCCTTGTAAGTTGGATTCCTAGGTATTTTATTCTCTTTGAAGCAATTGTGAATGGGGGTTCACTCATGATTTGGCTCTCTGTTTGTTATTGGTGTATAAGAATGCTTGTGATTTTTGTACACTGATTTTGTATCCTGAGACTTTGCTGAAGTTGCTTATCAGCTTAAGGAGATTTTGGTCTGAGACGATGGGGTTTTCTAGATATGCAATCATGTCGTCTGCAAACAGGGACAATTTGACTTCCTCTTTTCCTAATTGAATAACCTTTATTTCTTTTTCCTGCCTGATTGCCCTGGCCAGAACTTCCAACACTATGTTGAAAAGGAGTGGTGAGAGAGGACATCCCTGTCTTGTGCCAGTTTTCAAAGGGAATGCTTCCAGTTTTGCCCATTCAGTATGATATTGGCTGTGGGTTTGTCATAAATAGCTCTTATTATTTTGAGACATGTCTGATCAATACCTAATTTATTGAGAGTTTTTAGCATGAAGGGCTGTTGAATTTTGTCAAAGGCCTTTTCTGCATCTATTGAGATAATCATGTGGTTTTTGTCATTGGTTCTGTTTATATTCTGGATTATGTTTATTGATTTGCATATGTTGAACCAGCCTTACATCCCAGGGATGAAGCCCACTTGATCATGGTGAATAAGCTTTTTGATGTGCTGCTGGATTCGGTTTGCCAGTATTTTATTGAGGATTTTTGCATCGATGTTCATCAGGGATATTGGTCTATAATTCTCTTTTTTGGTTGTGTCTCTGCCAGGCTTTGGTATCAGGATGATGCTGGCTTCATAAAATGAGTTAGGGGGAGGATTCCCTCTTTTTCTATTGATTGGAATAGTTTCAGAAGGAATGGTACCAGCTCTTCCTTGTACCTCTGGTAGAATTCGGCTATGAATCCTTCTGGTCCTGGACTTTTTTTGGTTGGTAAGCTATTAATTATTGCCTCTATTTCAGAGCCTGTTATTGGTCTATTCAGAGATTCAACTTCTTCCTGATTTAGTCTAGGGAGAGTGTATGTGTCAAGGAACTTATCCATTTCTTCTAGATTTTCTAGTTTATTTGTGTAGAGGTGTTTGTAGTATTCTCTGATGGTAGTTTGTATTTCTGTGGGATCGGTGGTGATATCCCCTTTATCATTTTTTATTGCATCTATTTGATTCTTTTCTCTTTTATTCTTTATTATTCTTGCTAGGGGTCTATCAATTTTGTTGATCTTTTCAAAAACCAATTCCTAGATTCATTGATTTTTTGAAGGGTTTTTTGTGTCTCTCTCTCCTTCAGTTCTGCTCTGATCTTAGTTATTTCTTGCCTTCTGCTAGCTTTTGAATGTGTTTGTTCTTGCTTCTCTAGTTCTTTTAATTGTGATGTTAGGGTGTCAATTTTAGATCTTTCTTGCTTTCTCTTGTGGGCATTTAGTGCTATAAATTTCCCTCTACACACTGATTTAAATGTGTCCCAGAGATTCTGGTAGGTTGTGTCTTTGTTCTTGTTGGTTTCAAGAACATCTTTGTTTCTGCCTTCATTTCATTATGTACCCAGTAGTCATTCAGGAGCAGGTTGTTCAGTTTCCATGTAGTTGAGCAGTTTTGAGTAAGTTTCTTAATCCTGAGTTCTAGTTTGATTGCACTGTGGTCTGAGAGACAGTTTGTTATAATTTCTGTTCTTTTACATTTGCTGAGGAGTGCTTTACTTTCAACTATGTGGTGAATTTTCGAATAAGTGTGGTGGGTGCTGAGAAGAATGTATATTCTGTTGATTTGGGGTGGAGAGTTCTGTAGATGTCTGTTAGGTCTGCTTGGTGCAGAGCTGAGTTCAATTCCTGGATATCCTTGTTAACTTTCTCTCTTGCTGATCTGTCTAATGTTGACAGTGGGGTGTTAAAGTCTCCCATTATTATTGTGTGGGAATCTAAGTCTCTTTGTAGGTCTCTAAGGACTTGTTTTATGAATCTGGGTGCTCTTGTATTGGGTGCATATATATTTAAGATAGTTAGCTCTTCTTGTTGAATTGATCCCTTTACCATTATGTAATGGCCTTCTTTGTCTCTTTTGATCTTTGCTGGTTTAAAGTCTGTTTTATCCGAGACTAGGATTGCAATGCCTGCCTTTTTTTGTTTTCCATTTGCTTGGTAGATCTTCCTCCATCCCTTTATTTTGAGCCTATGTGTGTCTCTGCATGTGAGATGGGTTTCCTGAATACAGCACACTGATGGGTCTTGACTCTTTATCCAATTTGTCAGTCTGTGTCTTTTAATTGGAGCATTTAGCCCATTTACATTTAAGGTTAATATTGTTATGTGTGAATTTGATCCTGTCATTATGATGTTAGCTGGTTATTTTGCTCGTTAGTTGATGCAGTTTCTTCCTAGCCTTGATGATGTTTACTATTTGGCATGTTTTTGCAGTGGCTGGTACTGGTTGTTCCTTTCCATGTTTAGTGCTTCCTTCAGGAGCTCTTTTAGGGCAGGCCTGGTGGTGACAAAATCTCTCAGCATTTGCTTGTCTGTAAAGGATTTTATTTCTCCTTCACTTATGAAGCTTAGTTTGACTGGATATGAAATTCTGGGTTGAAAATTCTTTTCTTTAAGAATGTTGAATATTGGCCCCCACTCTCTTCTGGCTGAGTTTCTGCTGAGAGATCAGCTGTTAGTCTGATGGGCGTCCCTTTGTGGGTAACCCAACCTTTCTCTTTGGCTGCCCTTAACATTTTTTACTTCATTTCAACTTTGTTAAATCTGACAATTACGTGTCTTGGAGTTGCTCTCTCGAGGAGTATCTTTGTGGTGTTCTCTGTATTTCCTGAATTTGAATGTTGGCCTGCCTTGCTAGTTTTGGGAGGTCCTCCTGGATAGTATCCTGCAGAATGTTTTCCAACTTGGTTCCATTCTCCCCATCACTTTCAGGTGCACCAATCAGACGTAGATTTGGTCTTTTCACACAGTTCCCTATTTCTTGGAGGCTTTGTTCGTTTCTTTTTACTCTTTTTTCTCTAAACTTCTCACTTCATTTCTATCATTTGATCTTCCATCACTGATACCCTTTCTTCCAGTTCATCAAATTGGCTACTGAAGCTTGTGCATTCATCACATAGTTCTCATGCCATGGTTTTCAGCTCCATCAGGTCCTTTAAGGACTTCTCTGCATTGGTTATTCTAGTTAGCCATTCATCTAATCTTTTTTCAAGGTTTTTAACTTCTTTGCATTGGGTTTGAACCTCCGCCTTTAGCTTGGAGAAGTTTGATCGTCTGTAGCCTTTTTCTGTCAACTCTTCAAAGTCATTCTCCGTCCAGCTTTGTTCCATTGCTGGTGAGGAGCTGCATTCCTTTGGAGGAGGAAAGGCACTCTGATTTTTAGAATTTTCAGTTTTTCTGCTCTGTTTTTTCCCCATCTTTGTAGTTTTATTTACCTTTGGTCTTTGATGATGGTGATGTACAGATGGGGTTTTGGTGTGGATGTCCTTTCTGTTTGTTAGTTTTCCTTCTAATAGTCAGGACCCTCAGCTGCAGGTCTGTTGGAGTTTGCTGGAGGTCCACTCCAGACCCTGTTTGCCTGGGTATCAGCAGCGGAGGCTGCAGAACAGCAAATATTGGTGAACAGCAGATGTTGCTGCCTGATTGTTCCTCTGAAAGTTTCGTCTCAGAGGGGTACCCTGCCATGTGAGGTGTCAGTTTGCCCCTACTGGGGGGTGCCTCCCAGTTAGGCTACTCTGGGGTTAGGGACCCACTTGAGGAGGCAACCTGTCTGTTCTCAGATCTCAAGCTGCATGCTGGGAGAACCACTCCTCTCTTCCAAGCTGTCAGACAGGGACATTTAATTCTGCAGAGGTTTCTGCAGCCTTTTGCTTAGCTATGCCCTGCCCCCAGAGGTGGAGTCTACAGAGGCAGGCAGGCCTCTTTGAGCTGCGGTGGGCTCCACCCAGTTCGAGCTTCCTGGCCGCTTTGTTTACCTACTCAATTCTCAGCAATGGAGGGTGCCCCTCCCCTAGCCTTGCTGCCACGTTCCAGTTCGATCTCAGACTACTGTGCTAGCAATGAGCAAGGTTCCGTGGGCATAGGACCCTCTGAGCCATGCACGGGATATAATCTCCTGGTGTGCCATTTGCTAAGACTGTTGGAAAAGCGCAGTATTAGGGTGGGAGTGACCCAATTTTCTAGGTGCTGTTTGTTCCCCCTTACCTTGGCTAGGAAAGGGAATTCCCTGACCCCTTGTGCTTCCCTGGTGAGGCAATGCCTCACCCTGCTTTGGCTCATGCTCGGTGCACTGCACCCACTGTCCTGTACCCACTGTCCGACAATCCCCAGTGAGATGCACCCAGTACCTCAGTTGGAAATGTGGAAATCACCCATCTTCTGCGTCACTCAGGCTGGGAGCTGTAGACTGGAGCTGTTCCTATTCGGCCATCTTGGAACTGCTTCAGTGTCCTCCAGTTCTATCCATGTTGCCTTGAATAACAGAATTTCATTCTTTTTTATGATTGAACAATATGTAATTGTATATCTATACCACATTTTCTTTATTCATTCATCTGTAGTGGGACACCTAGGTTGATTCCATATCTTGGCTATTGTGAATAGTGCTTCAGTAAACATGGGGGTCCAGATGTCTCTTCCATACGGTGATTTCCTTTCCTTTGGATAAATACCCAGTAGAGGGATTGCTGGATCATATGGTAGTTCTATTTATAGTGTTTTGAGGAAGCTTCATACTGTTTTCTATGATGAGTATACTAGTTTGCATTCCCACTGTGTATAAGAGTTTATTTTTCTCTGCATCCTCACCAGCATTTGTTTTTTGTTTTTTGTTTTTGTCTTTTTCATAATAGTCATCCTACCTGGGGTGAAATGATACCTCATTGTGGCTTTAATGTGCATTTCCCTGATGATTAAAGACATTGAGCATTTTTTCATATATTTGTTGGTCATTTGTATGTCTTCATTTGAGAAATGTTTGTTCAGATTATTTGCCCATTTTTAAAATCATTTTTCTGTTGTTGGTGTTGAGATATCGGAGTTCCTTGTATATTCTGGATATTAATCCCCTGTCAAATGAGTAGTTTGCAAATATTTTCTTCTGTTGTATAGGTTATCTTTTCCCTCTGTTGATTGTTTCTTTTGCAGTGCAGAAGCTTTTTAGTTTGATATGATCTCATTTGTTTATTTTTGTCTTTGTTGCCAGTGCTTTTGTGGTCTTATTTTTACAGGTTAGTAACTCTGTTTTAATCAGGGACTTGAATCACAGGAAAAACAATTAGAAGCAATTGGATATTGTACTTCACTATTCCCATCCCCATCTCCCTGTCCCACTTCTTTTTTTTTGAGACGGAGTCTTGCTGTCGCCCAGGCTGGAGTGCAGTGGCGCAATCTCGGCTCACTGCAGGCTCCGCCCCCTGGGGTTCACGCCATTCTCCTGCCTCAGCCTCCCGAGTAGCTGGGACTACAGGCGCCCGCCACCTCGCCTGGCTAATTTTTTGTATTTTTAGTAGAGACGGGGTTTCACCGTGTTAGCCAGGATGGTCTCGATCTCCTGTCCCTGTCCCACTTCTTACAAAGTTGGCCCTGAATGCCTGATATGATGTGAGATTTGGGATGGTTGGATCTGGAATGAGAAGACCTGAGTTCAGATCCCTTCACTGCCTCCTCCTAGTGAGAAACTGGATGACATCAGATTTAGGGGAGCCTAATTCTTATCTCTCAGGATTCTGATTGATAACATAGGCATAATGATCACTAGCAATATGGTGATTAAAGACTTGGGATACTCTCTGGGCAATTGCAAAATATCTCCTAAATGCCTGGTCATGTGCATGGGGGAATGCAATTTAGATGGGGATTTACTCCCACCCTCATGAAGACTTGGGACCCAATGCTTGGGGGGATCCTGTCTAGGAGACCCTGAGGAACGTTCCGCCGCCAGCAGCAGGCATGTCTCACACTCCCAAACCTTTTCAGGGGGTGTAGAAAGCAGTGGGCTTCCTGCACCGGATGGAAGGTTCGCTTATTTGCTCAATTGTAACTGGGACCAAGAAGCCTGGTAGAAGATACGCACTCACTGTTGCCAGCAAGAACCAAAGATCCAGAGGCCACGAGACACAAATGTAGAAGGCCAAGCCCTAGCCCCACCCGATAGAACTGTGGCCCAATCAGTGACAGTTCTCACTAATCAGGAAGCAGTAGTAAAAGTGAGGGAACCCGCATTCCTGCTCTTTAACTTTCTGGCTTTGGGGAGAGGTAGGCAACTCTTCTTTGCAGAAATAGAAAGGCCGAAGAGGGGGAGATGGCAAGTGTCTCCCCTAAGAGATGCACCATTCTCCCTTTTTATAACCCAGACATGTGCAAAAAAAAGAAAGAAAAATAAAAAGAGATAGGGAGAGAATGTATGGGATAGATCTCAGTAATTCTTACTGCTATTTTAAAGAAAGCCTTGGCATTTATTTAGTTGACTATCACCAGAGTTCAAATTCAAGAAGATCCTCTGCCACTTCCTGCAGTTTGTGGACTGTGGTAGAAGTTGAGCTGATCTGGCATCAGCACAGTAGGACAAACTGGAGTTGGAAGACTAAATGCTCAAGTCTCAGAGTGATCTTGATTGGCAGGCGAGCTTTGGCGCAGGGAGGTTATAAATTAAGCCTATTCCTTTAAGTATTTTTTTTTTAAGTCTGTGTAAATTCTTCTTTGATCTTGAGCTGGGGGCAGTGAACACCATCTGCTTTGTTTTGTTTTGTGTTTGGAATGATGTAGAATAATTCCTGCTGACCCTTGATATACGCACAGCATGCCCCCCAGTAGGCACAGACGGCTCTGCTTGTGGGTGTCTCTTGCCTGCTTTTCATATTTACTTTTGTTTATCGTTAGGGACAGGAGCTCATGTTGTCAGAATTTGTTTACCAAAAAATGCTCCTAATTTCTTGCTGAAACTCAAGGATAACCTTAGGTACTAAATGGCTAAACTTACTAGAGTAGTCCCTAAAACAGGAATAGACAGACTGATTAAGGGCCCAGGCGCATTTCTCTAAGTCATGAATCATATTAGTTCATGTACTTATCATATCTATTTTATAACCTCTACTCTTTCTTCCATATTACAAACAAGCGTTACCTGTTCTGAGTAGCTGTGGTTTTCAATAACTGGCCTTTACTAGTCTTAGGGAGTAGCATACATACTGGTACCACCTGAGTTCAAACAATGTTAGCTGGAAATAAACATTTTAGGAAGAGAATCAATTCTACCATTAGATTTATTTGTCAGGAACTAAAGGACAGCTCAGCAGTAAACTAAGAATTGAGGGAGAATACATTAAATACTGTATTTTGGGAAACACTCTTTCAAAATATGTACATGCATCTTTGTCAACTTAACTAAATCAATTGCTTAGCCCAAACAAGTTAGCTTAGAAATCATGTCCCCAAGATATGCTTCTATCTAATAGTATTTTAAAATGAGCAATATTAAGGATGCTTTAAAATGCTGTAATACAATTTTCTTTACCTAAATCTAAAGCTCATTGAAATGCCTATTATGAAGGCCACCATATGTGAGGCAGGCAGTCTTGACATTTTGTTGGGAAGGGAGGGAGTTACATCTGGAGAAATGTCCTCAGAAATTTATTACAGGATCGGATATCTGCAAAGTGTGATAGAACCCAGGGTTTGTGCCCTTCTTGTAGAGGTAGCAATTCTGGTGTCCCTGTTACAGTGAGAACCCTTTCTGGAAGACAGGCATCCTGGAACTTTACTTGGCCTATCTGCATAACCTTTCCTTTTTTTGATTTCTCCCTGTGTATTAGGAGAATTTTCTTTCTATGATTTGGGATAGTCTGGGAGGACAGCCCACAAGTTTTCTAGATTGGGAATGAATAAGAGAAAATTAATGTTTCCTGGGTCTAAATTCTCCTGAAATCCTTTATCAACTGTGTGATTTCGGGGTGACCGTTTAATTAGATAATGCATTTAAAGTGCTATCACAGTGCTTGATGAATAGTAAACATTCAATAAACTAATGTTTTATAATGTTTAAATTATTATTAAAACACTATTTTCATTTATTCATGATTCACTCAAAATATCCAGCAATTCAAAGTGTCTTCTCTGTGTCTGGTGCTGTGGAATGTGGGGGATGGTTTGGTGTGTTTGCGGTGGCCTTCTGAGGTCTCCCTAGTCTCTCACCTCCTGCCCCACCAAGTGGGTTCATCCAAAGCAGATGAGAGTCTTATTAAGTTGACACAATGTGATGAGAATGATGGATTTATTTATACTTTTCTCAGTACACTCTGACAGAGCCTCAGTTGGTGCCAAGATTGATGTGCATGAGACTGAAAGGCCCTCTTAGTGCCCAAATACCTCCTTACAACTTGTCTCAGTCTCTGAAATTTCTCCCATGAGTCATTCTTTTTTGCAAGGGAAGCTTTGGAGAAGCAAAGGTGAGTTGTACTAGTTTATTCCTCCCTTTTAGAGGTGAGAAGATGGGTGGATTCCTGAGCCCTACCATATTCCAGCTCTTAATGCTGCTATCAAAGATAGGTTCCTGGACAGGAAAAGCCATGGACAGCTTTTAAAGTTTTAAAACTTTCTCATATTTTTCATGGGTGGTTTCAACAGGAATAAACACATAATGTGCAAGCAATTTCACAATGCCTTGCATTGAAATCCATGGATTTCTAGATTTCTATCAGAATCCTGGCCTTGGGCTTAGGTGATTCCTATGTCCTTCTACACTTTAGCTGTAGAAACAGCAGGTGGAGTGAAAGAGCCTGTTCAGAGCAGCCAGATTTTGTTTTGGTTGTCAGCTAAAACAGAAACCTCATCATTCCAGACTTGGCAGCTTGTTAGTAGAAAAGCCACTGGGAAGCTCTAAGTTGGTAATTTAGAGCACAAATGTATTCCCTGATACAGCTGCAGAGCAGCAGGTGTCTGTGACTTAAGCAAACACTAGCTTTGAAAAAGTGAAATAAGAAAATAGAAAACTTTTTTTTTGCACATGTCAATATGGCTGAAAATATGTTTACTTCTTGTTCCTCTTGGTTCTTTTCTTATTAACTTGCTTAGACATATATAAGTGAACGTTTCATGCAATTCGATTCAATTTAACAAACATTTATTGAGTACCTACTGTGTACCAGACTCAGTGCTAGGTGTTGGGGATCATCATTTTCTGTTTTAGATTTTGGTGTGGAGACAGACATGCATACGGTTTCATAATAAAGGAATAACTAATTTCCTTCAGAGCACTGGACAATTCTGATCATGGAGTAGGAGAAGCCTTTTAGGAGAAAATGAATTAAAGGGATAAATATTGCTGAGATGGATTGGAGGGAGATAGTTCCAGGCAGAATGAGTTGCTGGAGAAGAATCTGAAGGATGTCAGAGTGATTGAAGGTAGGAGGAAAAAATAGGAATGTTCCTTTTGTGTCTCTGTCTGATGGATATGCTCACATTGAAAAATGCAAACATTCCTTTAGACCGCCTCTACCAAACCATCTGCCCTGGTGGCCACAGAGCATAGACCCACCAAACTACAAAAGTATGCATGAACATTTTCTTGTTATACAAAGCAGGGGGAGAATAGAAAAAGAATCATCAAAAATAGATGAACACTAACTATAAAAACAAATATAGAGTAATAAAAATGTAAAAAAAAATTCAGATATAAGAAATTTCATAACTTTTGTCTATACATCTATTATGGCCTCAAAGATATAATGGGAAACTATTATCCATATGAGCAGTACAAATGTAAAATACCTGTGATTTACCTTAATTTGAAATTTAGTGCAAAGCCTAGATAAAACTGCAAATGCCATAGAAGCTATTTTTAAGATTATTAAAATAACTTGACTAAATAAATAAAAATCAGAGACTGCAAACAGGGGAGGGGAGAGGGGATGGAGAGAGGATGTTTAGTGGGTAGAAAAATACATTAGAAGGAATATGATCAACTGTTCGGCATTATAGTAGGGTAACTACAGTTATCAATAATGTGTAGTTCAAAATAGCTAGAAGACTTGGAATGTTTTCAACATAAAAGATGAATGTTTGAGGTGATGGATATTCCAATTACCCTGATTTGGTCATTACATATTGTATACATATATCAGAAAATCACATATACCACCCCCCAAATTGAGCAAAATATTGGAAAAATGAAAACAGAGTTTATGAATGAGAACCCTCAATTTGTAAAGACATTGTGTGTTCCCAAATTATTATGGGTTTAATGTGATTCCAATTAAATTCCACCAAGATTTTTAGAAACTGTTAATGGTAAAAATTCATTTATCAGATACTTCAAAATAATAAGAGCCATCTATGAAAAACTCATAGCCAATATTATACTGAACGGGTAAAAGCTGGAGGCATTCCCCTTGAAAACCAGAACAAGGATGCCTTCTCTCACCACTTCTATTCAACATTGTACTGGAATTCCTAACCAGAGCAATCAGGCAAAAGGAAGAAATAAAAGGCATCCAAATAGGAAGAGAGGAAGTCAAACTATCCCTGTTTGCAGATGATATGATTATATACCTAGAAAACCCCATACTCTCTGCCCCAAATCTCCTTGATCTGATAAACAACTTCAGCAAGATATCAGGATACAAAATCAATATAAATAATTAGTAGCATTTCTATACACCAACTACATCCCAGCTGACAGCCAAATAAATAAAGCAATCCCATTCAAAATAGCTCAAAAAATCAACCTAGGAATATAGCTAACCAGGAAGGTGAAAGATCTCTACAAAATGAGAATTATTGATATGAAACACTGCTCAAAGAAATCAGAGATGACCCACAAACAAATGGAAAAATATTCATGCTGAAGCATAGGAAGAATCAATATTATTAAAATGGCCATACTGCCCAAAGCAATTTACAGATTCAGTGCTATTCCTATCAAACTACCAATGACATTATTCACAGAACTAGAAAAAACTGTTTTAAAATTCATAGGAACCAAAAAAGAGCCTGAATAGCCAAGGCAATCCTAAGCAAAATAAAGCTGGAGGCATCACATTACCCGACTTCAAACTGTACGACAGGGCTACGGTAACCAAAACAGCATGGTACTAGTACAAAAACAGACCAGTGGAACAGAATAGAGAGCCCAGAAATAATAACAGAGATATGCAACCATCTGATCTTCAACAAAGTTGACAAAAACAAGCAATGGGGAAAGGAGTCCCTATTCAGTAAGTTGTGCTGGGATAACTGACTAGCCATATGGAGAAGATGGAAACTAACCCCTTCCTTATATCATATACAAAAACCAATTCAAGATGGATTAAAGAATTAAATGGAAAATATAAAACTATAAAAACCCTGTAAGATAACCTAGGAAATACAACTCTGGACACAGGACCTGGCAAAGACTTCATGACGATGATGCCAAAAGCAATTGCAAGAAAAGCAAAAATTGATAAATGGGACCTAATTAAACTAAAGAGCTTCTGCACAGCAAAAGAAGCCATCAATAGAGTAAACAGACAACCTACAGAATAGAAGAAAATATTTGCGAACTATGCATCTGACAAAGGTCTAATATCCACAATCTATAAAGAACTTAACAACAACCTCATTAAAAAGTGGGCAAAGGACATGAGTAGACACTTTTCAACAGAAGACCTACATAAGAGCAACAAGCATATGGAAAAATGCTCAACATCACTAATTATTAGTGAAATACAAATCAAAACTACAATGAGATATTATCTCATACCAGTCAGAATGACTTTCATTAAAAAGTCAAAAATAACAGATGCTGTTGAGGTCATGGAGAAAAGGGAAAGCTTATACACTGTTGGTGGGAATATAAATTAGTTTAGCCATTGTGGAAAGTAGTGTGGCAATTTCTCAAATAATTTAAAAACAGAATTGTCATTCAACCCAATAATCCCATTATTGAGTACGTATCCGAAAGAATATAAATCATTCTACTATAAAGACAATGCACACCTATGTTCATTGGGGTACTATTCACAATGGCAAAGACATGGAATCAACCTGAATGGCCATCGATGGATAAAGAAAATGTGGAACATATACACCATGGAATACTACACAGCCATAAAAAAGAATGAGATCATGTCCTTTGCAACAACATGGATGGAGCTAGAGGCCATTATCATAAGGGAATTGACGCAGGAACAGAAAATCAGCTACCACGTGTTCTCACTCATAAGTGGGAGCTAAACAACGAGAACACATGGATGCAAAGAAGGGAACAACAGACACCAAGTCTTCCTTGAGGGTAGAGGGTGGGAGGAGGGAGATCATAAAAAAACTACCTGTCAGGTACTATGCTTATTAACTGGGTGACAAAATAATCTATACACCAGACCCCTGTGACATTCAATTTACCTATATAACAAACCTGCACATATACTCCTGAACCTAAAATAAAAGTTAAAAAAAATTTTTAAAGTGGTGAAATTAAGAACAAAGGGATATTATGGAAGGTTAAGGAAAATTCCCTCTTTCATTATATCTTGTAATTTTAGATTCTGTGAGCAGATATTAGAATGCAAGTTCAAAAAATTACATCTCTTAGAATAGAAACAGCCAATTAGAGAAGTTTGAAAAAAAAAAGAAATGCTATCTTACTAGATAATAAAATGTATTTTAAAGCTAAAATACATACTACTTTATATTGAAGCAAAAACACAGAAAAGTTAATTGAGCAGAAAACAAAACAAAGCAAAACTCTGAAACAGATACTTGCAAATATAAAAATATAGTATATGGTTAAGTAAAGATTTCAAATTCATGATTAAAGAAGAAATTTGTTCATTTTCGGTGCTATAACAATTAGTTACCGGAGAAAATTAATCTTTGTAACACACAATATACTAAAGTACATTAACAATGGATTAAAGAGTTAAATGGAAAAGTCTTCCTTTTGACATAAAAACAAAGACGCATAAAACATTACACAAAAATAGACTACCATACTCGTTTTTCATATGAAATTTGTGAATAAGTTAAATTTTTAAAGTGGAAAAATATTTGCGATTTATAATCCACTCCTTACTATATAAAAAGTCTTAACAGATTGTCTTACTCCATTCAGGCTGCTATAAGAAAATACCATAGACTGGGTAGCTTGTACATAACAGAAATTTATTTCTTACCATTCTGGAGGCTGGACAGTTCAAGATCAAAGTGCTGATAGAGTCATGTCAGGGGAGGGCTGCTCTCTGCTTCACAGGTAGCACCCTTTAGCTGTGTCCTCACATAGTGGAAGGAACTAGCTAGCAGTCTAGGGGCTGTTTTTGTAAGGTCATTAATCCCCTTCTTGAGGAGTCCATTCTCAAAAACGCTCAGAACATAGCACTGATCAATATACAAAAGGTAAAAAAACAAAAACAAAAACAAACACACACACAGTAGGAAAATGAACAAAGGAAATGGATAGACAATTGGTAGGAGATGACAAAATGCATTCCAAAATTTGTTGTTTGCTTATGAAATTTTTAAAAAAGGGAAATGTACTATTTGGTAGTTATAAGGGTAAGAAAAATGGAAATGCTCTCTTAGTGATAATGGGAATTTAAATGCTTATAACCTATGGAGAGTGATTTAATGATAGCCATCATAAGCCTTAAACATACTTATGCCCACTAAGCAATTCCTATTCTAGGAATTAATCCTAAGGAAATGATCAAAATTGTGTGTATATGCTTACTAATGCATATGTTTATCCCAGTGGTTTAAAAAATAATAGCGAATAATTGGAAATTACTCAAATCTCCAAAAAGATAATTGCCTAAATAAACTATATCATAGAACATTATATAGCCTAAAAAATTGTTATGAAAGATTGTAATGACCATGGAAAATATTATTCATTTACATTGAAGAAGAAAAAAAAGAGACCATATAACATTATTTTAATTTTGAAAAAATGAAACAGTTCTGTACTTATTTACAAATTTAACAAGCACATAGATCCACTTAACAGTGATTATTGATGAGTAGTAGGATTAGAGATTATTTTAATTACATTCTTTGTATTTTTCTTTGTTTTTCAAATCTGCTACACATAATTTGAAATTTAAAAATAAACACACACACATTCTGTTTCCAATGGTCAACGCTCAGTGCCCAGCATACAGCATTCCTTCAGAAAGAGTACCTACAACATTTTAATAGTTGGATGGAAAATCTGGAAATTAGAGTGCCAATGGCAGTGGGGATGGTGCCAGGAACTGGGCCCCCCAGATTCATGGCAGACCAGAAGACCCAGAGGCCACATAGGCAGAGAGTGTGAACAATCTGTAAAACACCACAGATGCCATCTCCTCCCTGTTATCTGCTCTCCCCAAACCCCCTACACACACCCAGAGCCAGAGGAAGGAGCTCGGCTTTGCACAGGAACTAAAGAGCTGATGAAACAGTGAGGGGAGCTGAGCTCTGGTGCTGTGGATTGATCCACACCTTGTCCTCTGTGTGTACGCCTCTGCTGCTCTGACCTTGAGAAGTACCTTTAATGTAAAATAGAAAAAATGCTTTCTTCTTTAAGAAGCTGTCAGATTAGAGAATCAGAGAGAATAGCAGTTGACATTGGCTGAGGGTTTCTTAACTCTGTAGGCCAGGAGACCTTCATCAAAAAGAGTCAGCATGATGAATGAGAAGTCCTATTATCCCAAATGAAAGTGAAAGGGGTTGACTGTAAGTGGGTTAGAGCTGAGAGTAAGGCCTGGGCAGAATGCGGAGGATGAAAATTAACACAAGATTAAGGCTGGTCATTCATTTTCTCTGTCTCTGTCTGTCCCTTCCCCCTTCCTCTCTCTTTCTCTTTCTCTTTCTCTCTCTCTTTCTCTCCCCCTCCCTCCCTCCCTCTCTCTCTCTCTTTCTTTTTCTTTTCTTTTTTCTTTCCTTTTCTTTCCTTTTCCTTTTCCTTTTCTTTTTCCTTCCTTCCTTCCTTTCTCTTTCTTTTCTCTCTCTCTTTTTCTTTCTTTCCTTCCTTCCTTCCTTCCTTTCTCTCTCTTTCTTTCTTTCTTTCTTTCTTTCTTTTCTTTCTTTCTTTCTTCCTTTCCTTTCCTTTCTTTTCCTTTCTTTTCCTTTCCTACTTCTTTTTCTTTCTTTCTTCTTTCTCTCTCTCTTTCCCTCCCCCGCCAACCCCTGTCTCTCCTTCTTTTCCTTTCTCCCTCCCTCTCCATATTTATTAAGCACCTACTGAGTACCAGCATACCCTGGGAGCTTCAAATCATTCAGGTCCTAATGATACTACCCTTCTCAGTTTAGGGGCTCTAATTGGCTCATATCCTCTTGCAGGGTTTGCTGGTATCTTGTTTTTCTATTCTTCCCAGAGGGATAAAGTGAGTGATGATTTGTATTCTCCCCTATGATATTAAGTAGACCGTGGGATTTAACCCCCTTCTCCCTTGAAAGTGACTAATACTAGAAGGACAGAAAAGAATGGAATTTCCTAGGTCAGTGGAGTGAGGTTAAAAGTGGGGGTAGGAGAATCTTAAGATACAGATTCATGATTCAGTTATTCTGATTGAGTAGATTTATGTAGGGCCCAGACTGTCTGCATTTTTAACAATGCCCTTGGTTGATTCTGAGGCCCATGGTCCTCCACACTTTGAGAAATGTTGAGGGTTTAAGTCGTCATCATCTTGACATACTCTATTTCTCTGTTTCTGGTCTCATAGATGACATATTCAATATGGCCCCTAGAGGCTTCTGTGGGCAACTTTCAGGTTTTCAACCAGGCAGGAGATCAGTTTAATACATGATCCCTATATATTAACACATGTTCCATTGAGCTCCCTTCTCTTGAGCCCTTTATACTGTTGTAAAACTTGATCAAGAAACGGCATTTTGGATGGACTTGTCCAGCATCCTCTAGGTTTCAAGGAAAATCCTAGAAAGATTTTCTATTTCCTTCATAGAGAGTTCCAGATTGCTGATCTCTAGGTCAGCAATGAGGGAAGTAATAGCACAGCCGCCAGACTAAGTTGCAAGAGGGAAATTTGCACCAATTAGTGCAGAATATCTGCTGCCATTCAGATGCCTCTCAGGTAGGCTGTGATAACCTATCCAAGCTACAATTTTTCTCTTCCTACAAGGAAGTGAGGAGAGAAAGCACTGGAGGATCTGTTTGCTTTATTGCTGTTCACTGTTCATGTTCTGTTCACCACCCTTCTGCTATCTTTCTATTTCAGGGCTAGCTGTGGTTCTTATTTTGGTTGTCACTTTACCTGCTTCTCAAATCTCAGGATTGGCTGAGTTTGGATACTTGATTTGTTATATTTTCAAACCTTACTTTGATCTTGTAAAACAAAAAGTGTTTGAGACAGGTGTCAATCCATTTAGAGGTTTATTTTGCTGAGATTGAGGACATGCCTGAGAAAAGGAGACACAAGTCTCAGTGGGATCTATGGCCTGTACTTTTTTCCTAAGAGGGTTTTGGGGGTTTGAATATTTAAAGGAGAAAAAGCAGGCAGGAGGGGAAGGAAGAAAGAAAATTAAAGGGAGGGTATGTAGTGAGGTAACTGTTCACATTTCTTGTGAGGCTTTGATTAGCACTCACTAAATCCATGTTGCATGTGAAAGGCATAGAGGAACAATCAATTATACATACATCTTGCACTCAATAAATCTGCATTTTACATAAGATAAGTAAATAGAGAATCTACTTTATTTTGAGGTAGGAGGAGGGATGATTTCTAGTCTTTTCTTTGTCCTGTACCTGTGAAGGTAAGCCATTAATTTACATAATCAGAGTGAGGGAAGCTACCTGGGGAGATATGTGGCCTTTTATTGTACAGCTATCTGTTTAGGAACAAAAGGAAAGGCATTTTTTCTTTTTTGTATGACTCAGTTTCTGAGCTTAACTTTTCCCTTTGGTATAGTGAGTTTGGGGTCTCGAGATTTTCTTTTCTTTTCACAACCTCCTAGCTCTGACCTCAGAGATTCTCTGATCTGGGTATCATTTTCTGGTACTGGTGTTTAGTATGATGACTGAGAATGGTGATACAATGTGATACTCAGTGGGCCTATGTTTTGGTTCACAAAGAGAATAAATTAGATGCCAGACATAATTCCGTAAAGCCCCAGCTTTAGGAACACATGGTCTTAAAAAGTTCTCTAAGGAGATTTACTAGCTTGACAGACGTATGTAAGGCTCTGCCATGATGGAAAGTCTGGGGATTTACCTCTGGACGTTTTATCAACAAACTGCAAAATACAATCTCTTATTAATTTTCCACCTTTGTGTGTTTGGTTGAAGAAAAAACAAAAGGCACGTGCTCCACTGGGGTTGGAGAAAGCTGAAGTTCTTACACTCTGCATATGAGAGTTGACAATTATTTAATCAAGGGCTGAGAAGTAGCGATAAAAAGCATTTCATTTCGGATCCACTCTGCCTGAGCAGAGTGACCACGAGGGCAGCTGATCCCTGAGACAGGCAAACAGACCAATGCTGGTTCTCCTGGTAGCACATGTAAACTCAGGCTGGTTCTCCTGGTAGCACATGTAAACTCAGGCTGGTTCTCTTGGTAGCACATGTAAACTCAGGCTGGTTCTGTGGAGGAGATGAGGAAAGGCCATAATCGTACAGGTTGGCAAGACCACTTTCTTTTTTTCCTGGTCTGGCCTACAGTTTATAAAGTTACCTCTGAGCCACTTCTGCAAAAGGTCTCATTCTCTTCTGCAATCTTTCTATATAATTCCATCCAATTTTTGTTCTTTCCTTGAACTCTTAGAGCTTTTTGTCCACACTATTAATTTTCCATTGTATATTTCTCATCCTTTTCTGCTTCTGGTCTCTGCAATTTGATTTTGATCATTTTGAAAGCCTGTTTCTTATTTTTCTATGTATTATGGAGGTGGATTTTTCATTCTTTCTTCCCTACATATACGCCCTTCTGTGTATCTCCTTTTCCATTTCCTCTATCCTACATCCTATTCCTAAGAGTGGAGGAGCTGCTATTCTGAGTGTTCACAGGATGGAATTTTATCATTTGCAAGTACGGCCACAGTGTTTTGAAGGTCCACACTGCCTGTAGTAGTTACTTTGGAACTTCTTGCCCCTATAAGTGTACCGGTTCAGGCTCTTTTCTCATTCTTCACGTTGGTGTTCTCTGGGGTTCTCTCGATTGACCCCTGAGCATCTCCATTTGGTGTTGGAGGGGATGGAGTTATTTATGTTAGTGTGTGTGTATGTGTGTATGGAGGTAAAGACTCAAGATGAAAGCTTGGTCAGGTGTGGTAGCTCACGCCTGTAATCCCAGCACTTTGGGAGACCGAGGTGGGTGGATCACCTGAGGTCAGGAGTTAAAGACCAGCCTGGCCAACATGGTGAAACTCTGTCTCTACTAAAAGTACAAAAATTAGCTGAGCGTAGTGGCACATGCCTGTAATCCCAGCTACTTGGGAGGCTGAGGCAGGAGAATTGCTTGAACCTGGGAGGCAGAGGTTGCAGTGAGCCGAGATCGCACCACTGCACTCCAGCCAAGGCAACAGAGTGAGACTCTGTCAGGAGGCCGAGTTTGCAGTGAGCCAAGACTGTGCCACTGCACTCCAGCCTGGGTGATAGAGCAAGACTCTGTCTTAAAAAATAAAAAAATAAAAATAAAATAAAATAAACAAAACAGATGGAAGCACAAGCCATGTCCTCTGAGTTGGTTGTTATCAGAGAGCCCTGAATGGCTCCTTAGCTTGATACCATGTTGATATAGTCCAGACTCCATCAAGAAATCTTAATGTGATACATTTTCCATTGCTCTTTCACCTTGTGAAGAACTGAATGAATAAACGAATGAAGTAATGAAGCCAAACAAGGTGACTTTTGAGTTGCATCTTAAAGTGTGATTCGAATGTTTGACAATAATAGAAGAAGACATATTCCCTGTGTTGGAGAAGGGCTGGCCTGAGGCTAATCTGTCAAGTAGTTAGCCTGGTTGTCAGGGCTCCTATTTCCTGCTCGGTCATCTAGTTTCCTAATCCTGCCTTCAGGCTGTCTAGATTCTTCCAGTTGTTTTTATTCTATTAGTTTTTAGTACAGGATTAACCCCCACACACATTCCTTGTCTACCACTAAGGTGAAGCAAGTTCAATGTTTAAACAACTAGTGTATTTTGAAGCATGTGTCTGAGCCCGCAGGAGATACATTCCAGAGCTTTGTGGGGATGGGGAGTTAGAGGATCCCACTGGAGTCGTTGGCCTGTGGGGAGTAGGGTAGGGAGGGGCTTGGGCTATCTTTCCTTTTTATTGTAGAGGTGAGTTTCTAGGGTCTGATGTAAGCTCAAAAAAGTGGCTCTCTGCCTAACATACCATGTAGAGAAGAATGTCAACTTTCCCTGTGAAGAGTGATGAGGTCACAGGTGTGGGCATGAGGGCATCTGCCCATGTAGTGTGATCTGGAGGGTAACAAAGTCTTGTTGAAAAATCATCCCCCTGTTGGCCTACCATAGTGCTGGAATTGCCCACACTTCTCATCCTTGTGGATTTATGTACGTTTGGCAAAGCCCTTGTCAAAAAAATAATCAGGTTAACTGGGAGGTCACGTACAAGTAAATACCCTGATGAGGAATGGGAATATATAAACTCATGAACATCTAGGAAACACGGGCATGGGTTACTTGATAAAGCACTGTTACCTGTGTCTGACCCTAGGGAATGGAACACAGGTCTAGTCAGTTTTGGGAGGCTAATGTGTTGTCAGCGGGGGAATATGTGGAGATTCTGGGAAAGAGGAAGGGACATGAGGTTTTTTGGGTTTTTAGAGAATGAGTAAAGGGGAAAAGCACAAGAAAAGATGTCTAAATAGAAAGTGGGGCACTGATGACAATTTTTCCTAACTTCAGAATTTTTCCAACCTTTATTTTTTCTATGGCTATATGTATTTAAATAATTTAGGAGTGAACCAACAGCTCATCCTAAAGGGGAGACTTTAACTAATTGCATATTAGAATATATTAGATTACCAAAATGCTTATCTCAGGCTTGTAACAGACATCCATTCAGAGTAGGGAACTCTATAGATTAACTGTCTATACTACTTAAATAAATGAGATAATTGATATATATGTATATTCTTAAAATCACTCCATCATACCTACAGAAAAAGAAGATGATCCTTTATATTTGTGGCCTACATTTTGGTCTGTCACACACTTACTTTCTGTGCAAAAAGGAAGAACGAGGGTGATTATATGTCTTGTGATGGTTAATTTTATGTGTCTGCTTGACTGGGCTTAGAGATGCTCCAATAGCTGGTAAAATATTATTTCTAAGTGTATGAGGGTCTCAGACACACTCAGAAGAAAAAGGATCATCTTCTTTTTCTGTAGGTATTGTGGAGTGATTTTAAGGATATATATCAATTACCTCATTTATTTGGGTAGTATAGACAGTTAATTTATAGAGTTCACTACTCTGAATGGATGTCTGTTACAAGCCTGAGATAAGCACACACATCTCTTCCTCTTCTGAAAGAGATTAGCGTTTGAATCAGTACGCTGGGTAAAGAAGACCACCCTCACCAATGTGGGCAGGTGTCATCCAACCCATTGAGGGCCCAAATAGAACAAAAAGGCAGAAGAAAGGTGAATCATCTCTTGCTGTTTGAGCTGGGGCATTTATTTTCTCCTGCCCTAGGACACCAATGCTTCTGTTTCTGAAGCCTTCAGACTTGAAATTACACGTGCCCCTCCCCTGGTTGCAACTTATGGTATTCTCCATTTCCATAATCCCATAAGCCAGTCCTTCAGAGTAAATCAGCCTTTCTCTCTCTCTCTCCCTCTTTCTCTCTCTGTGATTGGTTCTGTTTCTCTGGAGAACATTGACTAATATACTTGTTAATTGGGGAATTAAGGAGACATTCACGATCTTCCCTTTGGCTGCATGAAGTTAGTAAAAAGGTTTGAGACCTTGTTCCAAAGAAGTGGTATGACATCCTATTGTGTTTTTATTTTATTTTATTATTATACTTTAAGTTTTAGGGTACATGTGCACAACGTGCAGGTTTGTTACATATGTATACATGTGCCATGTTGGTGTGACATCCTATTAAGTTTTAATTACCTTAACTATAAGGCCTGTTTTGTCAACAATGCATTCTACTGCCTTATTTCTGTAGGATCAATAAGCCTGCTTCTTAGGTTTGTTCTGGAAGTCCCTATTCCTCTGTTACCATTCTTCCTCCTGCAGTACTCTGCTTTTTGGTCAACTAAAGATGACATACTTATCACTGTATCAGCTGTGATAGGCTAAGCTGTGCTCTAGTAATAAACATATGTTGACATTTCAATGCCTAGGACAAAAATGTTGTCTTTTATTTGTGGACACCTGATATGGGTCTGCTGGGTTTCTCTTTTAAAAGCAACATGGTGAGTATGTGGCACAATCTCTGCCCTTGTCACTGATAAAGATGCTTAGGCCAGAAGTGGTACCAGGTAGAACTGAAAAAAGGGTGCAGGCCAAGATCAGACTGACCTGGGTCCTTCCACGCATCAGCTCATTCTCCGAAAATGAAGATAACTTCATGGGGTTGTGAGGAGAATTAATGATCTAACACTTATAAAGCTTCCAGTTCAGTGCTTGGCTCAGAGCAGATACTCAACAAATGTTCTTTCCCTTCACTTCCCATGTTATGTTACATACAGTGTTGTGAATAATGGGAACAACATTATAACCCAACTTCTCTACATATCCTGAATAGATCCTTTTTTGGGGGGAGGATAAGGGGTGGTGAGCTGCTAAAAGTGTCAGGCTAATTCCTTCAAGCCACTCTTTTGTTTTATCTCTAGACTTAACATTTACTAACATAAACAGGAGTATCTCTGACCATCAGAGTGGTAAGCTAGAGAAATAAACATATTGCCTCTTTCTAATTAATCTGGCTACTCCTTAGAGCAACTTTAACAAGCTATGATATGCAGAGAGATGAAACATTCCAATTATTTTTCTGTAATGCTATAATCCTTTTACAAGTGCTTCCCTCTGATGTATAATCTCCTAAATCAGACACTAAAGAACAAATACCAGCTTTGATTTGACAAGCCTCTCCTTCTCACTGAAGGGGGGAGAAACAACCTACCAGAAGCCTTGATTCTTCAACAGCTGTGAAATATTCCCTCCAGAAGGAAAATCTTTCCGCTGTTGAGTGCTGAGTACTCCGGTGCTTGATTTGTTTCCTGCAGGGGCCACCACTGATTATGGCATTTGAATTCAGTGGCTGTTTTCCTTCTGATGAGAATGAATGAGGTGGGAAGTGGGTGGGGTGGATGTGGGAGAAGGAGTAATGATGAGGGAGAAAAATACAAGATGGAAACGGAGGAGCTGTGAAAGTGAAAAGGGCAGAGAGGGGCGGAAGTTACATGGCAAGTGAACAACCTCAAAAGCATCAGCTCACACAAAGGCACAAGACCAGACAGGCTGGGAGCGGAAACCAGCTAGAGATGAAAACGGAATTCCCGACTTTGAGTTTTGTGAGACTTGACAGTTGGTTTTGAGTCCTGGGTCTACCATTTTCTAGCTATGTGCTTTTAACTGTCAAAATAACTATTGTGAAATTAAAAAAAAATTGAAAGAAGCATGTGGAACTGAAGGCACTGTACAAATATGAGTCATTTTTAGCTATTTTATAGAAATGTAGTTAGATGCATATAGAGTTAGATTGAGAAACAGCAGGAGAGACAAAATTTATACTCATTTAGGAAAGTTTCTGACAATATATTTTACACAGGACAAGTTTTGTGAAGAGTCTCAACTCACTGGGAGTATAAACAGGAAGCAGTTTTGTTTTTCTCAACAACTGCAACCGGCTGTGCCCTGTTCAACATTTCTGCCTGGGAGTAGGACTTCTTGTGGCCTCCGTCTGACTTCCTAATTTCTCAGACAATTTGTGTTAACAAAGCAGTCTCCAAATAAGTTCTGTGAGGCTCAGTCCTGATTGTTTGAGAACTTCAAGCTCATGCATAAATCAAAACCATTCTCCATTTCCAGCACCTTTCTCCTCAGTGCTTGGAGTTGGGTCAGGAGCATGAGGTCAGGAGCATGAGAGAGGAGGCAAGCTTCCTACTTATACAGGGATGTTAGTGTCTTCTCCTGGGCCTGTAAATACCATTAATCTAGTTGTTAGCCCATGGGGCAATGTGATTGGAGAGACATGCTCCCAGATTGCTCCACAGGCACTTTCTGAGGGAAGTCACATCTGGCTAAACCTCAGCTGAGACCTCCCAGGAGAGTCATCTGCACAGGTGCCTGTCTACCTCAGGGCTGAACACAGCCAGCCCTTTGAGGACATTGCTACCCCGAACAGTAGACATAGTCTACACTTAAAGTTGTGAGCTATATATATATTTTTTCTTAGCCATGTCCTTAGTTGTCAGAACTAGGAAGACTGAGGAGGGGAACCTGATCTCTCTGAAGTTCAATATGTATATTGGTATGTAACTAAATAAGATGTGCATATTAAACTCTAGAGGGATCTAGCTATCATTCATTTTTATCTGAAGCCATTCACAGAAAATCTTGAAGTCTTTTCATAAATACAATGCATTTCATATGTTTTCTTTGAAAAATGGTAAATATTTCCTTTCATTTTACGGGGAAGATCATTTTCATAATGCTATAACCCCTTTTGTAAATTTTTGAAATCATGGCAATCAAGTTGTACTGAAATTCCAAAGGTGGCCATGATGGAGAATTCTACTTAGGACATGACATAAAATGCAAGAGAGAATTTGGTCTGCAAGTTGAAGGTTCCTTGTATTTGATGTAAAGAAACCTTAACCTTGATGAAATAGGAACATGTGGTTAATGTTTTTCTTAAGGGAATAATGACAACTTTTTAATATTTTCAGATTTATTGTACTGTAAGTTTACCTGTTCAGATTTGGGTTTTGTAAATGGAATACCTACCTGTAATGTTTCGTTGATTCTGTTCTTGGAAACACTTTTGTTGGGTCCATACAACCTTAGAGTCATTGTTTCCTTTAATGTAAACTTTATGGAACATTCAATGCCAAACTCAGCAGAATGTGTTTTCACAAGAAAACTGAATCTCATAAGTGGGATCTATTCATTGCTTCCCTTTGGCTCTGCAGACCTGTAACCACTGCTATGTTATTTTCTGATATTTAGGCCTAAGGCCATTAGAAGGATTTCACTGAGGTGTTCTTATTGACAACAGAATCCTGGGAAATGAAATGGAAACACAGTTGCCAATCACAGGGAAGGGCCTGTGGGGTTACCACTTTTTCTTGTTTGTTTGTTTTGTTGTTGTTGTTTTTTGAGGTAGAGTCTTGCTCTGTCGCCTAGGCTGGAATGCAGTGGCGCAATCTTGGCTCACTCACTGCAACCTCCGCCTCCCGGGTTCAAGTGATTCTCCTGCCTCAGCCTCCGGAGTAGCTGGGATTACAGGCACCAGATAACACATCCAGGGAATTTTTGTATTTTTAGTAGAAATGGGTTTCACTATGTTGGCCAGGCTGGTCTCAAACTCCTGACCTCAAGTAATCCACCTACCTTGGCCTCCCAAAGTGCTGGGATTATAGGTGTGAGCCACTGTGTCCAGCCTTTTCTTGTTTTTAAATGTGCAATAAACTCTTCTGCCAAGACAATTCCATTAGGAAGATTCTGCAGAGACATATACTCAGTAAATTAATTTAATCCCAATCATAGAGTTAGAAAATCTCATAGTTGGAAGAAACTTTGAAAACCATGTAGTCTAGTAACCTTCTCTGTGTTCAATTCCCCCTCCATTATCCTGAAAATATCTTTTAGCGTCTGCTTGAACAGCCCCAGAGATGGAGCTTCTACCACCCCAGGAGGCAGCACATTCACAAATACTGAAAGTGCATCCTTATGAGGAATCTAAATGTACCACTTTCAGATCTTGAATATAGCCATTTTTCTTTCCTTTAGAGATCTTCTCCATTTCAGTCATTTTTTCTCCTTTCATCACTTCCTCATCTGATGAAAGTTGGAGGCCACCACGATTTTGGCCATTCTGCTCATCTATAGCTACTTTAAGTGTCATTCCTAGATTGAAACCTGATATTCCAGGTATAGTCTGATCTAGCTCAGAGTAGGACAGAATCACATCTTTCATTCCTTAGAACCTCTAAGTTTTCATTTACCCTTCTGTCTGCCTTTTCCAGTTGCTAAGTCAATCTCCCTTGCACCTGTGCAGTTGAATTTTTTATTTTGCGGTTGAATTTTAGATCCAAAAACAAGATCTTGCATTTGTAGACACTAAATTTCATATTCTTAATTCCTTTTAGAAACATTTTTCTATTCATTACATGAACTACTCAACCTGCATACTTTATATAATTTTTCTTTATAATTTTTGAGCTTTGAAAATATTTTTCTTTTCTCTTTAATTAAGAACAAAGTTTTAGATGAAGATTTCTCCTGGGAATTTGCAACCATTTCTAAAATTTGGTTCTATATGAGGATTGGTTTACATTCCTCCCTCCCCACCACTCACCAAGAGAGACTGTTTACAGATTTGGAACAATTTTCAGATTTAAAAAATTGTCCCTAATATCACATATCCTTCCATACTTCTAAACAGATCCATTATTTTAATTCAAGAATTTAAACACTACTTGTCTGACATCATCTTATGAACATTTTATACATGTTCTGAAAGTCTTTAAAAAATTATATCTTTTGGCCGGGTGCGGTGGCTCATGCCTGTAATCCCAGCACTTCGGGAGGCCGAGGCAGGTGGAACACCTGAGGTCAGGAGTTCGAGACCAGCCTGGCTGACATGGTGAAACCCCGTCTCTACTAAAAATACAAAAATTAGCCGGGCGTGGTGCAGGCATCTGTAATCCCAGCTACTCGGGCAGCTGAGGGAGGAGAATCGCTTGAACCTGGGCGGTGGAGGTTGCAGTGAGCTGAGATTGCGTCATTGCACTCCAGCATGGGCAACAAGAGTGAAACTCTGTCTCAAAAAAAAAAAAAAAAAAATTCTATCTTTTTTCCTAGTTTAATTTTAGAATAGTTGTGACAATGTTTTGTATTATTTCCTCTATATCTCCTGTTTCACTATCTTCCAGAATGCTTATGAATTGGTGATTATGTCTCCTTGATCAATTTTCAGAGTTCTCTATATGTTTTTTAGCCCTTATTGCCTCAGTCAAGGAGGTGAACTCCTCTTTTCTCTGTCTCTTCTGTGCCTCTAATTCTAAAGGTCTTCCTTTTGATGTTTCTATTGACTATAACTGGTTTCCTGTCTTCTGTTTCTTTCTTTTACTGTCAACTTATTCTAAGTTCTTTTCCGAACACAATCCTCTAAAGCTTCCTATCGGAAATTGACTAACCTTTTACTGTAGTGTCTGTGTTTCAGCCATAGGCACCTTCTCTGTTGGCCCTTGCTTCAGACTTCCTGTGTCTTAGCACAGAAATCACTAACAATGCTATTCATGTCTGTCTGTCTTTCCTTCTGTCCTTCCTTCTCTTTGTTGTGCTGTTCATGAGTTTAATTTTTTTCTCTTAGAGTCCCTTAAAAAGTCATTTTGCAGTGTAGCTGATGGTTAAGCCCCCACATTCAGTTCACTCCGCATCCCTATTGGAGACAGTCAGTGCTCACTGAGTACTTGTGGTCCTTGATAGTTCTCAAACTTCCTTGCAATTAGGATGGCCATGTGAGTCATTCTGGCCACATAGGTATCACTTCCAGGCTGAGAGCAGTTCAGTATCCATTGTGCCCTCTTTGTGCTCTCTTCTTTACCATCTGTGGCTGGTTGATCCTCCACTTGAGCAAGAAGCCTCCATTTGACCAAGAAGCCACAAGTTGGTAGAATCACGAGTTGGAAGCTACCTTGACCTGTAAATTATAGTTAGAGGAGAATAGCCCAGTGCCTTTCAGGCTGTGCCTTTAGTGAGAAATGAACTTCTGTTATGTTAAGCCACTGAAGTATGGGGTTTATTTGTTACCTCAGCATAGACCAACCTACCTTGACTAACACAGCCATCATCTAACATCTTGATGCAGGTGATTCTAACTGTAATGAGTACACTGGGAGATGGCTTGAAGTTCATGGCACTCATGTTTATTTAAGTGTGAGGACCATGAATACAGGGGCTATTCATGAGCCACTGGGTTTGCATTAGTGGTGATCAGTTTCCCAGATATCTCGAATTTAAATGTTTTCTAGGCTCTCTAGAGGAATCATCTCCTTTTTCCTCTTATGCTTTCAGGAACTTGCTCTTTCAAAATGCAAGCACTGAAGCACTTTCTGTTCATAAGATCGTCTCTGATGTTGGCTCAGCTACCTGTCTTTGAAAAACTCTAGAAAAACTTCTTTGATTTTCCAAGCCCTTACCAACGCCCCTATTGTTTCAGACTCTCTCCCGCTATCCCAGGAATGTCATTTTTTAGTTCAGAATGCTGGAGGCTTCCATTTAGGCATGTGGCCAAATGTGCCTGACAGCTGTCTTCACTAAATTGGGCTACCTGAGCTGCCCAGAGAGGAATTGGGCAGACTCTTGGCTTCAGGGAAATCCTGGGGCAGCTCACAACTTTGTTTCTCCACGTCTGCAACAGAAGGTGCATGGAATAGACAATCAAGTGCTGCCTTTTAGGTGATTTTGAACCATCTGGACCATGATCTAGGAGGGACAGGCTTTCATGATGTTTCACAAACATATACTGTTCCTCCTTCCCTGTAATCAACGTCTTGCTGAGGCAAGTGAATACCCCCCAGAAGATGAAGAAACAGGGCTGTGGTTTGTTTCCAAACATAACTGCAGAGACATACAGTAGATACAGTTTTTTCATCTTTGGTAGCTCTACATCTGGTCTAACCAGGCCATTGCACCTTCTGACTCTTGGGTCAGGCCTCCAGATCTGTTTCTAAAACCACCTAAAGTTAATAGTTTATAGTAACTGTTATAAAACTTTTAGAGCTAATGGAAAGTTTCATCTCTTGCTGCCTCTTAAGGAAGTAAACTAGTGCTTTATCCTCCCTTATTAAAGAAGGTAGATACACAGTTCTGAAAATAGTACATTTCTGCTATTGGCATCAAGACTGGTCTCTTTTCTTAACATATAATGATATTTTTTTAGGTAGGGATTCGGCACCAGGGATGGCTTTCAGGAGCCTCTTCCCTTTCATCATTATAATAGAATAATTATCATATGCACCTGAATGTTCTATTATTGGTTATAGAGAATGACACAACAGTGTTCCGATTATGCTGGCTGCATTAAGAATGGAAGAAAGGTCACACTGAGGTAATTTAACATCATTATTTTTGTAGTTATTTCTTCTTCATTAATGTTTCTAAAAATCCTCCTATTCAAAGCTAGCATTTATTGAACAAAATTGTTCTTTCTTGGGTTAGCTCATTGTTCACAAAGCCCACAAGGCTGGGAAACATTTAGTATCAACCCTCTCTGTGTTCATCAGTTAGGATTAGTTTTATCTCTTGGTAAAAGAGACTCAAACTAAATAAGTTAGAAACTTATTTCTCTCTGACATGAAAATGTGGAGGCAAAAAAGCAGTCCAAGGCTAGTGTGATGCTGTGAGCAAGCCAGGATTCTTCTAATATGTTGATCTACTTTTCATGCCTTGTATTTCTAATGCCAATCAGTGACCCAAGATGGCTGCACTGGCTTCAGCTATCAGGTTTGCGTTGCAGTCTACAGAAAGGAGGAAGGGCTATGACAAGGGGTGCATGCCAACTGACTTTTAAGGATGGCCCCTGGAGGTGCCACACATCATTGTGCTTAAAGTTCATCAGCTTCATCAGGCAGAACGTAGGCATCTGGCCTCGTATAATTGCAAAGGAGGTTGGGGAACTTAGGTGTTTTTTGTTTATTTTTTTTCTCTGGGAAGTCATGGATTGAGCTAAAAAACCCCGGGTTTTATTACTGTGGAAGATGGGAGAACATTTGTTAATAGTCATCCAGCAGCCTCAGTCTGTCTTCAAATCCCTGAATGAACCAGAGGGACATGGGTTGGAACTGTATCAAGAAACAATCTAAATGAGACCAATAAAGGATCATTTGGATTCTACCCCAACTGCTGGCCTTATGGGCAGTACATCTTGGCCCTCTGGGGAAAGATATTTCTTTCTTCCAGCCTTCATTTCCTATATAGCCCATTTGTGTTCTTTAAGACTTTAAAGCTTTGGATAAATGCAAATGTTCTCTTGGAATATTAATAGATTGAATTGACTAGCATGATGTAGTATAAGCACACAGATGCTGGAACCAGACAGAACCATGTTTAATTCTGGCTCTTTCCCTTATTAAATGAGCGACTATAAGAATGAATGTGAATATCCTGGACTTAGATTTCTCATCTGTAAAATGAGTTACAGGAATGCCTTACATGTTTTCTGTGTGTGTAGTAAATGATATAACGTTTGCAAAGTGCGAAGTTGGTTATTAGAAATGATCCCTTCTTTGCCTTTCTCTACTAGCCATGTGTATAACAGCTCTAATTCGAGTCTTATATTATCAGAGCACTGGGCCCCAAGCAGATGTAACCAATGATGAGTAAGCTTTGATATTCTGGGGAAGAGAAGAAGCTTTCTGATAGGACTGGATGTATTACTGTGGTTTAAGGCCTGATCAGCATTAGGCAGGATTGGAACTCCCAACTGCATCCAGGAGCACATTTATTCTGATGTGTTGCTGTGATGGTTTTAATCCTGTCATTTTAGCATGGGGTATTTTGATGCAATCCAAAACACAAACCATGGAATTTCACCTTTTGAAAGTTGTCAGTCAGCCTGCAAAACCAGCATCCGTCTGGAGTAAACTTCAGAGTGTGTTTGAATGATGAGGTGTCAAGAATGAGAGTGTGATTCAAGAGTGAAGTAGGGATAAGGGATAACTGTTGTACACTTTTTAAAAATAATAGAAACAGTGTTTTTACTTTTTATCATGGATGTTTTCAGTCACCAATGCAACCTCATCAAATGCATCACGTCAAAATGTCCTGCTTAAAATGCAGTCTTAGTGCTGAATAAGCATAGCATATACTGCTTTGGAAAAAGACTTAGCCATTTAAGAGGGATGCAGTTTTCTAGAACATCAGGAAATTATCAGTGAAATTGTAGAGAAACACCAGGATGTAAAGATGCCGTCCCAGAAACCTGGGAGAATTGGCATGTTGCATTTGCTAATGTATTTCGGCATTTGTGTTCACTGCTACTGTTACTGTGCTTTTGAATTTGTGCAATGACGTGCTGTGATTTAGGGTGGTCTTGGCCTTGAGTAGTTTTTACCCCATAAAGGACAGTTGCTGAAGGATTGCTCCCTTCTCCCTGTTTTACTGCTACCATCTCAATGCTGTATGTGAGTGCAGTGAAGCAATGATGCGCTAACTGTGCCTTTCAGAGCTGTGTAAATCCTTTGGTTGATAAACTAGGAGCGTGTGAACAAGATAAACGCCCTAGACTGAAGAAGCTACCCAGGATCCTGAAAGAAAAGCATCCTGACGTATGTCATAATAGGCACGCAGAGAAATTCTGCTCAGATGAGTATTTTTCTAGACCTTAGAATTTTGTGTCATATCTCTCACTATCTAAAAGCCTTGTGTCTGGCAATAGCTAAAAATTTGAGAGGAAAGCAAAAGAAAGAAAATCACATCAATGTGGCTATATATCTTATCTTTGTTATAATGCAATGGTGATACTCTTTGTGTAAGCTTTGCTGACCCTAAATAGGGATTTAATGTAGTCAACATAAAAAGAAATATGGTATATTTCTAAAATTACTGATATATGACACTACACTTATGGGGCTACAACTGAGAAAGCAGTGAAGTGAGCATTTTTGAAAAGAAGTTAAATTGTCACTCCTACCTTTGTGTGTTACAAACAGTTCTTGGATAAGAGAGATCAGTTCCAGTGTTGTGTGTCATAATTATGAGGTATAAATAAAATATGGTAATAAATTCATGAGACTTTCATGCAGAAAAATAAAAATGACCTATTGTCTACTATAAATTGGGATGCAGCCATCATGCAAGGCAAATGTTAGGCCAAGACATAAAGCATGCACAATATATGGCCACAGTTTTCTAAGTTTAAATTTTTTGTGGAAGCTGACCTTAAACAAAACTGTGGATTAAACCTGTAACCCTGAAACTGACTGTATTAATTTATTGAATTTATAAATAAGCTCAAAATATATACTTTTTCTTCAACAGAAATAAATGCTGGTTTGTTTTTTCTTTTTCTGTTTTAACCACCAGGGAACCAGTTTGAACTAAACCTGAACTTAAATATATTCAAAATCCAAAGATATAAAACACCAAAAATAAGTCCTGAATCAAATAAAAATTCCATTTTTATCATCTCTTGAGAAGGTTAAACCATCAAAATATTCTCATGAACAAATTTCATTATTAGATAGCCAGGCAGAAGCAAATTGTGCAATCCCCAACCTTTCCTTTTTTAACCTTTTTAAAAGATTTATAGGTGCTTTTCTTTTCATTTGCCTCTGAAACACCTTCCAGCATTTAGATTTTCATTTAATTGTCACACAGCCCATTTTGCATGGTAAATATTTGCTTATTTCTGACTGATTTCATATTTCTCTAATGTTTGATTTCATCTAGGGCTTCCTTGCTGGTTTTTAATTGAAAGCTTCATCAAGTAAATACACTGTACTCTAGAGTGTAGATTTATCAATTTGCAGAGGGCACAGCTCGCTTGTGCCCCAGGAAGCCATGTTTATTGATTGCCATGCTGAAGATTCAGACGGGAACTCTCACAGAGTGAAGGTGGAGGAAAATACAGAAGAAGAGAGAGATCTGGAAGTCGATAACAAGCCTCTTTTTATAAATGTTCGCGTGTGCCGGAAAAGTCAGGAAGCTTAGTGTTTTCAGTTTTTTGTTTTTTAAACATGATTCGTGCCCAGTTTGGCTTTGATGGAAGAACCATTTACCATCTCTGAACAATAACCAGAGAAACTTGCTTAAGAAACAGTCACTGGGCCTGGCGCAGTGGCTCACACCTATAATCCCAGCACTTTGGGAGGCTGAGGTAGGCGGATCACCTGATGTCAGGAGTTCGAGACCAGCCTGGCTAACATGGTGAAACCCTATCTCTACTAAAAATGCAAAGATTAGCCAGGTGTGGTGGCAGGCGCCTGTAATCCCAGCTACTCTGGAGGCTGAGGCAGGAGGATTGCTTGAACCCAAGAGGCAGATGTTGCAGTGAGCTGAGATCGCACCATTGCACTCCAGCCAGGGTGACAGAGTGAGACTCCATCTCAAAAAAAATAAACAAAAAAAAAAACAGTCACTGATTAACATTTCCACCAACTAAACAAAGAAACAAAAAGACAACACCAAAAAACAGTCACTGGGCAATTGTTAGGACTGAGAGAATAACGACAGGAGAGATGCTTTCATCTCTTCAAAAGAACTTCCCAAGCATTTAAACCTTATCAGAGTCTGCTCCGGTTATATTCTGGGTGAGCATTACTCAGCATCCTCCTTCTCCCCAGGCTAACATGACTGTATTTTTTACAGGCTACTCAAAGCTTACATTTATGTGCCCCAGGGTTTGGTATTTGGTGCTACATTATTTTTGTTTTATCTTCACCTCCAAAGCATCGAACTGAATCATAAAATACTGCTGTTAAAACACAGTCATACACAGAAGAGGAAGGAGCCGGCTTGACGGTGTGCAGCAGGAATTCGGGTTGTCCTTTTGTTGGAGCTGGATATGACCACATGCACAAGATGAGGATTTACCCAAAGGGGTGAGGGACAGAATTTGAAGTCTACTTGGGATAAAGGCTGTAGGCATTTTCCAAACTCTGGGTGAAAGATGCCTAATGTATCTTCCAACTTCATTTTGTTTTTACTGCTTTTACTTTTGTTTTGTGTTTGGTGTGTATATCCCTAACGTATCGTGGGTATGATCAAGGACAACACCATGCTGACCCACCACTTTTTTGCCATGGTTATGTCCATGGGAAGAATCAGAATTCTGGGCTGGTATGACCACAGGGCTTATACTGGAGGTAAACCCTGATGGTCTTTTTAGAGAGAAATTTGTATTTTGTTATCTTCATGTTTCCCAGATGTCCACTTTCCTTCCTGCAGTATTGAGGTGGTATTGGAGTGACATATCTGCCTCTTCCAGTAACCTTTTCACTTAGACCTTATTTGATGATTCAATTGCTGAGATTGCTGAAAAGCTAACTTCTCTTGGACCTCATTACCTAGGCAGCAAGGCCAATGGATTGAAAAGACAGTTGGTTACCTGTCCTTCATGCATCACCTGGAACCTCAGGCTTTCATTTAGGAGGGTGATGTTTCCATTCCCAGCTCACCATTAGTACTTTGTATTTATAACCTTTGCCCTGCCATAAGGGAGAGGAGGGAAGTAACTCGTCTTCCCAGGATGCCTACTGCCCACATGCCAGCTGATGGCTACTGAGGGCTCACCACTACCGAGACCCTCTCAGGACTGACCTGCAGCATTTCCTAAACCACAAGGCTCACTGAAATCATCTGAGACAGAAGGTGAAAATACCAATTTCTAGTATCAACTCCAGAGCTAACGAATCAGCACTTCATGAGGTAGAGTACATGATTCTGTCTTTTGAACAAGTCCTGCGATTAATCAAGTTTGAGAAACCTCTTTTGAGACTTTCCCCAATATCCTCCTCCACAGTTAAAACTGACCTTTTCCTTGTCATATTCTTTTTCAGGTTGCTATTTAGGAAATAATCAATGATTCATTTTTGTTGAGGCTTTTGGTTTAATATATGACTGCTCAAAAAAAGGGTATTTCTGTGTGTGATCAACAATCTTCTGGAGACAGTGTTAGAATTAAAAGAGGGATGCCTTTTCAGGCTCTGTGTTAGCATGTGGAGCAGAGTGCATGTGGCAGAGCTTGTGAAGCACTCTTACTCCTGGAGAACTCACAGAGGCCCTTGGAGTGTATTTCAGGGTGACAGTTTTTTCTGCCCACGCTACTGGACTTGGAATGAGAGAGTAGATGAAATGTAAATTCAGACACATTTGGGAATCAGCAGTTCCTTCTTTTGAATAGATTGGCATGGAGTAGAAGATACAGGTGACAGGCCAGGGGCCGGGTGACATTCATAAATTATCAGATCCTAAAATTCACATTCTAGCAGAATTATTTTAAAGAAGCTTAGCTCTCTTTGGGTGCATAATGTCTTATTCTTTCATCTTAAGCATTCATGTTTGATAAAAACGATTCCTCATGTAAATTCATTTATTGTAATTCAGTCTTTCCTAAACTCCCTTGATATAGAGCTACAAAATGTTACTTTTCTTTTTCCTCTTGAGAAAGGTGTTAAAAATGCAATACTGCCTTATGGTATATAAATTTATCTAGAACTCTTGGAACAAATTCTCCTACCTTTTAGAAGCTCTGCCCTTCTATAACTTGCCTTTCACCTGCCTAACAAATTATTCACTTTTGAAATACATATATATATAATTCATATATAAAAATATATATAGAAATGCATGTAATTTATATATATAAATATATTTAATTTATATATAAGTAAATATATAGATACGTATATACACTTATACATATATGTATATGTATGTGTGTGTCTATGTGTATATATATATACATATATATATATATATATATAGCTCATGAGAAATGAATTCAACTAAAGTTATCCAGTTGGTCTGTTTGCCTCATTCTGCTTTACTGAGCAGTCTGTCCTTCGCTACCTTGATGCTTTCCAGCTTGTTTCACTCCATGTGGTGAATGCACCTTCAGTGTGGCCATCCCATCCTGGTTACCCCATAGTCATGCCAATCTAAGTTTATGGCACTGACTGACAGTGGTGCCAAGGATGACTGGTGTGAGAGGTGGTCAGTGACTGTCTTGATATTGACCTCAAAATTACAGAGGTATATAGTTTGCTTTTCCCTGGTAATTATGAGATAAAATTAACAGTAATATACCAGTTATGGTATATTAATCTTGTGAATATTTAATTTATAGATTGAGGGATAAATAAATGTCTCTTAGGGATTGGGAGAGAGTAAGAGAGAGGAGTTCTGGGTGCTGTGCCCTGCTGGAGATGAAAACGCAGATGGACCTAATCTGCATGCTAAATAGTTCTCTCTGTTCCTGTTGCATAAACAATGCAATTCAGTGCTCTATTTTGTAGATGGTTTATGCCTGGCAAATAGAGCTGCTCAGCTTTGGAACCAGCAATGCTGCATCTTCTAGTGACATGCCTGCTGGAAATGGGCCTATTGAATTAGTAGTGGCTATGAGACAATAAATGACCAATTCAGTGTCAGGAAGCAAGCAGAGCAAGAGGGCTTTGTGTTTGCCCAGTTACTTTAATCTGATTTGGGACCAACAGAGAAATGCTTTGGTGCCCCCAAATCTGATTCGGTTCCTCCAAACCCTATGCTTAGAAATTCATTTCTTTGAGATAATATAGTATACTTCTAGGAATCCTATGTGAAAAAATGTAAAACTCTTCTTTAGGGTATCAAGTTATTATTCTTAGACATCCATAATAAAAGATGGTCAGTCACTAAATACTAACACCATCTTGAGGACTGTGGCAAAGGATTGGAAAGTTTCAGGGCAAATAAGTGTAGGATGACCAGATGTTTACTTTCTCCCAGGAAACCCTCATCACTCTTTCGGTACATTGGGCAGTAAGCTACAGTAGGCAGTGTGAATGCAGTTTCCTAGTATCCAACCTAATGAGGAGATACTTAGAATGGAGTACTGAAAGGCCCAGGCTCTGAACTGAACAATCGGCATCCATAAATTATTCTCTTAGTTCTTGAGGACTCAGTGCTCTACTCTAACGCACTCTGGGAAGGGCTACCTGGGGAAGAACTTCCAGGCTTGCTGCTTGGATTCATGTTTCCTGTAATGCAACTTTATTCAGGAATATATATATTTTTTTAATTTTTAATTTTTTTATTATTATTATACTTTAAGTTTTAGGGTACATGTGCAAAATGTGCAGGTTAGTTACATATGTATACATGCGCCATGCTGGTGTGTTGCCCCCATTAACTTGTCATTTAGCATTAGGTACATCTCCTAATGCTATCCCTCCCCCCTCCCCCCACCCCACAACAGTCCCCAGAGTGTGATGTTCCCCTTCCTGTGTCCATGTGTTCTCATTGTTCAATTCCCATCTATGAGTGAGAACATGCGGTGTTTGGTTTTTTGTTCTTGCGATAGTTTACTGAGAATGATGATTTCCAATTTCATCCATGTCCCTACAAAGGACATGAACTCATCATGTTTTATGGCTGCATAGTATTCCATGGTGTATATGTGCCACATTTTCTTAATCCCGTCTGTCACTGTTGGACATTTGGGTTGGTTCCAAGTCTTTGCTATTGTGAATAGTGCCACAATAAACATGTGTGCCTGTGTCTTTATAGCAGCATGATTTATAGTCCTTTGGGTATATACCCAGTAATGGGATGGCTGGGTCAAATGGTATTTCTAGTTCTAGATCCCTGAGGAATCGCCACACTGACTTCCACAATGGTTGAACTAGTTTACAGTCCCACCAACAGTGTGAAAGTGTTCCTATTTCTCCACATCCTCTCCAGCACCTGTTGTTTCCTGACTTTTTAATGATCGCCATTCTAACTGGTGTGAGATGGCATCTCGTTGTGGTTTTGATTTGCATTTCTCTGATGGCCAGTGATGATGAGCATTTTTTCATGTGTCTTTTGGCTGCATAAATGTCTTCTTTTGAGAAGTGTCTGTTCATATCCTTTGCCCACTTTTTGATGGGGTTGTTTGTTTTTTTCTTGTAAATTTGTTTGAGTTCATTGTAGATTCTGGATATTAGCCCTTTGTCAGATGAGTAGGTTGGGAAAATTTTCTCCCATTTTGTAGGTTGCCTGTTCACTCTGATGGTAGTTTCTTTTGCTGTGCAGAAGCTCTTTAGTTTAATTAGATCCCATTTGTCAATTTTGGCTTTTGTTGCCATTGCTTTTGGTGTTTTGGACATGAAGTCCTTGCCCATGCCTATGTCCTGAATGGTAATGCCTAGATTTTCTTCTAGGGTTTTTATGGTTTTAGGTCTAACATATTTAAGTCTTTAATCCATCTTGAATTAATTTTTGTATAAGGTGTAAGGAAGGGATCCAGTTTCAGCTTTCTCCATATGGCTAGCCAGTTTTCCCAGCACCATTTATTAAATAGGGAATCCTTTCCCCATTGCTTGTTTTTCTCAGGTTTGTCAAAGATCAGATAGTTGAGATATGTGGCATTACTTCTGAGGGCTCTGTTCTGTTCCATTGATCTATATCTCTGTTTTGGTACCAGTACCATGCTGTTTTGGTTACTGTAGCCTTGTAGTATAGTTTGAAGTCAGGTAGTGTGATGCCTCCAGCTTTGTTCTTTTGGCTTAGGATTGACTTGGTGATGCCGGCTCTTTTTTGGATCCATATGAACTTTAGTTTTTTCCAATTCTGTGAAGAAAGTCATTGGTAGCTTGATGGGGATGGCATTGAATCTATAAATTACCTTAGGCAGTGTGGCCATTTTCACGATATTGATTCTTCCTACCCATGAGCATGGAATGTTTTTCCATTTGTTTGTATCCTCTTTTATTTCATTGAGCAGTGGTTTGTAGTTCTCCTTGAAGAGGTCCTTCACGTCCCTTGTAAGTTGGATTCCTAAGTATTTTATTCTCTTTGAAGCAATTGTGAATGGGAGTTCACTCATGATTTGGCTCTCTGTTTGTCTGTTATTGGTGTATAAGAATGCTTGTGATTTTTGTACATTGATTTTGTATCCTGAGACTTTGTAAGCTGATAAGCTGAAGTTGCTTATCAGCTTAAGGAGATTTTGGGCTGAGACGATGGAGTTTTCTAGATATACAATCATGTTGTCTGCAAACAGGGACAATTTGACTTCCTCTTTTCCTAATTGAATACCCTTTATTTCCTTCTCCTGCCTAATTGCCCTGGCCACAACTTCCAACCCTATGTTGAATAGGAGTGGTGAGAGAGGGCATCCCTGTTTTGTGCCAGTTTTCAAAGGGAATGCTTCCAGTTTTTGCCCATTCAGTATGATATTGGCTGTGGGTTTGTCATAGATAGCTGTTATTATTTTGAGATACGTCCCATCAATACCTAATTTATCGAGAGTTTTTAGCATGAAGGGTTGTTGAATTTTGCCAAAGATCTTTTCTGCATCTATTGAGATAATCATGTGGTTTTTGTCTTTGGTTCTGTTTATATGCTGGATTACATTTATTGATTTGTGTGTATTGAACCAGCCTTGCATCCCAGGGATGAAGCCCACTTGATCATGGTGGATAAGCTTTTTGATGTGCTGCTGGATTCAGTTTGCCAGTATTTTATTGAGGATTTTTGCATTAATGTTCATCAAGGTTATTGGTCTAAAATTCTCTTTTTTGGTTGTGTCTCTGCCCGGCTTTGGTATCAGGATGATGCTGGCCTCATAAAATGAGTTAGGGAGGATTCCCTCTTTTTCTATTGATTGGAATAGTTTCAGAAGGAATGGTACCAGTTCCTCCCTGTACCTCTGGTAGAATTCGGCTGTGAATCCATCTGGTCCTGGACTCTTTTTTGTTGGTAAGCTATTGATTATTGCCACAATTTCAAATCTTGTTATTGGTCTACTCAGAGATTCAACTTCTTCCTGGTTTAGTCTTGGGAGAGTGTATGTGTTGAGGAATTTATCCATTTCTTCTAGATTTTCTAGTTTAATTGCGTAGAGGTGTTTGTAGTATTCTCTGATGGTAGTTTGTATTTCTGTGGGATCGGTGGTGATATCCCCTTTATCATTTTTTACTGCGTCTATTTGATTCTTCTCTCTTTTCTTCTTTATTAGTCTTGCTAGTGGTCTATCAGTTTTGTTGATCCTTTCAAAAAACCGGGTCCTGGATTCACTGATTTTTTGAAGGGTTTTTTGTGTCTCTATTTCCTTTAGTTCTGCTCTGATTTTAGTTATTTCTTGCCTTCTGCTAGCTTTTGAATATGTTTGCTTTTGCTTTTCTAGTTCTTTTAATTGTGATGTTAGGGTGTCAATTTTGGATCTTTCCTGCTTTCTCTTGTGGGCATTTGGTGCTATAAATTTCCCTCTACACACTGCTTTGAATGTGTCCCAGAGATTCTGGTATGTTGTGTCTTTGTTCTCATTGGTTTCAAAGAACATCTTTATTTCTGCCTTCATTTCGTTATGTATCCAGTAGTCATTCAGGAGCAGGTTGTTCAGTTTCCATGTAGTTGAGCAGTTTTGAGTGAGTTTCTTAATCCTGAGATCTAGTTTGATTGCACTGTGGTCTGAGAGACAGTTTGTTATAATTTCTGTTCTTTTAAATTTGCTGAGGAGAGCTTTACTTCCAAGTATGTGGTCAATTTTGGAATAGGTATGGTGTGGTGCTGAAAAAAATGTATATTCTCTTGATTTGGGGTGGAGAGTTCTGTAAATGTCTATCAGGTCCGCTTGGTGTAGAGCTGAGTTCAATTCCTGGGTATCCTTGTTAACTTTCTGTCTCGTTGATCTGTCTAATGTTGACAGTGGGGTGTTAAAGTCTCCCATTATTATTGTGTGGGAGTCTAAGTGTCTTTGTAGGTCACTCAGGACTTGCTTTATGAATCTGGGTGCTCCTGTATTGGGTGCATATATATTTAGGATAGTTAGCTCTTCTTGTTGAATTGATCCGTTTACCATTATGTAATGGCCTTCTTTGTCTCTTTTGATCTTTGTTGGTTTAAAGTCTGTTTTATCAGAGACTAGGATTGCAATCCCTGCCTTTTTTTGTTTTCCATTTGCTTGGTAGATCTTCCTCCATCCTTTTATTTTGAGCCTATGTGTGTCTCTGCACATGAGATGGGTTTCCTGAATACAGCACACTGATGGGTCTTGCTTGACTCTTTATCCAATTTGGCAGTCTGTGTCTTTTAATTGGAGGATTTAGTCCATTTACATTTAAAGTTAATATTGTTATGTGTGAATTTGATCCTGTCATTATGATGTTAGCTGGTTATTTTGCTCGTTAGTTGATGCAGTTTCTTCCTAGCCTTGATGGTCTTTACATTTTGGCATGATTTTGCAGTGGCTGGTACTGGTTGTTCCTTTCCATGTTTAGTGCTTCCTTCAGGAGCTCTTTTAGGGCAGGCATGGTGGTGACAAAATCTCTCAGCATTTGCTTGTCTGTAAAGTATTTTATTTCTCCTTCACTTGTGAAGCTTAGTTTGGCTGGATATGAAATTCTGATTTGAAAATTCTTTTCTTTAAGAATGTTGAATATTGGCCCCCACTCTCTTCTGGCTTGTGGAGCTTCTGCCAAGAGATCTGCTGTTAGTCTGATGGGCTTCCCTTTGTGGGTAACCCGACCTTTCTCTCTGGCTGCCCTTAACATTTTTTCCTTCATTTCAACTTTGTTAAATCTGACAATTATGTGTCTTGGAGTTGCTCTTCTTGAGGAGTATCTTTGTGATGTTCTCTGTATTTCCTGAATCTGAATGTTGGCCAGCCTTGCTAGATTGGGGAAGTTCTCCTGGATAATATCCTGCAGAGTGTTTTCCAACTTGGTTCCATTCTCCCTGTCACTTTCAGGTACACTGATCAGATGCAGATTTGGTCTTTTCACATAGTCCCATATTTCTTGGAGGCTTTGTTCATTTCTTTTTATTCTTTTTTCTCTAAACTTCCCTTCTCATTTCATTTCATTCATTTCGTCTTCCATCACTGATACCCTTTCTTCCAGTTGATCACATCGGCTCCTGAGGCTTCTTCATTCTTCATGTAGTTCTCGAGCCTTGGCTTTCAGCTCCATCAGCTCCTTTAAGCACTTCTCTGTGTTGGTTATTCTAGTTATACGTTTGTCTAAATTTTTTTCAAAGTTTTCAACTTCTTTGCCTTTTGTTTGAATTTCCTCCTGTAGCTCAGAGTAGTTTGATCGTCTGAAGCCTTCCTCTCTCATCTCGTCAAAGTCATTCTCCGTCCAGCTTTGTTCCGTTGCTGGTGAGGAACTGCGTTCCTTTGGAGGAGGAGAGGCGCTCTGCTTTTTAGAGTTTCCAGTTTTTCTGCTCTGTTTTTTCCCCATCTTTGTGGTTTTATCTACTTTTGGTCTTTGATGATGGTGATGTACAGATGGGTTTTTGGTGTGGATGTTCTTTCTGTTTGTTAGTTTTCCTTCTAACAGACAGGACCCTCAGCTGCAGGTCTGTTGGAGTTTGCTAGAGGTCCACTCCAGACCCTGTTTGCCTGGGTATCAGCAGTGGTGTCTGCAGAACCACGGATTTTCGTGAACCACAAATGCTGCTCTCTGATCGTTCCTCTGGAAGTTTTGTCTTGGAGGAGTACCTGGCCGTGTGAGGTGTCAGTCTGCCCCTACTGGGGGGTGCCTCCCAGTTAGGCTGCTTGGGGATCAGGGGTCAGGGACCCACATGAGGAGGCAGTCTGCCTTTTCTCAGATCTCCAGCTGTGTGCTGGGAGAACCACTGCTCTCTTCAAAGCTGTCAGACAGGGACATTTAAGTCTGCAGAGGTTAATGCTGTCTTTTTGTTTGTCTGTGCCCTGCCCCCAGAGGTGGAGCCTACAGAGGCAGGCAGGCCTCCTTGAGCTGTGGTGGGCTCCACCCAGTTCGAGCTTCCCGGCTGCTTTGTTTACCTAAGCGAGCCTGGGCAATGGTGGGCGCCCCTCCCCGAGCCTCACTGCTGCCTTGCAGTTTGATCTCAGACTGCTGTGCTAGCAATCAGCGAGACTCCGTGGGCATAGGATCCTCCAAGCCAGGTGCGGGATATAATCTCCTGGTGGGCCATTTCCTAAGCCCGTTGGAAAAGCGCAATATTGGGGTGAGAGTGACCCGGTTTTCCAGGTGCTGTTTGTGACCCCTTTCCTTGACCAGGAAAGGGAACTCCCTGACCCCTTGCGCTTCCTGAGTGAGGCAATGCCTCGCTCTGCTTTGGCTCGCACATGTTGTGCTGCACCCACTGTCCTGCGCCCACTGTCTGGCACTCCCTAGTGAGATGAACCTGGTACCTCAGATGGAAATGCAGAAATCACCCATCTTCTGCGTCACTCACGCTCGGAGCTGTAGACCGGAGCTCTTCCTGTTCGGCCATCTTGGCTCCTCTCCCCCATTCAGGAATTTTTATGCATGTCTGGATGTCATAGTAAATTACCATCTGAACACCCTTGTGAATATGATTTAAATTTTAAAATATTTATACCTCTATGTTTTTTTACATTGTGCATAGATATTTCCAGCATTGTTCCTTAAATCACAATTATTTTTTCAATAATAACCATTATTATTTTAAAGTAAAGCAGCAGGTTAGCCTAAGAGATTTACTTCCAGGAATTGCTGGTTTCTGAAGAAAACTATTTGTCCAACCACCCAAACATGGCCTCCAGGGATTGCTTCAGTAACTTATATATTCCTTCACTCTCTAGACTCTTTTCTGTTGAAGGAGGTGTGAGCCTGGCTCTTAGATATGTGGAGCAATGCAAGGCTGAGTTTTCCACTTATTCCTAATCCCAGATCTTTCAACTAAAGTCCTTATGTTGATATATGCTTAGCCTTGGGTTGATATATTACTTCATGTTTTATAACTTGAGCCTTATAATCTATGTGAAAGGCAACCAAGGGTTTTTTTTCTTTATTTTATAAGCCTCACTTTCCATAGGAACAATGGACCTATTCCAGGGAGGGAAACAGACCACAGATGTGTGTGTGTGTGTGTGTGTGTGTGTGTGTGTAAAATCAGTTCTCTGCTCTACTATAAAAAAGGTGTAAGAGATGGGGAGGAGCAAACAGAGACTACAAATACAGTTAGTTTTGATTTATATCTCAGAATGTCAGAGACTCTAAAAACTGAAAATATTTATATCCATAGTATACTCTAAGAAACCATTTTCCAGGGAGGCCACTTTACCTCGCATAATGACTTCTCTCCAGAAGTCGATTTTACTGAAATTAACTCCTCCACAGCCCATATCTTAGCTTTACCAAACATAGCTATATGGAAGTCTACAAAAGAAATTTTTAAGAAAGAATTATAAAGTTAATATTATTATTTAAAATACATTGACATTTAAAATAAAAGAGAGCCCTGCCGATTAACCTAAAGCAAACAAACAAAAACAAAATCTTCTGAATATCATATGATTTAAGGAGACATTAAAATGACATTTATGAATTGCTTAATATTGAAGGGGTATAGAAACCTATATATAAAAGCCTATAGGAATACAGCCTCCATCTGATCAGGAGTGGAGAATGCTGGGGCCATGACTGCTCTCACCCCAGGTCACTTGTAGGGCAGAGGTTCTACGCTTAGTGAGACAAGAGGAGAAGACCAGGGGCTACTGAACCACCCAACATCCAGAGTAGTGTTTCAGAGAGTTTATCACAGAGAAGGTGCGGCCCAAAAGAATGAGAGACTTCACAGCTCTTTCCCACAGGAAGTGATTCAAGCCTAAGGGCATTCTAAAAAATGATAGCTCCACTTATTAAAGAAAAACAAGCTAAGCCATAGACCAGCTGGCTCACCACAGAGAAAAACAGAAAAAAGGGCCTACTTGTTGTGAGCCTACTTGTGGTCAGAGAAATACCTCAAAGACTGGCCTCAAATATGATCCCTTCTCAAATTTTATTAAATCAAATTATAATGCTTAGGGAATTGTCAAAAACAATAGAGCAATCAGCTGGTGTTTAGTGGAGCCTAACAGGCAGGATGTACCACCAAATGAAGCTACAGCTTAATAGAGATATCAGGAAAAAGACAGTCAAAGAGACCTTGTCAAAACCCCTGTTATTTCACGGTGATTGTGTGCTCTCTGAGGAACAACACAAAATACTTCACATTTTTGAGAAAGAGACTTGACTAAATTAGCCTCCCTGAGTCACAAAACAAAAAAGAACAATAAAAACAAGCCCTGGAGGGGGAACAGAAAATCAATATATAGAGTTATTAATATATTTTACCTAAAATGTCTTGTTTTCAACAATTACAGAACATGCAATAAAACAGGAATATGTGACCCATACACAGGAAGAAAACAACAACAAAACAAGAGGCAATGGAAATGGCCTGTGAAGGGGACCAGTAGTCAGATTTAACAGACAAAAGCTTCAAAGTAGACATTATAAATATATTAAAAGTACTAAAAGAGTACTTAAAGAAGTAGTAGAAGGTGTGAAGACAATGAATGTCTCAAAAAATAGAGAACATCAGTAAAGAGATAAGAACTATAAAAACAAAAATTAAAATTATGCAGTTAAAAAGCATAATAACAAAAATGAAAAATTTATTAGAGTGGCTCAACAATATTTGAGCTGGCAGAAGAATCAGAGAATTTAAGATAGACCCATTCAAAGAACAGAGAAAATAGAATGAAGAAAAATGAACAGAGCCTCAGAGAAATGTGAGACAACAATATGCACAACAGCATATATTTAGTGGGAGTATCTCAAGAAAGGACAAAAGGAAAAGGGGCAGAAAAACTAGCTGATGAAATAATGGATGAAAATTTCTCAAGTTTGCTGAAAAACGTTAATATACACATCCAAGAAGCTCAAAAACTTCAAGTAAGAGAAACACAAAGATATTCATACTAAGACATCTTACAGTAAAAAATGCTGAAAGCCAAAGACAAAAACAAAAAAGGTGAAAGTAGCAGGAGAGCTTGGGCACAGGGGCTCACACCTGTAATCCCAGAATTTTGGGAAAATGGGGTGGGAGGATCACTTGAGGTCAGGAGTTTGAGACCAGCCTGGGGAAACATAGCAACATTTCATCTCCACAAAAATAAAAACAACAAAAAACAAAAATTAGCTGGGTGTGGTGGCATGCACCTACAGTCCCAGCTATTTGGAAGGCTGAGGTGAGAGAATTGCTTGAGCCCAGTTCAAGGCTGCAGTGAGCTATGATCTCACCATCACTCTAGCCTGAATGACAGAGTGAGATGCTGTCACAAAACAACACAAGATAAAATGAAACCACAAACAAACAAAAAAACCTTGTCATGTACAAGAGAGCTCCAATAAGATTGACAGTTCATTTATCATCAGAACAATGAAGGCCAGAAGAAGTAGGATAACCTATTCAAAGGGCAGAAAGGAAAAAAAAAAGTGTGAATCAATAATTCTATACTTAGCAAAGTTATCTTTCAAAATTAAAGACATAATAAAGATATTTCAGATAAAAACTCAGAGAATTTTTTGCTTGCAGACCCACATTACAAGAAATACTAAAGAAAAATTTAAGTCTAAGTAAGCACAGATGTAAATTTGAATCTACATTTTAAAAAAGCAAGCACTGGTACTTGTAACTATTTAGTTATAAAAGTCAGTATAATACATATTTTTTGTTTTTCTTTTGACAGATTTAGAAAACAATTGTATAAAACAATATGAATATAATTGTATTGTTGAGCCACAACATATAGAAATGTAATATATTTGACAATAACAACAGAAAGGGGGTGAGTAGGAACACTGGATTAAGACAATGACTCCAATACAAACCCATACAAACTGTCAGGCCTCTGAGCCCAAGCTAAGCCATCACATCCCTTGTGACCTGCATGTATTCATCTAGATGGCCTGAAGGAAGTGAAGAATCACAAAAGAAGGGAAAATGGCCAGTTCCTGCCTTAACTGATGACATTACCTTGTGAAATTCCTTCTCCTGGCTCATCCTGGCTCAAAAACTCCCCCACTGAGCACCTTGTGACCCCCGCCCCTGCCCGCAAGAGAACAACCCCCTTTGACTGTAATTTTCCACTACCCACCCAAATCCTATAAAACAGCCCCACCCTGTCTCCCTTCGCTGACTCTCTTTTTGGACTCAGCCCACCTGCACCCAGGTGATTAAAAAGCTTTATTGCTCAAACAAAGCCTGTTTGGTGGTCTCTTCACACAGATGTGCATGAAACAAATTTAAAAAGTGAGAAATGGTAAATAATATTTTTAAAGACATAATAAAGAGGGAGAAAAGGCAAATATAACAAACTATAGATAAATATTTCCTCTCCTTTTTTTCCTCAGCTTCTTCAAGACATAAATTCATAAAAAGTAATGAATATAGCAATGCATTATTGGGCTTGTAACATAGATTTAATATATATAACAATAATAGCACAAAAAATGATAGGAGGAAATATAGCTATAGAAGAGTGACATTTCTATATCTCACCAAAATTAAGCTGGTGTAAGTCTAAAGTAGATTCTGGTAAGCTAAAATGTACATGACAAGCTCTGGAGCAACCATTATAAAAATGACTAAAAAATAGTAAAAAAAAATTAAGAAATCAAAATATTCCACCAGAATATCCATTTAAGAAAAAAGGATTTAATAAAGGAGAAGTGGAAGAACAACAAAGACATAAGACATATAGATAACACAAAGTAAAATGGCAGATATAAATCTAATCATATCAATAATATTAAATGTGAAAAAAATAATACAGTAAATATACAGAGATGTCAGACTGGATAAATAAACATAATTCAACTGTCTATTTACAGGAGAAACACTTTATATTCAAATATACAAATGGATTGAAAGCAAAAAGATGGTAAAATATATACCATGTAAACAGTAACTATAAGAAAACTGGAGTGGCTATACTAATATCAAAGAGAAATCAACATTTCAACAACAATAGTTACAGACTTCACTACTCCATTTTCAGTACTGGTAGAAAAACTAAAGAAAAGATCAACAAAGCCAGGCGCAGTGGCTCACACCTGTAATCCCAGCACTTTGGGAGGCTGAGGCAGGCGGATCACCTGAGGTTAGGAGTTCAAGACCAGCCTGACCAACATGGTGAAACCCTGTCTCTACTAAAAATACAAAAATTAGCTGGGCATGGTGGCGTGTGCCTGCAATTCCAGCTACTTGGGAGGCTGAGGCAGGAAAATCACTTGAACCCGGGAGGCAGAGGTTGCAGTGAGCTGAGATCGCGCCATTGCACTCCAGCCTAGGTGACTGAGTGAGACTCCATCTCAAAAAAAAAAAAGGGGAAAAGGTCAACAAGAAAATGAATGCAATAATCATGTGTGCCCTCCAAAATTCAGATGTAAATACTTAATGGCCAATGTGATGTTATTAAGAGGTGGGACCTTTAAGAAGTGATTATGTTATGAGAGCTCCTTTACTTGTGAATGAAATTAAGGGCCTTATGAAAGAGGCTTCACACAGCCTTCAGCCCTCTTGCAATTTCCATTGCCCACCATGTGACGATAGAGTGTTTTACCCCTTTGAAGGATGAAGCATTCAAGGCAGCATCTTCAAAGCACAGACCAGACAACAAACTTGCCACTACCTTAATCTTGATCTTAGACTTTCCAGCCTCCAGAGCTGTGAGAAATAAATTTCCATCTTTATAAATTACCCAGTTTCAGGTATGTTGTCATGGCAGCACAAAAAGACTAAGACAGAGGACTTATAAAACATTATAAACCAACTATACTTGACATTTATTGGACACTCCACCCAACAAAAGCAGAATACACATTTTTCTTAAAAAAACAAAAAAATGATATCCTGGAACATTCTCCAACAGAACTGTTACACATTTCTTTTTCTATCCCTGAAAGGTTTTTCCTGCATGCTCTACTTAGTCCCAGCAAGAAAAGAAGATAGTTGGTGCAACTTAGAATTGGATTTAGATCCCAAGCCAAACATTATTGACTGTGTGTGTTGCACAAGTGACAACCTCTCACGGACAAAGTGGGGTTAATCACACCTGCAAACATTGAACATAATACATATAAAGTTTTTAGCAAAACACTTGACACGTAGCAGATATCTAATATAAAATGGCAGTTTATTGCATGTTTTTTGTACTCCTTATGGTATCAGTTAGAATGAGTATTTTTGTCAGGAATGTTGCCTTTTTCTCTACTTCCTGAAGGGCAGGAAACTTTTCCAGCTCTTGGGCATGTGATGTTTCATTTATTTCTGACTGAGTACAGGGGGATCCTCTGAGAACTGTGCTCCAGGCAGTACTGCCAGGGTCGTTCTCTGCCTTCTGCATGAGACAAGCATTCCCTGCAGCATGCCGCATTTGCCAGTCTTAGCCAGAGGCCCAAAAGCTGCAGTCCTTGTTTGGCCCAAGAACACCAGGTGGCAGCTGTGGCCCGTCGTCTGCTGCCCACTACCCAGACACAGCCAGCTTTGGGCCACTGAGGCGAGCAGCTGGACAGCTTCTTCTAGTGCAACTGGGTCAGCTCCTTGTCTGTCTCTCCACCTGTCCTTCCTCCCTATCTGTATCATGTCTGAGCTCCAAATAGCAACACTGATCATCCTGAGTCAGAAAACACACCTGCCCACAGGGTAGGTTTTTTTTTGGGGTACCCTAGAAATTGTCCCTCCGTGATTATGAGGTGGCAGAATGTGCATATTTGAAAATGTTGCCCTTTTAAACTGGTTTCTCCTCTAGTTGTACAAACTCTGCTACTTCTATCATGGTATATGTTCATAAAAAACTTGAGGAGTTCACACATGGGCAATAAATTATTTGATTTTACTCTCTCTGTAGCTATGGGTATCCAGAAATTTGAGGGTAATCTGGCAAGAGAGTAAGAAGAAGCCCCTCCCTCAGAAAGGATTAAGAATTAGAATGACAGAAAATGGAGAGAATTCTGTTGATTAACCATTAATTGCTTCAGGACTCATTAGAAAACATGTTTGCACATAGATCCTGTCTGGATACATTGAAATAAGTTTGGTGTTTCCTTTCTGTGCCTTGAAATTAACCTAAGCAAAGTAAGAGAATGGAATCCTTTGAAAAATGTTATAAAATTCATTGTTTATTCTGATATTGTTTTTATATTGTTTTTCTCTCAGTAGACTGTGAGCTATTCAAGGTCAGAAACTACCCTTCATCTGTGTCCTTGGATAGTCATTCATGCAAATGTAAAGCCTCATTTTTTCCTGGGCTATTAGGAAGTTCTAATGAAAGCATTTTGCTTTGCTAAAAGCTAAGCTGAAAACCGTCTTTTTTCAATGGATGTGATGATGATATGCAGGCCTTCCTGCTTTATTGAATCTGATCTAGTGAAACTGACTGTGAAAGCCCTCAGAGCTATTATTCTAAACGTCATGTCTCCATGTTCAGGGCTCAGGAGGGAGCTGGGGCAGGTGTAAGCAGCACTGGAAAAGAGAAGGCTTGAGCAGTTCCTCTGCCGTCCAATACCCAAGGCTACTTTCGATATTTCATCATGACACGCTGTCCCACAGAGCTCAGACAAAGCCTTGGTATTCTTCCTGAGGGGATGCTGCAGGCAGCCGCTACCTGCTGATGGGAAATAGCATTTGAGATGAAGTCCTTCTGCTAGCTTTGGTGCGTTGAGCCACAGATGTCCTCTAAATCTCCCTTGTTACTAACTTCTTAATATCCGTGTACATTTCTGAGATTGACTCCTTTTGCCTTAAAAAGTACGGAACTCCCCAAATCTGAGCAGTCAGCCGGTTCTATTTAATATATATGTACCTTAGTGTTACTACCGATTTAAGTGAAAATTGTTCAATTATTTTACTTTGCATTAGTTGAGCTCAATAATCCTGACTCTTGAAATAGACACAATTTATTTTTTCTTCTAATCAGGACCTGCACTCAAAAATATGCCAGACTTGCCTATCTCTAGGAAATCCTGCTTCTTTGCTTGAAAAAAAAAAAAAAAACCCTGTTCCTTTCCCCCAACTATCTATGTAGATAATCTCTGACTTATGATGGTTTGACTTAATGATTTTTGACTAGATGATGGTGCCACAGTGATACACATTCAGTAGAGACCGTACTTCAAGTACTCATACAACCATTCTGGTTTTTTTTTTCACTTTCAGTACAGTATTTAATAAATTACATGATATATTCAGGCTTTATTAGGAAAGGGGCGTTATATTAGATGATTTTGCCAAACTACAGGCTAATGTCAGTGTTCTGAACACTTGTAATACAGGCTAAGCTAAGCTATGATGTTTGTTATGTTAGGTGTATTAAATACATTTTGACTTAGGATATTTTCAACTTCTGTTGAGTGTATTAGGAAGTAATTCCATTATAAGTTGAGGAGCTACATGTTCTACACAGCCTAGAAAGTGCAGGTCCCACTATCCTTCATCGATTCCTCTCATTATCACAGCACTTGTGGTTCCCAGTCCTTTCTGAAGGAAACCTATAGGACTATGCTTAGTTGACTTCTTTGAGGAAAAAAAACTGTAGTTTTTTAAATCTATAACTCCAGTCATGCTGGGGATGGTACTTGGCATGCAGTGGGCTCCTAATAAATTCCTATGGAGTGACAGAACATGTATAGATATTTACATTTTATTATTGTTACTTTCACATACATTTCCCTATTATATCCTCAAAATGTCCTTGTAAGGCAAGTATTTTTCCAGAAGAGGACTCAAAGGGATAGTGTAACTGTCCTGAAGATGCACAGCAAATAAGAGACAGAACTTATTCTTCTAACCCTAAACTATCATTCCCCTCTACTTCCCACCCATATCATGGTACTTCTTGATTATGAGCTGTTATGTATCATTTGCTGCAATAGTCTGAGTTCACTTTGTCTATATAAGTATATTATAAACTCCTCAAGGGTAAGGTAAATATCTTGCTTTTCTGCTTTCTGTACCCCTTCTCTCATTATTGTAATAGGTTGGCAATTCCAAAAGCATGTATTCTGTATTGTCTGATCATTGGCTATCACAAATCACTGTGAGATTAATTTTTTTTAGCCCTGCTTTGCCAAAAAACTGATTTGTCTAATGAGGTCATTAAAAAAGCATGAAATATATTCAGAAGACTCTGGAATTTTATGCTGTGATGGCAATATTTGAGTTGCCTGAGCACGTATTAAAAACCATTAAAGAAGCCGGTGTGCTTATTAAATCTTACAAAGAAGTTTTCTTTAGTCATTGTAATTGAAAAGACTTCAGTATCCACTCATCTGCCAAGAATCACAGATGATCTAGTGGGACAGAGTTTAATAATAAATCCTGGCACTTGGAGACAGGTCCTGGTTCTGTGAAAGTTTCTTGTCTCCTTTTCTGAATAGGAATTTTCCCAGCAAAGAAATAATGGTTGGGTAAACCTGGTATGTCCCCTTTAACTTATCCCCACTCACTAATACATGTATATTCCTAAAGTTAATGGGGCCTTCTGAAATTACATGGTCTGAAATTATATTGCCATTTAGCAGGAGCTGAAGGCAAAAACCATCCAATGGTTAGGTCTTATAAAATCTTATGTTCAGCCAAAACATTACTACCTATAATGATACCTCTTTTGATATAAGTTTTTCTTCTTTGGAGAGAGCTAAATAAGCTTATTCAAATCTATAACCAACTTATTTGAAAGCAATTCAGGGAAGTGACCTCCTGGGCTCAACCTTCCCACCTCAGCCTCCCAAGTAGCTGAGACTACAGGATTGCCACCATGCCCAGCTAATTTTTATTTTTATAGAGACAGGGTCTCTTTGTGTTGCCCAGGCTGGTGTCTTACTCCTGAGCTCAAACGATCCTCTCACCTTGGTTCTGGGATTACAGGAACAAGCCACCATGCTCGGCCACACAGGTTTTTAAGATAAATTCTTCAAGAGATTAAACTACAGGTCTATGTTTAGAGGAGGGAGAGATTACAACTGGCTTAGACAATCAGACATTGTGGGAAATCAGGTTTTGTGGAGAAGGTAGAATTAGTAATGAATCTTAAATGTGGAACTGAATTTCGAATGGTAAGAAAGGGTACACCATGAATTAGGAAACATTGAAAATCCAGTTTACCAAAATCTCTGGGTATGAGCAGAGAAATAGTAAGAAATAAAGTTGGAAATGTAGATAAAGTCATGACCAATGAGTTAAAAACTCTTTATGTAAGCTGTGGAATCTTCTACTGGAAGGTTTTTAACCAAGGTATTTCCAGCTGTTAGGAGTCTGCGTGAGATTGTAGAAGCTGCTCATCGAGGGCAATCAGGAACTTATGCCTCAATAAACTGGTGATATGATCATATTGACTTTAAATACCAAAAGACAGCTTTCATGTCCAGCAAGCAGTCGACTTTTGATTCTGTGCTGAGTATTTTTTGTTGGCTCCTAAAACCCAACTCTTCCCCTCTCTAATCTGCTTTGGGCCCCAGGAACTGGCATGGCCTGTAGTCAACAGGTTTGCTTCTCTTTTGTTTCTGTTCTGGCCAGTGGGAGGTGCTGGCTGGAGCTCTATGTCAGCAAGCTAGCCCTTATTCCCCAGTCCCTTCCCCTGTGCCATGGCTGGCACAGGTGTTGGCGGTTGCTGGGTTCCTTCAGATGTAGGACTTACGGGATTCTGGTCACCTCTCCCTCTTTGCCCCTTCAGGTCTAGGGGTGTATCCTTGGGGATGCTTCACCTCCCTTCTTTTTCCCTTAGCTCTGTCCTTCTTTAAACTCCCCTTGGTCCCTGTTATGAGTGTGCCATCTGTTTTCTGAGGGGAACTTTATTAGTTTTTCATGTATTTTGGTTTCAACAGTGACTAAATTGTGGTAGTTTTCTAGTTGTCCTCAAAATGGTAAACTAGAACTTCAGATAGGACTTCAGTGCAGAGGAATTCAGGTTGCAGACAGGTCTAACCAATGCAGAGGGGTGTGGGGCCTTGCTCCCCGTAGCCTTCAAGCTGGGTTTTTATTAACACATAACTAATTTTTCTTAGAGAGGAATCATTTGCAACTAGATAACAAAGTTTTTTATGTATAGTTCACTAACATTAACCTGTAAAAACAGCTTTGTTGGCAGAAATCTTCATTGTAATAAAGTTTATTATATATAACCCATTTTCACCAATTTACCACAAAGTCGAGTCTGCCCTGGAAAAGTCAAGTTGGACTTGGAGATGTATAGTGCACATACCATGCACATACCGTTCTCTTACACTGGGAAATTCAGGGCAGACTGGCCAGGACAAACAGGAACCCTCAGGATAGGTTCATGTGGAATTTATAGAGGAGTCTGTTTTCATTGTCACCTCTAATTTTTCAAACCTAGAGAAACACTTTTCCTTTATGTATTATTTAACTTTTATCTTCCTACCTGCATGGGCAGAGTAGAACATTTCCACTTGAGATTTAAATTTATTTTGTCTTTCTGCTCTCTCCTCTTTCTCTAAGTCTTGCTCTTTAAGTTCCAACTAAAAGCTCTTTTCTCCTCTTTAAGGTGGAGCTGAATTTTCACCTCTTTTCTGTAACCTTCTTTTCTATGTCTGAGGGCAAGAAATGTGTGTTTTGGAGGCCTCCCATCACTTTAAAGGGAAAAGACCCTCAGCTGTTACTTCTAGACTGGTAAAATGATACCAAAGCAATTTTTTAACTAGAAATATTTTGTAGATGAGAACTTACTATGCATTGTGCAACTCAATAAAAAAATTGCAAGTAAAATCTTTTAAATAAGAACCAGAAATATTTCTGTTTAGATTTTGGTATATCATTTCCTAGCTAGCTCTTGCTCATCCTTCAGAACTCATCTCGAAAGCAAGCCTGGCCTTTCTGGCATCACACCCACCCCCAGCTGAACCCAGTTTTGATATTCCTTCTCAGCATCCTTAGACTTCCTTGGTCACAAGCCTTTCACGTTGTGAATTGCCCTTGATTAGCTCCCATTTCTCTCCCTTTGTGTTGTGAACCCTTTGAAGGCAGGGACCATCATGTTCTAAACTTGCATGTTCAATGCCGAACACAGGGCCTGACACACATGGTTAAAAGCAGGAACGAAAATGGAAATCATCATATTTGCTTCTCTATTTCAGGATTTGAGCTTCAGTGCACACAGGAATAGCTGGAGGAGTTCACAAAACAAAATGCAGATTTCTGTATTTTTTCCTTTTGCGTTTACTGTCCCAGGAGATTTAGACTCATCAAGACTGGGGTCATGCCCAAGAATGTAAATATTTGAAAATATACACTATGCATTGTGGCAGAGGTAAAGGGTAAGAGTCATTTACCTAATTTCCCCTAGAAGCAGGAAGGATAGCAATGAATTTTGCTTCTGAATTCATAGACAACTTCAGTAAGCTTGAGGCTTCGGGGCTTTGCCTCACTCTGGTTATGAGTCAGTATCTGGGGATCTAGAGAAGGTTTTACCCTTCTCAATTTGAAAGCAATCATTTTATGAAGACTTGAGGGCAAGTTGGTTGAATGGTTTTGTGTTCAAACACATTGAAAAAAACTATGGTAAAATTTTAGAAATATGTGTAAAAATTTAAATTTCATAAAAAATTACACAGGACAGCAAAAGTTTCCAGGTTGAAATCCTCCGTTTTTCTGGGCAAAGATTAAATCACCCATACAACTGATTGCTTTTAGTAAATTCTTGCTTGTATAAGGAATTTGCTTCTGGAAGTACCCTGTACCCCTGCATTATTAATTTTTTTAACTTCTGCTGGATCGTTTCCAACAGCAAAGATACTAAAATATCTTACATCTCTTTTTTAAAAAGTTATAGTCTCCCCATTACTCTCCAGCTAATACCCTATTTTTCTGCTTCCATTTATAGGTAAACTATGACAGAAATTTGAACAGTATCTCTGTGTTCATGCCCTGGGAGTTAGGACTGATAGGGACAGATTTAGTGTCAGAGCCGTGCATAAAAATCCTGGATTCTGGAAAAATCTCAAAGAGGGGATGTGAGTATGATTTACATAAGATAGCAGAGCGGCAGTTCAAAATTACAGATTGGACATACACAGTGGCCTGGAAGTGAAAAAAGGAGAATGGCCTTACATAGCAAAGAGGGGATGGGAAGCAAGGAGGTGACACAGTAAGCCTGAACTTTTTTCTAACAGCTTGCCAATGTAGAGAAGGAAAGAGATAAAGTCATACTTAGAGAGCCTGGGAGATCAATTTGAAAAATATAGGGCATTATTTAGCTTGGATAAAGTTTGGACAATTGGGCCTTTTGGAGGAAAAGAATGAAGTTATTTAATTAGAGTTAGCTGATTTGACTGTGTGAAATACTTTCTAGTCTTTCAATCATCAGATCGATTTTCTGATTCTACTGCCTAGGAGTTGGAGGTGGGATCGCATACATCACAGAGAGTTTCTTTTCTTTTGTTACCAGAATCACATATAGTACCACTAAGTATCCTGACAATCAATGTCAAGTTCAAATGGATCACTGTGTAAGGTATTGATTTGGCTGGCCAACTATCATGGTTGATTAAGGGGCATTAAAAATAGGTAACCACTAAATTTTTATTTTATCCAATGCATTCTCCTAGTATTGCAACCATAGTACAAGAAATCTCACCATGAGAGCTGATCTAATAAACAAGAATGCTGATCTTAGCATATTGAATAATTGAGTTATCTTGGATTTGGAAGTCTCTTTAGTCTAATTCATGATCTAATTTAGAAATCTATTATGTCATCACCATATAGCCTTAGTTTGTGCTTACCTATGGGGCACTTACTCATTCCCAATCTATTTTCTTCCATGAAGGGAACTAATTGTCATTTGAGTTAACCAGAACAGCTTGCTGTTACTTAACAAAGATGAAGGCTCTCAGAGAATAGGTATCAAGGAAATGGGTATGAGAATAAAAAATGATTTCTAGAATGCTGCCCAGGGAGAATCTACTTAAGTGAGGCACAAGAGCGAAAGCAGAGGATAAAGGTTTTGACTTTATTGGTTAGAGTATCATTGAAGGAACACAAAAAACATATTGTGGGTTTTTTTTTTCATCATTTCCCCAGCTCTGGCTCTGAGTAAAAGAGTCCCATGGCTCCAGGCCTAACAGAATGCTTGGCACATAGTTGGCACTCAACAAACATTTCTTGACTAACAAATATCACTTAACAATGTGCCTGCTATTTAAAAACGTATTCTGTAGAGTGAAAAAGCCCTGGGTTTAATTGCTGGCTTTACCATTCACTCACTGTTCCTCCTACCCCACTAACTCTCATGATCTTTTTTGTGAAATGGATTTATTGATCATATGTATCTCATAGAGTCTATGAAATATATACAAATACACATATGCACACTTGTAGGCATCTCTATCTCCATTTCCTTCTCTATCTCTTTAAAGAAAGATAAAACTATGCTTAAGGAGTACTTACATGACAGGCACTATTCTAAGTATTTCCCATAAATTAACTAATTTAATCTTCACAACAGTTCTACGTGTAAGATAATTTCACACATGAAGAAACAGGCACAGAGAGGTTAAGTAACTTGCTCAGCTAATGAGTGGCAAGCTGGAATTTGAAGCCAAGCAGATTAGCTCTTGAGTCCTTACTCTCAACTACTATATCACCTTTCCAAGGTAATGCATATAAAAATGTATAATACTTGGCTAGCACAATTTTTCCTTTTTTCTACTGTTACTATTACTTTAACCTCAAGTTAAATTCTTGTTATGGCTTAGGAGATCCCCAGAAAATGGAAAGAAACAAGACATCCTAAATTGAAAGCCTGGGGTAGACAGACCCCCATCTCAGAGGACACAAACGGTAGCATGTTTTGGTAGTAACCGCTGCTTCTACAGCATAGCTTTGAGTTTTATCAAACGTAATTATGTAGCACACCCCTTAGGGAGAAGCCAATTTTCTTGGGTGCTCAGTACAGCATCCAGGGTAGTGCACGTACTTGACAGTTTACTTCCGAAGTGATTATCACACTTGTGTTAATCTATCAGTGGCAAATGACCCCCAAGGATTCACAGAGACTGAACAATGCAGTGCAAGATCAATATCATATTTCACTTTGGCGGCAGTGGATGTCTGGGATAGCTGAGTAGGATGAGAGTGAAATGAGCTATTGGATTATTGAGCGAGTCTCCTCTGGAGTCATCCCGGGATTCATCAGATATTAACTAGGAGCTGAATTTTTTGTTGACCATAGATCTAGAATGAGATAAAACGTCTTTTATTTGATAGCTGATAAAGTATAACTTATGGAGCATGATGTAATTAATGAGAAGTTTTCTTGGTTATAAAGAAAAGAAAAACTTCTATATTGTGGTAGTAATTGATTATGTGTTTATAACTCTGAGTTTCCAAACTTTTAAAAATGTATTATATTTCTTCTCTAGCATGTGTATTCTTACTCCTTATTCTTCTCAGTACTTTTGGAGGAAAAAAATAGTTAGCCTAGATAATTTCTCTTCCCCTTTTGTTCTTAGCATTAGATTACAAAGGTTAGTTATTTAACAAGTATTTGTATTTTGCTTTCTCTGTGCCAGGCTCTATGGTAGGCAGAGTTGATATGAGGCACATTCCCTATCATTAAAGAACTTGCAGTGAAACAAAAACAACTGGGTATCCTGGAGCCAATTCTACTGTCTAGAATGACTGATGCTTCAAAAGGAAGTGAGAGCCGGGTGTGGTGGCTCACTTTATGAAGCCAAGGTGGGCGGATCATCTGAGGTCAGGAGTTCGAGACCAGCCTGGCCAACATGGAGAAACCCCATCTGTACTAAAAATACAAAAAATTAGCTGAGTGTGGTGGCATGCACCTGTAGTCCCAGCTACTTGGGAGTCTGAGGCACGAGAATTGCTTGAACCCAGGAGGCAGAGGTTGTGGTGAGCCGAAATTGCGTCACTGCACTCCAGCCTGGGCGACAGAGTGAGACTCTTAAAAGGAAGGGGAAAGAGTGTGAGAGGTGAAATGGCTAAAATTTAAAAATCCTAAGTGTATTAGGATTCTCTAGAGGGACAGAATTAATAGGATAGATGTATATATGAAGGGGAGTTTAAGCAGTATTGACTCACATTATCACAAGGTGAAGTCCCACAATAGGCCATCTGCAAGCCAAGGAGCAAGGAAGCCAGTCTGAGTCCCAAAACCTCAAAAGTAAGGAAGCCAACAGTGCAACCTTCAGTCTGTGGCCAAAAGTCCAAGAGCCCCTGGCAAATCACTGTTGAAAGTTCAAGAGTCCAAAAGTTGAAGAACTTGGAGTCTGATGTTTGTGGGCAGGATGTACCCAGCATGGGAGAAAGACAAAGGCTGGAAGACTCAGCAAGTCAAGTCCTTCCAACTTCTACCTGCTTTTATTTTAGCCATGCTGGTCAGTGATTAGATGGTGCCCACCCAGATTGAGGGTGGGTCTGCCTCTTCCAGTCCACTGACTCAAATGTTAATCTCCTTTGGCAACACCCTCACAGACACACCCAGGAACAATACTTTGCATCTTTCAATTCAATCAAGTTGACACTCAGTATTAACCATCACAGTAAGGAAGATGTGCAGAAGAGGCACTAGCTCATAAGGAATCTGGCCCATGTGTTGTGTGTGTGCGTGTGTGTGTGTGTGTGTGTGTGTGTATTCGTGTGCGTATGTGGTATAGGGGATGGATCTGAGAAGTTCTTTTATTCCACCAAAACACCTGAGAACTGACTCAGGAGCAAATGTTGGGAGAAGCAGATAATTCTGTATCAGTCAGGATAGGATACATCACACATTGGTGACAAACAACTCTCAGATCTTAGTGATTTATTACAGCTAAGGGCTTTTTATTGCTCATACTAGCTGTCCATTTTGGTTCGGCTGAGGCTTCTGCTTCAACATTTCCTGACTTTTGGATCCATGCTGATAGAAGAGACAACATCTTAAATGCTGCCAGTTGTTACGTCAGAGGGAAAAGAGAATGAGTTTCTCGCACTGGCTGTTAAATGCTCACCATTTATTGGCCAGAACTAGTAATGCTGCTTTGAAGAACCAGAAATGGGCTGGAAGTATAATATCACCATGTGCTATGAAGATAGAGAGCTGGAAATATTTGGTCAACAGCATCAATGGCAAAATCAAGTTTCTGCAGAACATGGAAGAAGGAAGTCAGATGCTAGTGAAAAAGAGTTCAGGTTCTTTTCCCAGGGCCAAGAAACGGAAGTAAGGGCTGGCAAGATGAGCACAAGAGGAAGCAACATGAGGACAACCAGATTCTAATCCCAAATCAGCAGCCTGACCAGGGACAGACCTCTGAGTCACAGTTTTCTTTCCACGGCCAATTTTATAGGACTGTTCTGAGACAGAAATGATATTAACATTTCATGCATAAGAAGAGTAAGGTAAGCCCAGTGTGGTGGTTCACGGCTGTAATCCCAGCATTTTGGGAGGCTGAGGCCAACGAATCACTTGAGGTCAGGAGTTCGAGACCAGTCTGGCCAACATGGCGAAATCCCATCTCTACTAAAAATACAAAAGTTAGGTGGGCATGGTGGCACACACCTGTAATTCCAGATATTCCAGAGGCTGAGGCCGGGTGCTGTGGCTCATGCCTGTAATCCCAGCACTTTGGGAAGCTGAGGTGGGTGGATCACCTGAGGTCAGGAGTTTGAGGCCAGCCTGGCCAAAATGGCAAAACCCCGTCTCTACTAAAAATGCAAAAAATTAGCCGGGTGAGGTGGCACATGCCTGTAATCCCAGCTACTCAGGAGGCTGAGGCAGGATAATCGCCTGAACCAGGGAGGTGGAGGTTGCAGTGAGCCGAGATCGTGCCATTGCATTCCAGCCTGGGTGAAAGAGCAAAACCCCATCTCAAAAAAAAAAAAAAAAGGCTGAGGCAGGAGAATCCCTTGAGCCTGGGAGGCGGAGATTGCAATGAGCAATAGAGTGAGACTCTTGTCTAAAGAAGAGTAATGTAATACAGTGAGGAGCATGTAGAGTTTTCCTATTCTCCTTTTTCTCTGCTGTAATGTCTTCTGTTGTATCCAAGATAGTGTATTCTCTCCAAGGTAAATGAGTGAAAACTGCTTGAGTGTTTATCTCAGGAAGTGGGCAGGCCTGCATCTGCAGGGAGAAGGAAGTTTGCAGCTGAAGGAGACGTCAGTGGCAGTGGTTCTCATTCAGGGAACGCTCTAACCTGCCAAAAGTGTTTGGGTTTGTGAAGGAAGCATTTTGGACATTTGCAGTGATTAGGGTACACGACTGACATTTGGTAGGTGTTAGATAAGGATGCTGATTGTCCTGCACTGAGCAGGACAGTCCTGCACAAAAAATAATTGCACCACCCCAAATACCAATAGTAGAGAAAAACCGGTAAGGGAAGAAGCAGCTGTCAGCCACAGAATATAAAAGCTCTGTAATTTAGGATGGCTTTGAGCTCCACAGAGACTTGCCACGAAGTTGCTAGACTCATAAGAATGTGATTTTAGCTTTCCTTTTCCACTTAGGTGGCATCGCAAACAGTGATTGGTCAATTCAATACTGGTGAGTGAATGTCCCAATTACTATGCTCCTGGTTCTTGCCCAGCTCTTGCACGACAATATTCCTTAAGATAGCTAGAGGCTTAAAAGGGAGATTTAGGTAAATTCACAGATGGTATTCTTAGCAAGTTAAAAAGGGTAGATAGGAACATCTAGTAAATGTAAAATTCTTCAAGTCAGCATCAAGAGTAGCTACTAATACCTTGAGCCCTGTTAGAAACAAGACTCTTTCCTGTAGGCACAGAGCCTGGTCCTGGGTCTGGGTCCTAGGTCTGCTTGCCTATGCCTTGCCTTCTCTCCCAACTCTACTGTTCTTCAATATCAGGCTCAATTATGCTTCAGCAAGGAAACTTTGACAGAGAACTGAGCAAACCACAATCTCTCTGTCTTTTAAAATCCTGCCTCGTTTATCACCTGAAACATTCATCTGAATGTCTGCTTCTTCTAAGAGATCTTAAACAAAAGATGAGATTTGTATTAGGAGAATTTATTCTGCAAGTGGAAAGAAGGGTGGCAGTGAGAGATAAGAACCTGAAAATTCCAGATATAGTCAGTTCTTCTATAATGCTTGTTTTGAAGACACAAATTTGTTTCAACAAGATTGAAATATTAGGAGGTGAACTGAGCACAATGTGATTTTGCATTTTCTTTCACAGTTTTGTCCACAGGGAATGCTGGATGAATGCAGAAATTGCACTCTGTTGTATTGGGCTATGGAAGAATTCACAAAATGAGCATGTGCATGTCTACCAGCTCTGTCAGCTCACTATGTGTATTATCAGCTGTATCCCTCCACACCTGACCTTTCCACATTGTCTGATTTCAACTAACCCTCCTTCCTCCATTTCCCAGTTACTTGCAAGCTACAGCCTTCCTAAATTCACATACATAGGCAAACTTCAGGTTTTTTTCAAGATAAGGAGTCAGATTTTTTGCAATATTTACTAGCCATTTAACTTGTGTAAAACTACCATTTTTATTTGGTTCCTGTCTTTTGTTTACATGTCATGGACAACAATTTTGAATGTTGTGCTCCCATTGTCTTCTTAGACCCTGTCTGATTTCACATTGTGTGATTTCAACTAACCCTCCTTCCTCCGTTTCCCAGTAACTTACAAGCTGCAGCCTTCCTAAATTCACATACATAGGCCACTTCAGGTTTTTTTTCAAGATAAGGAGTCACATTTTTTTGCAATATTTACTAGCCATTTAACTTGTGTAAAACTATCATTTTTATTTAGTTCCTATCTTTTGTTTACATGTCACTGACAACATTTTTAAATGTTGTGCTCCCATTTTCTTCTTAAACCCTGTAATTTTTCTTGTACAATTTTGCATAGCATGGTGATGTTCAGGAATACTATATTACATTATAACAGAACTGACTGTAGTTTTGAAATTCAAGTTTTGGGATGCCAGGTTAATATTGCTGTGAGGAAGAGAAAGTGGGACACAACTTTTATTCCACTAATTATCCCCAAGCCCCAGATTGCGTAATACATAGTAAAGGGCTTTATCAAACGGGGACAAAATATAGATGCTCTGGGGGAAAATACTATGCATCTGTACGTTAAATGTACATTAAATAATTAAGAAATTACCCTCTTAGGTCTACTCTTATCTTCATGGACTTTTTTTTTCTTCTTTTCATGTGTCAGAGAAGAGAGGTGACCCTTCTTCAACTCTGTAGGCATGCCACAAATTCCTGTATGGACCCATTCCCATGGTGAGTTCTTGATCACTCTTCTTAATTTATGTCTTCAAGACATGAAACTGAGTTATTTCTTTACATATTTTTAACAAAGTCTAGAACAGGTACTTAACAGTATGAAGACAATAAATAATCACCCTGTTTAGTTTTGAAATTACATCTAAAATCCATCTTTTGCCTTGAGTAGTAAGACAGTGCAAATTTTGGGAAAGGTTTTGTTTCATATAGCCAATAAAATTGTGTCCCTTTAAAGAATAATAGAAAAGTATAAGAGTTAGAGGACAGGGTTTATTTCGAGGCACAGGGAGTCTTTTTTTTCTAGCTCTAGCTTTCTGTCTACTCTATCTGCTCTTGGCTTCTCCGTATTCTGTCTTGAGCATCTATCATTTAGTCAGGCTGCATCTTATCCTTACAGACTGGTCAAAACCCTGAAGAAGGTACAGATTCTTTCAGGGAGTTTACAATTTCTGGGTGACTATTGAAAAATGAAAAAGCCTTCAAGATTCAAAGGAGTAAATTTCTAATAAAATTCCAGACATTGTGGCAGGTGTTTCTGAGTTTTGTCTAAGGATTGAAGGCTAATTAAAATGAGAGTTGCTGTTAAAGACAGATATATATCTAAAAAAACCTAAAGCACATAAAAAATGGGTCAATAGTATTCATAGATTAAAGAGGGCACGTGGGGACCATTAAGTGCAAGCTTTTGGAACTCTGTTTAGAGATTTCCTTGGTGGGGTGGCACTCAGAGGAGCAGAAAGGCCAAAAGCCATGTTTTAACTTAGATCTATATGCATTTATATGAGCTTTCTTTTTAATAAAGGGTTAAGCACTTTAAAAGTGTTTGCAAACCAGTGGCTTAGCTCCATGTTTCTGGGGCTCCCAAAAGCTCAGTGCTTTTTTCCATCAATTGTCCCTTGGGAAAGAAGTTCCTTAAAGTCAGGAGACTGAGCTACCTGGCATGCTAGTGACTCAGAGTAGAGTTTAGTCTTGGTGAGTAGGAGAAGGAAGAAAGCAACTAATGTTTATTGATTACTAATAATAGGCAAGACAGTGGGCTGTGAACATTTTCCATTTTATTGTTTCAGTAACACAAGAAAGTGGCTGTTATTATCCCCATTTTGTAGTTGAGAAGACTGAAGCTCAGAGGTTAAGTCCCGCATCCCAGGCCACAGGATTCAGCAGTTACAAAGCTTGTATGGAGTATAGGCCTTTTGTCTTTTAAAAAAACCCAATTCTTTCAACTTTTCATCATTGTGAAGGGAGAATTTTTGGGATAAAAGAAACAAGACATGTGATGCTGTGTCTGCTGCCAGAAATCTCACCTGAGGCAGAGACTAAGAACCACTCAAAATTACTGTCCACCTGGGTAGGTAACGATTCCTTATTTGAAAGGTCACTTGGATTTTCCAGCCATAGTTGACAGTTTGTTTCACTGCGAGTATTGCCTCCGGTTTTCATGCCCCAAATGTGATGGCATTTCTACTTACCACTAGCGTACATGGTGTTGTTTTCTTTCCTTGTGGAATAACGGATTCACATTTTAATGGTGAATCTGCCTTTGGCTAGCTCATTTCCAATCACAGCACTCGAGGCTTTTCCTGGCTCTTCATTCCTGGGAAACAAGGTGCTCTAGGAGGGATGGAGGAAGCAGATGTTAAGCTTCAAAAAAAGAAGCTGAATTCTGCTTCATTGTCTCTGCAGTTATTTCCATTTTCTTTCTGTCTCTCCTGGTTTCTGTCTTTTCTGCTGTTCTTGTAACATCCACCTTAGAGCCTGTATCACTGAAGCTTCAACTTCAGGGGCATAAACAAAAATCCCTTTTCATCTACAGGTAAAACATTTTATGGTTTAGTAGAATTTTTATAATATGGCCAAGAAGAAAATGGTCATGTGACTAAAATGTACAATTGCATGTGTGTATAGAGATAGCGTGTCACAGAGAATGGCACCCTGAATCCACATTTGGAAGGAGAAAGATGGTTTCACACACACCTTCTCCATTTCTCTTTTCATCTTAGACCAGGAACATTCCTACGAATTCTTTGTACAAATGTGGGACTTTTGATGGGTTTTTTTCGGGGATCTGAGACATTTGAATTGTACATAGATGAAAGTAATTGAAGAGAAAATTACTACATGATAGTAGAACTAAAATGTAGAGTCCAGTTTTCTTCTTTCTGACCACAGCAACAAGATTCCTTTTAGCATTGAGTCCTAATTCCTGGTCAGAGGGAAAAGGAAGCCTTTTGCATGAGATTTTTCACTGACTGGACTCTCTGGTAATTAGGCCCATAACACATTGTCCATGTTGCCCACCTGGTGAGGGCCTTTATGATGGAATACATTTCTTTTTATCTTATCATTTTGTGTGGGTTGTTAGCTTCATTTTGTGTGGGTTGTTTGAAGATAATGTCCTTTATTTGCTCCCATTTGCTAAGAAAATTGTTTTCTGTGGTTCCTCTAGATTGGATGTGGGGCTACCAGGCTATGGGGAGCACACACATGGATGTAAGTGATTTATTAGATGCCAAGATGTTGAGGGTGACTCAGTACATCTAGGGACTTTGAACAGGGCTCCCTGGCACGTACTATTTATTGCAAGCTCATAAGAATTTACAAGATGCAAGCAGAGTGCCCACAAAGAGAAACATCAAAAGCATTCCCCTTTTGCCTCCTTTGAGAACAGTGCTGACTCTTTCTTTTGGATCCCGGGTGATACGGTTGACAACAGGTAGCTGAACTAAGATGGGGCTGAAAAGAGGCAGTCATATGGAAGGAAGTGTAATCCATCGTGCTTTTGAGCAATGTCAGTGCCATCATTTTTTCCCATTCTCAATGTGTGTCAAGAGCATCATGAGGTTAATTAAGTAAATCCTAAGATTTCTAGGGCAGATTGGCTTCAGAGTGGCCATGGCTGCTTATCAGGAGAAAAGCCCTGGAGTAGTAACATCAAACATTTTTGTACAGAAAGCAGCCTTAGGTGAACCCCAAGGCCATCAGGGTCTCAGTACATAGAGATTTCCCTGTTCACAAGTCATCGATTCATTCAACAAGCATTTATGAATGCCTATTTTGTACCAGGCACACCAGGAAGAAAAGAGATCTGGAGGTGTTCCTCACTTACCGAAGTATCATTCATATATATTCTTTAGGAACTTGAGCAGCTGCCAGATGAAAAAAAATCTGGAAAATAATAAATCTGAGATTAGATATTTTGGAGGCCATGGATAAAAAGATCATCTGTGTTGTCACATATCCCTGCTGCAGGCTGAATATTTACGTCTCCCCAAATTCTTAGGTTGAAATCCTAAGCCACAGTGTGATGGTATTTGGAGGTGAGCCTTTGGGAGGCCATTTGGTCATAGGGATGGAACCCTCATGAATTGGATTAGCAGCTTCATGCAAAGAATCTCAGAAAACTTCCTCTCTTTCTGCCATTTGAGGACACAGTGAGAAAATAGCTCACTGGCAAGGAAGCGGGCCCTTGCCAGACACCGAATCTGCTGGTGCTTTGACCTTGGACTTCTCATCCTCTAGAACTGCAAGAAGTAAATTTCCGTTGTCTATAAGCCACACAGCATGTGGTATTTTTATTATAGCTGCCTGAAAAAAACAAGACACTTCCATACCACAGACCACAAACTGTAGAAAAGCAGAAGCATGAAGAGACTCCCTGGTTTCTTCCTGCCTCATCTCGCAGGGTTCTTGGTGCTGTGGGCTCCCATGGGATAGAGGGTCTTTGAGGCAGCTGAGATGCATAGGGTACTGTCCCATTTTCTAGAGTCAAAGAAAGTGAAACTCATTCTCGAGTTTATCCAATTTTAAAGGGAAAGGGGAAGAATAAAGGAAGGGAGGAGAGAAAGTATGAGCACAATTAGAGAAATCTGTGTCAGCAACCCTGTCAGATTACCCAAGGACGGCAGAACAGGAATCCCTGGGTTCTCAAGCAAAGTCTTCTGCCTGGGTGGCACACCAAAGGCATCCTTGTCATATTGCATTGGCTTTAGGAGCCTGGAGAGTTATCCAGTAAAGACAGCTTGCTGACAAAAACACAGTGGAAATGTTGGGAGTCCTGGGGGAGCCCCCAGCAGTCACATGAGGTGGGGCCGCAATGTCTTTGAGCTTCATGTTACTGGAGTCAAGGTGCCTTTCCTATCTCTTTCTCCTTAGAACATGGATATTACCAGATGCCAAGAGTCTGCAAAACAGCAAATGAAGCTCCCCAGAGAGAGACAATAAGAACTCCCCTTTTCTACCAGTTCCAATAAGGGTTCTAAGAAACCCTTATGGATGTGGGCTTTTTGATGAAGTTAGTGGGTTTACCAACACTAGGCCAAAACATGGTTGCCAATGTGTCTAGAATTTCTAGGACCCCATAGTCTGGGGCTCCTTGCCACAATCTTGGGCCTCTGTTGGGGCATCATCCTATGAACTGCTGGGATCCTCCTCTCAGGCCCACCTCTCTAAATGTTTCCTTCTGCTACAGCAGAATCCACCACACAATTGGACACAAAAATTTTTCCAGTTGCCAGAAGCAGCACATCGCTGAGAGCTGGCATCCTGAGGGACCACCTCAGGGTTTATGGATTCCCTCCTGACATGGAGGTTTGTACTCCCCTGCCATCTTTCCCTCCCTACCCTGAGGTTTTGTTGAGAAAGAGAGAGAGAGAGAGAGAGAATACCACTGAATTTCAGCCTCTTATTTGCCCTTCTGAGTCTCTCTTCCACCTTCTCTCAGCAGTGGAACCGTCTCCTTCTTTCTGAATAATCGGGCTTCCTGTCCATTCTCTCCACCCCATGGCTCTATCCTTAAACTAAAAGTATTGCTCTTGATATAGAGAAGGAATCTTTTGGAATTGAAATGTCATTTTCTCCTTCAACACAGCTAGGCTGTTAGGATTATTATTTCACCCTAGATTTCAAAAACCCTCTCTGAAATTCAGTGCCGAGCAAGAACCTCTTTATTTTCATTTGGCTCCTCCCTCCCCTAAACAACAACAGGGCAATGATACTCATAAAAAATGGGGGACATTTTAGTTTAATATCTCAATGTATTATTACTGAAATGAAGTTTATGAAATACTCAAATGCTAATTGGTTAGCTTTCAGATTCCTGAGAGAATCTGCAGGCTCTTCTGAATGCTAAGGCATCTGGCCTTTTAAACAAGCTGGAAAAAAGAGATACATACCACCAACAAGCATATGAAAAAATGCTCAACGTCTCTAACCATCAGAGAAGTGCAAATCAAAACCACAATGAGATACCATTTCACAGCATTCAGAATGTCTATTATTAAAAAGTCAAAAAATAACAGATGCTGCTGAGGTTGCTGAGAAAAGGGAATGCTTACACACTGCTGATGGGAATGTAAATTAATTCAACCATTGTGGAAATCAGTGTGTCAATTCCTCAAAGAACTTAAAACAGAATTACCATTCGACCCAGCAATGCCATTATTGGGTATATACCCCCAAAATATAAATCATGCTACCATAAAGACACATGCATGTGTATGTTCATCTCAGCACTATTAAAAATAGAAAAGCCATGGAATCAACCCAAATGCCCATCAACAGTAGATTCGATAAAGAAAATATGGTACTGACACACCATGGAATACTATGCAGCTATAAAAAAGAATAAGATCATGTCCTTTGCAGCAACGTGGGTGGAGCTGGAGGCTATTATCCTAAGCAAACTAATGCAGAATCAGAAAACCAGATACCATATGTTCTTACTTATAAGTGGACACTAAGAGGGGAACACTTGGACACTAAGAAGGGAACAACAGACACTGGGGCCTACTTGAGGGTGGAAGGTGGCAGGAGGGAGAGGATAAAAAAAAAACTACCTATCTGGTACTATGTTTATTACCTGGGTGACAAAATAATCTGTACACCAAACTCCTGTGACATATAGCTTTACCTATATAACAAACCTGAATATGTACCCCTGAACCAAAAATAAAAGTTAAAAAACATAAGCTGAATGCCATGTTTCTCAAGCTCCAGTAATGTGCCACACATTCCTGTTACAGTGTTATTATACACTGTAGTACAAACTTCTTGTGCTTGTAGCTCTTGACTCTGAAAGAACTATTAAATGGAGAAAATGCACCAATTTTATACAAACAATTCAACTGCTATTTTAATAATATTCAGAAAAATACTATTATTTGGATATGGCTGATAATGTTTTCCTGAAACTAATCTATGACTTAAAGGTGAAAATGGCACTGATGGCTGTGGTTTGGGTTGTTGGATATTATGCACTTGGGAAGATGTTTCTACTGTGGTGGGCAAAGATTTAATTCTCCTATTTGTTTGTGTCTGAGCTACTTAAACCTTGGTTTATCAAGTACATCAGTTCCCCACTTGGTTCAAACACCTTCTTTTCACATTAAAGCTGTTAGTGTTTTATTAGCCACAGCAATTAAAAATTGCACCTAGCACATTTTAATTTTCATGGTGTTAATACAAAAATCCCTATGATGGGCAGACTTTTAAGAGGGTCCTTAATACCCACTCCTATTGATATTCACACCATTGTATAATCTCCCCTCCTTGAATATGGATTGGACCTGGTGGCTTGCTCCTGATAGAATATGGCAAAGATTATAAGATGTCACTTCTGTGGTTGGTTACAGTAGTTTGTAACTTCCATCTTGCTAGCAAACTCTCTCTAATGCCTTTCTGGTTTGTCTACTTTGGTGGACCAAGCTGCCATTTTGAAGTGGTGCACATGGCAAGGGACTGGGGGGTAAGCCACCAGCCAACTGCCATCTGGCAACCCAGATCCTCAGTCCAGCAGCCCATGAAGAACTGACTCTTTCCAACAGTGACGTGATCCTTCCCCAGTTGAGCCTTGCTATGATTGCAGCCCAACTGACACATTGATTGCCACCTGAAAGGGACCTTGAAGCAAAAGACCCAGCTGTGCTGGGCCCAGATTCTCAACCAACAGAAATGGTGAGATAAGAAATGTCTGTTGTTTTAAGCTGCTGACTTTTGGGGTAATGTGTTGTGCAGCAACAGGTAATGAATACAATTAGTTTAGTAAATAACTTAAGACACTAAAGTCTTATTTTGTGGAAATTATCTTTCAATGATACATGTAAAACAATCTTGCCTATAAAACCGTAAGAAAATTCAGGGTTAATATAATGGGAAGATGTGGAATGTAAGTATATATATATGTATTTAATATATATATTTTATATATTAAAATATATAAAATATATATTTAATATATATAAAATATATAATATATATATTTTATATATATTAAAATATATAATATATATATTTTATATATTAAAATATATAATATATATATTTTATATATTAAAATATATAATATATATATTTTATATATTAAAATATATAATATATATATTTATATATATAAATATAAAATATATATATTTTATATATTAAAATATATAATATATATATTTTATATATTAAAATATATAATATATATATTTTATATTTAAAATATATAATATATATATTTTAATAATTAAAATATATAAAATATATATTTTAATATATAAAATATATAATATATATATTTTATATATAAAATATATAATATATATATTTTATATATAAAATATATAATATATATATTATATATTAAAATATATATATATTAATATTAAAATATATATATATTTTATATTTAAAAAATATATATTTTATATATAAAATATATATATTTTATATATTAAAATATATATTATATATATATATTTTTACATTTGAACATACGAACCTAAATTCTGCCAGAAGTGTCTATCAAGATGTCAAATATAATTGTACTTTTGGTGATCATATTTGGTGATTACATGAAACCAACTTGATTGGGGCAGCTATTTGCAAAAGCAGGAACTAAAAATGTACATATTAGAACTTGTGGAGCTCTGAGACCATGTTTAAATAATACTGGGCTAGATTATCGGACTAGAACTAGAGTAGGTAGTAGAGATTACCATTGTTTCACATTATTTCACTAGAGAAAGTTTAAATACTTCAATGTAACAATCGCAGAATTTGTGTATTCCCAACTTATTTTTTTTACTTTAATAAAATAGACAGCTACTTTATATTCTTGGCCTGGAACCGTCTCCCACACTGTATTAGGAGCGTGTCTGCCAAAAGTTGTTGACTGTTGGGTGAGCAATCTCAGCAATTGTATTGCAAGTTTTTATTACAGTTAAGATTTCTGTACTCCTCTGTGAGGTATAGTTGTGCTTTTCTGGACTTACGTCATTTTCTACAAGTAAGTGGGAACCTACCAGAGACTCCAGCAGTGTTGTTTATTTTATAGTGCTTTTTAATATAGCATTGGAGATTAGAAAATCAATCTTTTATATTTCCTTCCCCGTGTGTGTTTCAGGTCTATGTAGATCAAGAACTGTGTACGAGGATGCATGTAGAACCTCCATGACATGCTAGAGAGCTGGCACTACTAAGATACTGCTGTTAGGGCATGTTTAGTGGTGTTACCCAGGAAATGTCATCGTGTCTATATTTCTATTCCAAGGGACAATGTTTTTCCAGTTCAAAAAGCTTTGCTAAAGTTCCATTATGGAATAGTGACACTATGTATCAACAATGCACAGAAGGAATTAGGACACACAGCATTCATACGCAAAAAGGTAAGACAAAACCAGCACCATGCCCACAGAAAGAATGGACATCCAGTGTCTGAAACATCACAGGAGCTCACAGTCTGTGGGAGCCCCATTGCTTTGGTACCACTTGAAGCCTCTGGAGAGAACTCTGCCTTGCAAGTAGTCCTCCTAAAGAGCCAGGGCCCCATAAGCCATGGCCAGCAGGAAATCACTTCTTCATTTGCTGAGATTGGCATCTGTCCCAAACCCTCCTCTTTGTGGTAGTCAGCAGAGCTCAGTGCTGTGTATGCATCGTTCTAGAGAATGCACCACTGACAGGATGGGGAGATGCTCACTGAAGGAGTTTTGTAACAGGTATTTATTTTTTACGTAATAGGTGCACATATTTTGTGGGTTCTGTGACAGGGAGATTTTTAATGGTCACACTCATGCAAAAGTACCTCACAAGAGAAAATAAGGGGGAGAGTACCAGGGCCCAGGAAGAATAAAACCTGGGACTCAGTCCTGACACTGCCTCCTATCAATCCCAGGAATCTGAGCAAGTTCCTAAAATGTTCTGCACTTTAGTTTGTTCACCTGAAATATGAACACAGTGTTAAGGGAGGTCCTACTTTAACATTCTTTTATTAGTCCATTTATGTATTCATTCACTAAATAGTTATAGAATGTCTGCAATGTGTGTGACACTAACTTAGGCACTGTGTATAAGACAAAAAATATTTCCTGCCATAATAGAGAGGATCAAATAAAATATTTGATTAAAAAAACCCCATAAACTTTAAGGCACAGAAGACATGTAAATTATCATGATGATATTAATAATGCAATGTCTTACATCCTCAGACAGCTGTTTATTCCCCTCACCCTCCGTGTAAGCATGCTGAATATACAACATCAGCAATTTCCTTCATTTGGAGAAGAGATCTTATTTTCTCTGTTAATCTAGGCAAGCCTGTTGCAGTGTTTGTATTTATAATTGCCCCTGAACAGGCTCCCAGGGTCCCCAGAGCCAAGGCATGCCAAGGTTGTTAAGATGCATCCTCCTCTTCCCCTTCTCTCACTCTCTCCATTACACAGGCAAATGTGTCATTGATGTGTAATTAATGACAAGGGAGTCAGGGGCCAGCATCAACAGACACAAATTAAGGCCTTGTCAGCCATGGATGTGTCAATGGGATTTTTGTTCTTTTGGCAACATGTATTGCTACAAAATGCGGTACAGTCTGGGAGGGAAGGGGAGTGCCTTTGTGGCATTAGTGATACGCCTTTTTACAGCAAGCCACAGGGGCAGCATCAGCTCAATCTCCTGATGAATTCAAGGCTTTGCAGGCTGAGGCAGATGTGGGAGCTGGAGGGAACATTCTTCTGTTGAAAATTTATGTGGTGTGCACATTCCCTCCGATTGTGAGCTGGCCTTAGTCTCTGCAAGCCCAGGAGATTCTAAAAAGTTTTGATCACCCCAGAAATATAAATTTACTGAGCATTCGCTGTGTACACTGAATGAGGCTTGTAGGTAAAGGAACAGAATGCGTTTCGTGAGTTCAGGGATTTTACACTTAGTTTATGGGGAATGGCAGACCAGACAATCAGAGATGGAAGGAATCTTAGAGTTCATGTTGCCCAACACCCTGGGCAGGAATTCTCTCCATACGATGACTTCTAAGGGCTTATAATTATTTATCTGGCTGTAGTTAGTCTGATACAACAGGGGTCATGGCATAAAATCCCAACTCCTCAAATATTGGAGGAGAAAGAGAGGAGTGTGAAACAGGCTCACTGTGCAAAGGTTATCAACTTGTCTTAATCCAATGTGACAGAGCACCCACTGGACACACACCATGTTACGTAAGTTGGATTTATAACATACAGATAGGCAGCAAAACAGAATTTAGGCAAAAGCCTGGGATATATCGCAAGCTGATCCCCAAAGTCTCAGGAAAGCTGCCTGGAGTGGATGGAGTCTCCACTGTACATATCTCAATTGCACCACATCTAAGAGATGCAGGAAAGCAGCCCACACTGGGCTTTATATCCTGGGAACAAGAGGACCAGTGAGCTAAAGCATTGAAGGACATCTTGTTTCTAGGAGAGACTAGAATGGAGCCTGAGATGTTCCAGCCAATCACTCTCTGTCTCAGGATGTGGCATCCCCAACACATTCTACAGTTATTCTTGAGACTAATGCCCAGAATTGAAGTCACTATGTCTGGCTAAGTCCTTTGCTGCTGAACCTGTTGGCAACACTAAAGCTGCCCCAGGTCTGAGTTCTTTATGTCTCATAAGACTTCAGCAGAGCTGTGCCTTACTTTTATTTCCACCTTCTATTTCTAGTTTTTTTATCCTAAAACTTAGACATACACTCTTGTGGTCTACACTAGATACAATTCAAATGACAGACAGTGCATCGTACACTCAATACTCCTTCCTACCCATTAACTTTCTTTCCCACCATTCTGTTTCATTTAGGAAGAGCTCTTTCTCTGAGGTTGGAAGGTCCTGTAAAGAGACTCCCAGCAGCTCCGTGCCCCTCACCTGCATCCTCCAGATGCGCTTCACAGATCTGATTCACTCCTCATATAAGCAGAGCTTAGATTTCTACCTTTCCTCAATTTTCAAAGAAGAATTATTCCCCTTTCTAGTCGCATCCACCCCTTCACTCTTCAAGACCTTGCTCCATCAAATTTTTCCTTTCTTTACTGTTTTCAATTCTCCTGCTTTTCCATTGGCTGCTTTCCTATGGTTGATAAACAGACCCAAATGTCCCATCTTAAAAAGAAATTCTCTGTCTAAGTGTCATTTTCAATCTTCTTGCCTCCTTCACAGTCCAATTTCTTGAAGGCATAATCTACACATGCTGTCTGTACTTCCACATCGTTCACTCCCTGTTCATCACTCGACCATCTGGCTTCTGTACTTACCACTCAAGTGAAGCTCTTCTACCAGGATCATCAGTAATGTCCTAATGCCAAATCTAATTGACTCCTTTCAGTCCTCATCATATTCAACCTCCCTGAGGCATTTGACACTGTCAACCACTCCATTATTTGTGAATCTTTTTCCTTTCTTAATTTCTATGATCCTCTTCCCCTTCTGTTTCTCCTCTTATCCATCTAATTATTCCTCTCTAATTATCACCTTTTGTGATTCCTTCTCACGCCCCAGAAATCCCTTATGAGTTTTCCCTTGTGAGTTCTGTCCTTGGCAAGACTTACCTTTTAGCCTACTTCTCTTCTCATTCCACATGTTCTCCCTAGATAGGTTTTATCTTCTCCCAGGTTAGCTTGATGCAGCTACTATTTGCTGATCATTTCTAAGTGTGTGTGTGTGTGTGTGTGTGTTTGTGTGTGTGTGTGTGTTTAACCTCGTCATCTCTGCCATGCAATAGACTTGAGTATTCAACCATCTGGGTAGTCAACAGGCAAGTCCACAGCAACACAACTAAATCTGAATGCTCTGACTTTCGCTATACACCCGATAATTTTCCTTTGTTACTATTCTCAATACATGAGATCATCTGCAATCTCCCTACTCAAGTCAGAAATCTTAGACCGAACATTTTTCTGTCATTTTTTCTGACCAAACCTCTAAATGGTCTCCAAGCTTTATGCCTTTGGTCTCCTTAACATCTCTAAAATATATCTCATCATCCCCATGCCCACTGGTGTAGATTCCCATCATCTCCTACTTGGCCTCAAATGAGGCGATGAAAAAGTGAGACACTTCATGCAAAGCCCTCCGTACAGTGTGGGTACATAGTATGTGTTCACCAAGTGTCATCCACTCAACTGAGTCTCATAATTAGTTTTCCTTCAGCTTTCCAAACTGTTCTAAATCCTTCTCTAGAATAATCTTTCCAAAATGCTAACTAAATCATATTAAGCCTCCCTTGCACTCCCTGTCTATAGAATAAAGATCTAACTCCTGAACAGCACACATAAGACTTTGCAGGAATTGGCTTTTGTCCTCTTCAGCATCGTCTCTTGCAACCTCCTATTTGCCCTGTTTAAACCAACACATTGATTCACTTAGGCATCTGAGCGCATGTATGCACTGTGACTTCACTGTGCCAATGTTCCTCCTGTTCTGCATGCCCCTTTTCCTACTAGGCACTCAGGGAACCCAATTGTTTTAGAAACTTGACTCAATTCTAACTTTTCTGGAGTTCATATGTGTTCCCAATAGAGGAGGCCACTGGACCTCTCTCAGGCCCTCATATGTGAAAGGTATGATAATAGCATCTACCACATAGGTGGCTGGGAGGGTGTAATCACATAAAATTATATAAAATATCTAACTCTGGCTGGTACAGTTTAATACTTAATGCATGTTAACTGTTTATATTCATGCTTCGGGGATCTCTACTATGATGATGATCATCATCCATGACTCCATCGATGTGCATATTTCCCAGTGCCTACTAGGTACAAGCAGTGTGCTATTTATCTTTGTGTCTCCAGTACTTAGTATTATGTTGAATAGATGAATGAATGGGATTTGCATGAGCAGATTTTTTTAGAACAGTGAAACTATTGTGTATGACACTGTAATGGCAGATATATGACATTAAACATTTGTCAAAACCCTTAGGACTATAAACATGGAGTGAGCACTAATATAATACTGTGGACTTTAATAATGTATCAGTGTGGTTCATCATTTGTGACAGATGTGCCACACTAATGCAGGATGTTAATCCTAGGAGAAACTGGGAGAATGGAGGAGCAGAAGGGTATATAAGAACTCTGTACTGTCTATTTTTTTCATAAAATTATTCTAAAAATAAATTCTAGTAATTAGGAAAAAATAGTTTAATGTAGCAGTTAAAAGGAGAGGATGGCATTACCTGTAAATCAGAGAAGTGGTGTGATCGGCCCAAGGTCACACAGCTATATCTGGTCAAGGAGAGGATGTGCAAAGCTTCTTCGGGGTACACTTTCCTGTGGGCCGTATTCTCTACCCTGTTTTTTCCTGCATTAAGAAAGCTGCATAGTCAGTAAAAGATGACTTTTTAATCTCCATTCAACTTTTTGTGAGGAATAAGGCAATCTCACTATTGACATTCCTCTTTTGGTACTTTGGAAAGTCAGTCTTAGGTGGAGTGGAGTTTATTAGGGACTGTATGAGAATACCCTTCACAAGACTAATTCAGAGTCTTTATGACTCAGTGGAGGCTGTCAATCCTAAATTATTTGACATTTAATTCCTGCTGATGTAAATTTTATGTGACAAATAGTTTCATTTAATTGTGTCACCTCTGGCTTATATACACCATAAAAGATTTCACTTTTTAACAGCCAGCAACAAAAGAGCCCTGGCTGCGAGGGATAATGTCAGGAAATCTTGCAAGGGCATGGCTGGTTGGGGAGAAAAGATCTCTGGAGGGAGGCTGTGCTTAGGGCATACCTATACCTGTACCTGTGCTTCTGCTGGGAGTGCCTGGGCTGGCAACGGTGCTACTTCCTCTTGGGACCTGGACATATATATTCTCTTTCTTGGTCCACACACCTGCCCCTCCTCTGACTCTTCGTTTCTGATGAATTTGCCGCAAAGCACTTGCTTTGTAACATGCTTTGGCACACACTAATAACAATCATATTTTGTGGAAATTCCCTGACTCTATGTCTTTGTTTCTCCATCTAAAATCCCTATTAAGGAGGATGGCCTGACTGAGTCTCATTAAATACTGAGAAAGTGCTGACTTGTATCTATGTATCACGAAAAAATTGATTGAGCATCTACTATATTTCAGGCTGTGTGGTAGATTCTCTGGAAAACGAGCACCATCTATTCCAAAGAAGCTTTCAGTTGACTAGGAAGCTCTGACATACATACATAAAGAGATATATAGAAAGGCATATGGTGTGCAATATTTTATGATATATTAGGGACTTTCATGTGTCCATTATAACCATACTCGCTGGGTGAGTAGAGGAGATATTTCATTGGTGAGGATTCTGAAGTTCATGATGTGACAGCCGGTTTTCCACTTCCAAGGTCTGGTGTGCTGTTCTCATCACACCTTGTGGCTCTGCATCTATAAACACACTACAAAGTCCTCCAACAAAATACAAGCTCTTTCAAGATCTTAATAATACAAAATATATGCTGCTCTTGTAGATACCATTGCTGACAGTGCCTTCTTCATGATGTTGAGCATATTTTACTTTTTTAATTATGAAGAAATCAATGTAAAGACTGGTAAATAATCATTTTAGCCTTTGTGCTAGTATACATTCTAATATCTTACTAACAAAATGCATATAGATTTTTTAGGACATTCTATATATATTAGACACTTCTCATTTTGAGTAGACTATTCCTTCGTAGTACCAACCTTTGACTATTTGATAGTTCTATTTTCTATGTGAAAGATGTGCTACTTGGCCAATCTTTGGGCTGACTCTCACTTACCTGTGCCAGATACTTCAGACTTGCTCCAACTGATCCATTCTTCACTTTTCTACGCTGTTCTCTGCCTGGGGAGGATGTCCTCTCTGAACTCTATCAGCAGGCTCCTGTGGCTTCAGAAGGAGGCATCCCATTGGCTTTGACCCATGGGGAATCCCTGGCAGGGAATCAGAGGGCTGAAAGAGAGTGAGGCCAGCATGTTGACTCCCAGACTCCATCTCCTTGAAGTTATTTTGGGCTGGCTCTGCTGCTACTGTTACAGAGAACTTCCTTTTCTTCCTGCATCTTCTCCTTCTCCTTGTCCCTTCAAGTCTAAGGGCAGTAACAGCTATTTACCAAAAAAAAAAAAAAAAAAAAAAAAAAATCTGATGTACTAAGGAAACACATGATTTGTAAACAATCTCTTTATTAAATTCTCCTTGAATTATTCTAATCTGAGTGTGGCCTTTGTTTCCTACTGGGACCCTGTTTTCTATTGGTATCCTTAAAGAGTTTATGTACCTTGGAAGGCCCATGTTCCATGCACGTAACTGTCTCATGGCTTATCCTCACCACTCATAGACATTTTTCAAATTAAAAATGAGCATAGTGACCTAAGTAAGAAAACACAGGCAAAATGTGTGTTAGAAAAAGTAAATGTGACGTGAATGATGAAGGAGGGGTGAACATGGGCAGAATCCACTAACAAGACGTCTTTCTGTTTCTCGTCATTGAGTGACTTTAATTTTGAGGTATTTTGAGGTACACAGAATTTCCCCTAGGAACATCTATTTCTAAAACACTTACATATGTTTATTAGGGAAATAGAACAGTGCACTTGGAGGAGGCCTGGAATAAATTGGTGATTCACTGCTTACTAGTTTTAGCATCTGTTGACCTCTCGGAGGCTCAGTAACCTCATCTCTAAAATGCAGATAACGTTGCCACAGGCCCTTAATAAGTATCCTTATTTCATTATTTGGAGTTTAATGGCATAGAAATGTATTTTCCAAAAATACATAAATATATTCTTGGAACATTTTTCCTAGCCAAAAAAAATTTTGAGGGGTGCTTTGTTTTTGTTTTATAGATAAGAGGAAGTATGGGCTAATTAATATTCACCTTGGAAATTAAGTTCATCCCAAATTATCCATCAGTCAAGGTCAAACTATCCAAGGCTGAGACAGTCTCAGTTGATGTTAGCCTGCCATAAGAAACCTTTTGGATTAAGGATTTTGAAACTGATAACACCACATTTTATCATTAAATGACTTTTTTGTTGTTGTTTGTTTGTTTTTCGAGACAGAGTCTGGCTCTGTCGCCAAGGCTGGAGTGCAGTGGCATGATCTTGGCTCACCGCAACCTCTGCCTCCCAGGTTCAAGTGATCCGCCTGCCTCAGCCTCCCAAGTAGCTGGGATTACAGGCTCATGCCACCATGCCTGGCTAATTTTTGTATTTTTAGTAGAGACGGGGTTTCACCATGTTGGTCAGGCTGGTCTCAAACTCCTGACCTCAAATGATCCGCCCACCTCAGCCTCCCAAAGTGCTGGGATTACAGGCATGAGCCAGCATGCCCAGCCTCGTATCATTAAATGAATCTCACCAAAATGTTTAGTAATTAGCTCAGTATCTGCTATATTTTGTCTATGTTTTGTGTGAAGTACTTCAGATATAAAAATAAATAAGCTTTGGTCCTTACTTTCAAGGGGACCCTAACCCAGTTAAGGAGAAAGGGTAGGAGATGACCTGTCAAGATCACAGGCTGTGTCTCATATCATTTGTCTCTCCAGTGTTAACATAACTCCCAGTTTATTGCGGGTATCATCAAAGCTTGTTAAGTTTGAATAAATTAATTACCAGTAATGCCAGGCATCAGATGCAAAGACACTAAGGATATTAGAAATTCAGAGGAGAGAGAGCTCATTCTGGCCTTAAAGTTTCTCAGAGGTGGAGAAAATCCGTGGCCTTAATAAATGTGTAGATTTGGGTGGGTATAGAGGGGAAGGGTCAGCCCTTCTGGGGATTGTCTGATTATTTGCTTAGTATGGAATCATGAAAATCAAATTATCACGTAAAATGGTATAAATTTTAATAGGAAATGATTTACAGACACAAATTTACATAGTGGTGATTTTACTAGGACTTGACTTACATGTACAATCCAGAAGGCTATATCATTTTTTAAATCCTAACCAGCAGTATGTGAAAGCACTGTTTCACCATAACTGCACTAACATAGTGTGTTATCTTTTACAAATATTTATTCACCATAAATAGGATGGTGGCATCATATCTCAATTAAAAATACATTAGGTGGAAATTTTAGTTAACTGAGCAATGTCAGGGTCGAATAAACATAGACTGAGATTACATTGTGGTGAGATGAGGCTGTGAGAAGCACTGTGGCTTGATAAAGAGGCATAGCAATAGGTTAAAAGAGAGCACCCTGGCTAATGCAGGCGGTGTTGACGTGGCTGTTTGTGATATAAACAGCAGGGGGTTAATAGGCTGTGGGAAGTGAGCAAAGCTGGTGTGCAGGAATAGGCATGGTGAACAGAAACACATTTGTCATCCAGAGGGGAGGCTATCAGTTGGAATAGTGAGTGAGAGGAAGGTGTGGGATGTGGCTTGTGGTGGCAAGAAAGGGTCACCATAGGCAAGGCAGATTAGGGACTGGGTGGGTAGAGGTCAGACGATTTACGGACACTTTCCTGATGTATCTGAAAATAATAAGGTCAAGCACTGTGGGACAACCCGACGTCACTTAGGGCAAATAAATGGCAGGAGGGCTCAAGAAAATGTCCTGAAATACTGGGGGAGAAATGGGACATTAGGGGAACATGGAATATTGGAGAAGAGGAAGTATGGCTTAGAGAAAGAGGCTACAAGAAGGGGTTTGTACTGGGATCAACTAGTATGGCTCTTAGGGAGCCAGTAAAGTTCCATGGCTAAGAATAGCACTGGCTCCTTCATTTATTAGTCATATTTCCCTTTCTGTGCCTCAGTTTTGTCATCTGCAAAATGGAATTCTTGTGGAGTTTAAATAAGATGTTACATTTAACAAGAGGAAAATGGTGTTGGGTACATATTAAGTATTAGTCACTGTTTTTGGTGGTAGGGTTGTATTGTAGCTGGACGTGATGTTTTTTCTAGTTTTTGTTATTGTACTATTGTTGTTGGAAATGATGTCTGTATTTTGTTATTGTTATATCAAGGATGAGGCAGAAGTATACAGGACTGTCCTCTAATCCCTCCCAGCAATTGTAGGATACCCCAGGGATTGCTGGAAGAAGGCTTCAGTGCCCTATATGAGTATCTCATACAATTAGCATCCTCCTAATACTTCTAAGTTTTTGGATACTAGAGTTGTTTTATTTACAAGGTAACTCTCAAAAAATAAGCAAGGCAGGGCTTGGGGTAAATATTTAACGTTCACTGCAGAGTCTTTCTTACTGGGAGAGAGGAGAAAAGTCTGGACTGACTTTTTGAACTTAGCCAAAATACAACTTTTTCTGGTAGGCAGCTGGGGAAACCAGCCTGACTTCTGCCTTTCATGAGACCTAGGGGTCCCTAAGTGCCCATTAGTAGTCTTGGCTTAATCTTAGTTTTCTGCTCCTTTATGTTGGGGTTTATGTTGGTGTCATCTGTTTTGATAGGCTTTGCTCCATAAGGTGAGCTTATGGGCTTTGCAAAAATCTCAGCCTCTGTTTTTAGTACCCTTTGGCTCTTTGGTTTGACATTTTTGTTTATCTGTTTGGTCATATGATCTTTCTTTTCTTCTTGGTATGGCCTGATGAAAACAAGTGAACATTTCCTGACAAGTTTAAGCCCAGAGTTTATAGCTTCAGCTATGTTTCTGACTACTCTATATTTGTCTGAAGCCAAAGCTGTGTGAGAGTCCTGTTTCGCGTGATGATTTGGACAAAGTCTGGAAGGCTTTTACCTTTCATGTGCCCAGAGATAGAAGGGCCAAAAGAACCAGTGTCCAAACTCAGGGATGCATTTCAATAGGCAGATGGAGCAGTGCTTCCCAACCCAGGGTTTTGGATAAAAGACCCTTCCAACTTAGATGAAAATAAGTTGTAAAATACATTAAGCAATTATTCGGCTATGAACACCTTAGTCATGGATTAGTTTATAACATTTACTCGCTGTAAGTATTTTATCAGGGCAAGCCACTTCTGACAAAGGGACAGAAGCCAGGAGAGGTCCAGGAACTGCCTAGGAAGGAAGGGTATGTCCTGCCATAACTGAGGACCCTGGAGAACCAAAGAAGGTGCATGCAACACAGTCTGTGCTTGTTCCTGTTGGAGGTGGTGGTGCTCTGGTTGAGGGAAGAAATTACAAAAGGGTAAAGGGAGCTTAGAAAAGCATTACAGATCCTAATTGACAATCTTGATCTCACATTGTTATCTTGGATTTGCCCTGGATGTACACAAATCCATATAAGAGGCTGATATGGTTTAGCTGTGTCCCCACCCAAATCTCATCTTAAATTGTAGTTCCCAGAATCCCCACATGTCATGGGAGGGACCAGGTTGGAGGTAATTTAATCATGGAGCTGGTTATCCTCATGCTGTTCTTGTGATAGTGAGTTCTCACGAGATCTGATGGTTTTATAAGGGAATTTTCACCCTTTTGCTCGGCACTTCTCCTTGTTGCCATTATGTGAAGAAGGACATGTTTGCTTCCCCTTTGGCCATGATTGTAAATTTCCTGAGGTCTTCCCAGCCATGCAAAACTGAGTCAGTTAAAACTCTTTCCTTTATAAATTATATGGTCTTGGGTATTTATTCATAATAGCATGAGAATGGACTAACACAGAGGCCCTGCAAAACCTTCAATCAGTCATCTCATGTGATTAGGAAGAAATCTGGTGGGAAGGAGGCAGATCTAGGATTACCTATGAAAGTTCCTTTCATTAGCAGCCCATCCAAGTGGAGGAGTTTCTGCTTCATGAAACAACTTAGGTAGGATTGTGTGACACAATGATTCTTCGTTTCCCAGAAGAATGATTCCCTTCTTATCTTTTCATTACTCAGTGAGTTGCCACACATGTTGGTTCACAAATCGTTAGTTGTTTTGTGATCTCAGTGGGTCTAGGAATGGGGCAGAAAGTGTTAGAAGCATAATCAGTTGCATATCCACAGAAAAGAATATATATTATATATAATTACTTTTTAAATATCCACTCCAACTAGACTTACAGTCTGCAGAGCACACTTTATTCACCCCTGATCCCAAGACATTTTTCCGGTTTTTCTATCCAATCTCACAAATCCAGTTCACATGCTGTCTCCTCTATCGATTCTTCTTGTAAGTGTATAACCTGATGTTTCTTCAGCCCTAAATATCTTTTTCTGAATGTGTTCCAACTTGTTGATTTCCTTCTTGAAGTGTGATGCTCAAATTTTGACACAATACAGTGGGCCTTTTGAATATAAGGATTTCACATCCATGGCTTCAACTAGTGATGCATCCAAAATATTCAGGAAAAAACCATAGGAATAATTCAAGAATAAAAACGATATATTATGACAAGTATTTACATAGCACATACATTGTATTATGCATTATAAGTAATCTAGCAATGATTTAAAATATATGGGAGTATATGCATATATTATATACAAATACTATGTCCTTTTATATAAGAGGCTTGAGCATCCTTGGAATTTGCATCTATAAGAGTCCTAGAACCAACCTCCTACAGATACCAAGAGACAACTCTACATCACATGTGGTCAAATAAATGTTAGCTAAAAATAAAACAGAAAAATTATTTCCCAATTTTCAATATCATGTTTTCACTGGTGCCATTGAAGGTGACAGACACATTCCACAATGAGCTCTTTGTCCCCTAAAACTTCTGCTCAGCCATATGCATACTCCAGCTTCTTTGTGCAATTGACTGTGTAGATTCAAGTGTAGGATTTACATTTATCTTCAGAGAAATGACATCGTATAAGATTCAGTTCATCACCCTAGCCTGTTGAGATCCATTTGAAACTGGATTATAAAAAATTAATTTCCTTTTCTGCCTAATGTTATCCATGCATTTGATGAAAGTGGCTAGGAACTTGTAAAAATGTGGGGAAATACTTGGTTGAAGAAATACTCCAGTTCAGGAGAGCTGTGCTGATGCCAGTAGGTGCTGCTACCAAACCTCATTCAGATCCACAGCAGCCAGAGGAACTCCATTTCTCATTATTAAAATAATTATACTCCCAATAGTTAATATTGCTTGAGCCATTAATATATACCTGGCACTATGCTGAGTATATTATATGCATTATCTCATTTATCTGCACAGGAATTCTATGTGCTGCTTAGCATTATTGCCTCATTTTATAAATGTGGAATCTTAGAGTGTTCAAGTTATTTGTCCCAGCTCATCAAGATGTGTCACGGCTTGAACATAGGTCATTCTGATGACAAAACCTGTGTTCTTCACAAGCCTTCTATTTTGGGTTGTAAAGTCCAATGGTCTATTGGTTGTAAAATCCAAAAATTGTGGGTCAAGACTGGTTCTAAGTTTATTTCCCCATCTAACAAAGATGCCTCACAGAAGACTGACGGAAGGCATCCAGTGTTGCTTAGCATGTATGTATTGAATGAATGAGTAAATTAATGAATAAATAGATATTGTACCACATTCTTTTTCTTCCTTAAAGTATGCAAACATCTGGGGACTTTTCTTTCAAGGTAAGACGGCGGATAACGTGCACTCATCTGGAGTACTGGCAAACACAATCCAGTGGACATCACTAAGGTTTCAGAAAGTGTCTCCTTCTTGGAACCTTTCCTCAAGTTAATGCTAATGGATTTCACGTAGACTAAGGAAAACACAATCAATCTTCTTTTTGGATATATTTTTCTCTGCAGTTTTATCTTTTCTTTTTAATCAAGTAAAAAGTATTTTAGATATTTGGGGGTCTTTGTTTCTTTTCTAAAAGTAAAATCAGTGAAGTTAATAGGGTAAAATAGGGTACGTCTATTGAATGAAAGGAATCTAATTAAGAGGCTATTTTTCCCCTGGCTTATTACCTCTCCTAGTTTGGCTCTTTCTGTGTATTTAACTTAAAAACATTTAAAGTTAACATGTGACAAATTTGACATCTAAGATGTTGAAGGGTGACATTGGGATATGGCCTGCCTAGATTTTTATTGTCACTCTGTTATTGGCTGCCAGGTTAAGCCTTATTTCTTCCTCACATATCATTTGCATGGAGATATAGTTATTGCCTGTGCCACTTATGTAGTCAGGGCCTGCCAATGCTTTGTGTTTCCAAGGGTGCTAGGAAAATGATGACTCCTCTCCCCTCTTAAACTCCAACTCTCTAGCTGAACTTTCATCTCAGTTAAAGTACAAATTCCTTGGCAGGGTTATGCTAAGTTATTTACACTGTATCCTGTCTGAAACTCTGATTAAGGGAAAGAAATAGAGTCACATGAGAGTCACCAAAACTGGGCAAGTGTCGGAGGGGGTGGTGGTGCAGAATTTGGAATCTTCAGGCCCAGAAGACAAACTCACTCACCTTACAATATTGAGCAGGGTGAACATTTCATCAGGGATATTAGGGATGCTCATGTAGGGCCTGTACTAGGAGAACCATCATGCTCTTCTCTTATGGGGAACAGTGACTCCTTGAATTACTTTCCTGTTGCCTTGTAACAAATGACTCCAACTTAGTAGTTTAAACAACATCCACTTGTTATTCCACAGTTCTGTAGGTCAGAAGTCCAGCTGGGCTTGGCTGGGTTCTTTACTTAAGGTCTCAGGGGACCAAAGTCAAGTTGTTGGCTGTGCTGGTCTCTTATCTGGAGGACCTGTGAAGAGTCCCCTTCCAAGCTGCCTCGGGTTGTTGAGTCAGTCCCTTCCAATTGTAGGCCTGAAGCCCCTGTTTCCTTGCTAGCTGTCATCTGGGGTTGCCTTTGGCTCTTCAAGGCTTGTGCACATTCCTTCTCATGTGGCTCCTTCCATCCTCAAAGCAGCAATAGTGCATTGAGTCCTTCTCACGTTTCAGATCTCTCTGACTTCTCTTTATGTCTTTCTCTTCTCTCAGCAGCTGAAGAAAACTTTATGCTTTTAAAGGCTAATGTGATTAGGCTAGCTCTATTCAGAAAAATGTTAAAATTTTAATGTCAACTGAATTGAGAATTTAATTACAACTGCAAAATCTGTTCACAGCAGTGCCTAGGTTACTGTTTGATCGAATACTCAGGGAGCAGGAATTTGGGGGAGGTCATCTTTAGAAATTTGCCCACCACTCTCCTCTTAGTCACTTCTTGGTCCAACAAACAACATTCTAACCTCCACCTTGTGCCTGCATCCACTAAGGAAATGAAGAATTAATCGAACAGCTGCTTATAGAGCTCTAGAATCTAGTCAACTGTGTATCTCATAGTTTTCTCCCCAGTATAATTTGTGAACAATCTGTTCATAGTTCGTTTAGTTTTCTCTTTTAAAACAGCTACAGAACACCTTGATTTATCCAGTGCCTGGGGCCCATCCTGTTGACTTGGATTGGAGTCGTGTGTGGAGGAAGCTGGAGATGCTTCATGGTGTGTTTGAGAGACTCCCATGCATGTCTGATTTGCCTCTGGTACTGCCCAATCCCTCCCTGGAGAGGATCTGGCAACTGGCAGTTAAGACTGTTTTCTTGAGTTTCCAGCTTCTACCACTCCATAAAGAAAGCCTTTTCACTACAGTCAGATGCAGCCATTACCATAATCTTAGTCAAATTGAGCCCAAATCTGCTTTCCATTAGTCTCAGTTGTGGCACTATATAGAATAGGCAATTCTAACAGCTCTTTTTTCTTATTATTCTATTTTCTGTTTTGCTGTTTTTTTTCTTTGCTGGAATACAGCATGTTTCAGTCAGCTGAGCTTCAGATCATGACCTCTCTCTCAAACAGGCAAAAACTGCCCTTCTTAAACCTTTTCTTCCTTCACATATGCCTTTGCCATTTTTTAAATGCATATTTCTGATGGGGAGCTCTGCAGCCTATGTGTCATGGTAACACAGTGGATGCAGATCGTAGACACCCAGAAACCTCAGTGCACTGGAAAGAACACGTTCAGCTGAGCTGAGTGGGATTTCGGTTCACCTTTCAAAAGTAGAGCATGCTGTGGTGTGAGGGGAGGTTGTGAGGAATTCACCTAGATCATATGACCAGTGTGGGCCTCACAATGCTCCCACATCTGCCCATGCAGAAGCATTCTGGGATGGCAGAAAACCAGGGATCCTCAAAGGGAACAAGCACAAACCTCCATGTTTGTGTAGAATGGGGTGAACGGCTAGTTATGAACCAGAGGCTGAGGTGATCTATTTACATCACAAGCATGCCTTGAAATAGATGTATATATAGCATTTTGTGTATTTGAAACTGATGGTAGTTACAGTGCATGGCATGCATTTCAGATATATTCAGGACTGCCGGAGAGGGCACATACACAATCCAATGACAATATACCATATTCATGCAGTTGTCAGCTGTTATCACTCTGAGCTTTGAGGCGTGAGTAAAATTGTCTTAGCCCCACATTGAACATCTGGTAGGAAATTTTATGTCTCCCCCCAAATCTGTGTGATTCCCTGGGGCTTCCCCTCTCATGGGCACTTCTGATTAGTGCCTGTCTCTCCTTTAATCTCATTTCCTATGACTGTTCCAGTCCCTCTGCTCTATACTTATCTGGCTGGAGAAATTGGCACTTTCTCCTCCTTTTCCCCCAAACCACTACAGAAAGCATTTAAAAATGTAGCAGGTTTTACGGGAGGATTGGGGAGGAGACAAGCTGATCTATAGCAACATTAATAATTCTAATTGGGATATTAGCTATCCCTGTTCTTACATGTCCTTCAGTCACTCAGTCACTGAGAATTTCTTACTGGCCACTTTCCTATTGCACCTACCTCCTGCCATATTTCTTTGCTGTTTCCCCTTTTTCTTTCCATCTCCCCTTCTTTCTTCTTCCCAACTTCCTCCAATTCCTGTTCATTTGTCGTGTAAAGCTATTTATCAGTTTGCTCCAAAGTCATCTTCTAAACCATGGCCCCAACTACTACACTCAGAGGAGCTTCCCTAAGCACAATTCTGACACTGTATAGAATAAACCTAAACGTGGACAATTCTCTTATGGCAACTCTTTAAATAAAGCTTTTTTTTTTTTTTTTGCCCACTGTACATTATTTATTTTCTGAAGGAAATTTATTGTAAAATTGTGGGGCTAAATAGTTGTCTACTGGTTTCCCCCCAGGCTGTGAGTTATTCTAGGGCTGAAAGCTTCTGCATCATTATCTTTGCATGTGCAGCTTTTCACAACTCCTCAGCACAAAAGAAAGGCTCAGAATATATTAAAAGTGACTTGGCCAATGTTCCGTTTCTTGATCTGTACTGTGGTTATATGGGTGATCTGCACTGTGGTTATATGGGTGTTCTGCACTGTGGTTATATGGGTGATCTGCAGTGTGGTTATATGGGTGATCTGCAGTGTGGTTATATGGGTGATCTGCAGCGTGGTTATATGCGTGATCTGCACTGTGGTTATATGGGTGATCTGCACTGTGGTTATATGGGTGATCTGCACTGTGGTTATATGGGTGTTCTCAGTTTGTGATAATCAATTGACATCTAATATGTTGAATGGTGATATCGAGATATGGCATGCCTAGAGTACACAAAGCACTTGTGATTTGTGTATTTTCTGTGAATGTGTTCTATGTCAATATATATGCTTTTTAAGATACACACAAGATGAAAATTATTGACAAGCTAGGGTTGTGGACTCCCAGTGAGGAGCTTCCTCCAATACTGAGCTGATTCTCTGAAAACTCTGGCTGCCTTCTCTAGAAACGTTTGGCTCCGTATGAAACAAGCAAAGTTGGTGTTGCTTCCCTATGACCCTCCCCCATGTCACTGCCTGAGTCTGCCCTTCAGAGCCCTACAACCCGGTACATTCTTTGCTACCAGAGACTTTGCTCACATCCTTGAGCAGAGTGGTATTCATTTGATTGCTTTTCTCAAGAGCATTATTATTTATTAATTATGTTGGTAGGGGTTCACTCCACCACACCCCCAAGTTACGGGAGGATGGGCTTACAATCTGTGGTCAGGGGTATTGGGTGTTGGAACAGGATGCCACTTCCAGAGGTTGCTGTCTGCTCTGCCTCAGACAGGGGTCTTTAGTCTTGGCTGCACTTAAATCACCTGGGGAGCTTATTCAGCTACTGAGCCTTGGGGCCCTATCCACCTACCCCAACAGAGTCTACTATAATTGGTCTGAATATACAGGTTTCAAAAGTTCACAGGGGATTCTAATGTACAGTCAAAGTGGACAGTCATTGATCCTGATTTAATCCCGTGGCAGGAGCTGCTGAATAAAGATCTCAGCTAGAATAGGAAATAAGAGGCTGAGAAGCATCCTGATTTTTAGCTCTACTTGGGATGAATTCTCCTCCTGAGCATGTTAGAGAATCAGATATTCTTGCTATATCAGGCAATAATGGGTAAAATTCCCACAACTCTTGTTTAATCCTCACCCACAGACCAAGTAGGACTGAATAGTTTATAACAGAGGTGGTCTCTTTAGCCGTACAAACAGGTCCTCTCTTGAGTTCTTTTTCTACTTTTATCCAGAGGACAGCAGAAGAGTTAGGCTATGCAGTCATGAGTATGTGGTATCTGTCCGTATATGATTGTCCCCACTTACTAGGTGGGAGGACAGCTGCCCAGAGTTGGTGGGGCTTCAAACCCAGAGTCCAAACAGAGATCAGGGGAACACCTCCATTTAAGAGGGGAACTGGCAGAGTGGAAAGGGGAACTGCGCAGAAGCTGTGGACTCAGAAGGCGAGACGGCAGGGGGGCGGGTGAGGATACCTCACAAGAGGCTATCCAGGACATACCTGGCACTTTAAGCCAGGCATCCACATAGAACCTCAAGGGCTGGGCTGACATTCCACATCTGACGGTAGGACTTTGACTTGACTCTAAGCTCCATCAGATCCTGCTGCCACTGCTGCTGCTAAGCACACTGTGACAGAACTGGCTTGTAAACAAGGCCAGGGCCAGGCCTGCTGCTGAGGGGCACCAGTGGGACCAACAATAGGAGCTGGAGAAGGCACCAAAAGGTGAGAAAAGTGAGGCCGTGGAGTGCAGATACAGCCTAGAATTTCATCAGCTTTCAGGCCTGGACTAAGGTGATGCCTTTCTTCCTTCCTTTACCTCTTGTCTAGTTATTAAGTGGTTCACCTGTCACCTAGAGGCTGGACTGCTTTTTGGTCAGTGATGCCTGTCTTCGGTGTTGCAAATGTAATTTCTCTGCTGCTTACATACATGGCAGCTGTCAAAATTCATTAGCCAATCATCATGCCAGCAGTGGTTATTGAAGACTTGTCAGGAAAGATTGAAGGACTTGTCTGTGGATTTCTGGGATAGGTTTTAAGGCTTATCACTAGCCTACCCCTTAAAACCTTCACTCAGCTATGCCACCTACAACTCCATCCCTCATGGCTCCTGGTAGTCCATGTGGACTTTCTCTTTTCTCTTCCCTCATCCCCTCCCCCAAATTCTCATTCATGATTTGGGAGAGCTACACTTTTCATTCTAAGGTCAGGCAGGGAACAACTCTTTCAATTCCATATTTTCCCAGGGAATTGTTTTTCTCCCCTAGTTTTTCCTTGCATAGACTGTTTGTAGCTTTCTCCTGGCACTGATTATAAACTGCTTTGAGGCCAACATTTAAGGACTGTTGACAATGTTACTAATGTAACTATTAGTACAATTAGTATTATAATGTTACTAAGTTACACTGCATTGGGCTATTGACTACCTATTTATCTCATATATTCCCCTCAACAATTCTATCTAGTGGGTACTGTTATTAGCCTTATTTTACAGATGAGAAAACTGAGTTTTAGAGAGTAAGTGGGTGCAGATATGGCGTATAAACCCAGATACTCTCTACTTGTCTACCTCCTGGCCTAGGAGGTCATAGAATGCAGGAATGTGTTTTTTTAATGAGATTCACGAATATCTTTTTGTATTCACTAGTTTGCCTCTTATTCTTTCCACGTGGCACTATGACCCTGTTCCTGAATATCCATAATGTTTGTTGAATTGTTTTCTTTGACTTATGTAAATAGAAAACCTGTAGACTTAGGAAAATTAACTAATCAATGGCTCCCATGAAAACATTTGCTTGTTCAAGTTGAAAATGTACCATTTTTGACCACTGTATATTTTAGGTACAGTACATTTTAGGGATGCCTCTAGAGTGTATATGAACAAACAAATATTTTTGTGGGATTCTTAAATATATAAAAAATTTGAGTCACCCCAAATCAGCATGTTGGCTCATTCTGGATATTAGCCCTTTGTCAGATGAGTAGGTTGCGAAAATTTTCTCCCATTTTGTAGGCTGGCAACCCAATCTTATGCAATCCCACTGAATGAAAACCAAACAAGACAGTGGAAGTGATGGGCTCCAAGTTGGAACAGGAGTCCACTCAGGAGCTAGTTGGGCTCAGCGTGCCCCATCTAGCTGTCCAGATCTGGCCCTCTCAGAGGGAAGTCTTAGAAAATATTTTAAAAGGTTCTCCAAAGCATGAAAGGGCCCTGAGTTGGGGGCCAAGGCAGGATCCTATTGGCCTGGGTGTGAAGTGTGGTACGGACGAGAAATATGTGATAGGCAAGTAATGGCTAATAATTGTGATAGAAGACTTTAGAGGCATATGTCAAATTCTGTATTCAGTAGGCACTTAAATACCAAACTGTATTCAGTAGGTGCTTAATAAAGACCAAAGTATCTGAGTATCATACAAATTACTGTTGAGCACTAAGTTTATAATCAATTTCTTGCTTTTTCACTTACAAGATCTGTGATTGGACAAACAACTAAGTTTTTTGAACCTGTTTGCTTATGTCTGTAATGGACAGTGAGAGCTCCCTGACAGGGCCGTGTGCAAAAATGCTGTTATGATTATAACAGCCTGCATTTATTAAATTCCTGTTGGGCACCAAGCACTGTTCTAAATGCCTTATATAGATTATCTCTTTCATCCCTCACAATAACATTTTGAGATGGGTTCTTTTATTCTCTTTTTATAGATGAGAAAATGAGACACAGAGAGGTGACCCCATTAGACCTGTGAGTTGAGTTTAATGCCAGGATCGTCATGCCATATCACCTGGCTCAGCCCTTCCCATGCCTTGCTACATGGTAAAATTACTTGAGCAGATTTTCAAAGGTACCAGTGACCAGGCATCACCCCCTCAGAAATTCCACTTTAAAAGGCCTAAAGTGGGGCATGGGTATGGATGCTTTTTACAGCTCCCTGGGTGATTCTCATGGCAGCCAGGGCTGATAGCTCATTGAGAGCAGGCACACAGTGAACTCGAGTCACATCTCAATCAGGGTGACTCAACCTTGACAATAGCAAATTAGTGACTGTTCCTGTGGGCATTCCAAAAGTAAGCACTTCACACATATAAGAAATTCTCAATCAAGTGACTGTTTTTACCACTGGATATATGTTAAGCTTGTCCTTGTCTAGGGTCTACTCAGTTCATTCTACTGACCAGAGTATCAGATATATACAGAGCATCTCTGAAGCAGGGGCAGGGGTGGGAAGGCTGGGGGAGAAGATGGGGTTCTGGAAGTGGTCTGCTACAGTGGAGAGAAGTATTTTATCAGTGATATTGTTTAGAATTGCTAGGGTAATATGGTTTGGCTGTGTCCACACCCAAATCTCACCTTGATTTGTAATAATCCCCATGTGTCAAGGGTGGGACCAAGTGGAGATAATGGAATCATGGGGGTGGTTTCCACCACACTGTTCTCGTGGTAATGAATAAGTCTCATGAAGTCTCATGGTTTTTTAAATGGGAGTTCCCCTGCACAAGCTCTCTTGCCTGCTGCCATGTAAGACATGACTTTGCTCCTCATTCACCTTCTGCCATGATTGTGAGGCCATGTGAAACTGTGAGTCAATTAAACCTCTTTCCTTTATAAATTACCCAGTCTTGGGTATGTCTTTATTAGCAGTGTGAGAACAGACTAATACACAGGACATGGTGATAACAGAATATAAATTAACTCTTGTTTGGTTTTATTACTGTTAGAATTCTCTGCAAACAATGCACCCCATTATTATGAACACCTGGGGAGGACCACTCCCATCCTTTCCCCTTTGGTAGCTACCTCTTGGTATGTTACCGCTGTTTCTTCTAAGTATATCAGCAAATGATAAATTTGAGGTATATATGCTTATATATATAAGCATTCAAATAAAATTATCCAAAATTATATATAGTGCATACTCTATAATGTTAACATTATGCTTATATGTAAATTATTTGTAATTTTATTTATACACTTTTACTAAATAAATATATGAATAAAGTTATATAAGCAAAAATATTTACCACAACAACCTTTTGAAAAAGTACTATTTTTTCCATTTTACGATGAAGAACTTGAAACAGGGTTGAAAGCACGTGCCCAATGCTAGGAAGCTCGTAATAAGTAGGAAACATTTACTGAGCATTTACTGACTGATTTCTCTGTATTATTTCTCTGAATCCTTTTAACAATACTATGAAGACATACTATTATTGGTCCTTTTTTAAAGAAGGAAGGCACAGGAGAAAGATAAAAAGGAGTCAAAGTCACAGATGTTAATTTTCCCAGACTCACCCAACCAGGACGTGGGTGAACCAGAACTTGGCCTATGTGGTACGGATCTGATACTATGTTCTTAAATTTATGCCATACTGCCTTTTGTGTAAGGTAGTAAGAGGAGGAACTCAAAAACTTTTTCTTGGTATACTGCCCCTTCTTCTTCACCCTCTCCACTGTCTTCTTTGATTCTTTCACCTTGTCTTTTACTTTTAGATCCCTGTCAGTAATGCACACAGCTTACTGGGTCCCCATTTAATCTCATAACCTCAGCATTTCTTTCTGGTTCAACCATGGGTATCTCAATGTGTGAGAATTGCACTCCTCTGCCTGCCCTTACATCTACCTCTTCTCCTGTGTCAGGGGCCTGGTTAACTGCATCAGCATCCATGGGGCTTTCGCACTTGACTTGCACTTTTCATCTGGGAACTGTTTTACTGCCTCCTTAGTCAGGGATGTGGCTACAGGGCACATACAGCTGGCCTCCACGCTCTCTCTCATAATCCCTCTCTGTCTTCTGAGTACCTCTGTGCTTACCACAGTCCTAAATCTTGTGGATTATAGTACAAGGATCATAATATATACTATAGTATAGGACTATGGTAACAGGAATAAGAAGAATTTGAATCGAAATGTAGTGGCTGTGTGACTTTGGAGAGGTTAACAAACCTCTCTCCTAGATCCTTTCATCTGCAAAATGGGGATAATGTTAAGACTCTGAAGGGAGGCACAAGCTGAAAAAGTGTGGTGGAAAAGCGGTCATTATTACAGGGGATACACTTTTTTGCAGGAGAGAGAGGACATATTTATTTTGCCTGTTTTTCCCTCTTGATTCAGTGTGAAATGGAAGCCTGGAGTTTGGAGATGTGTTTCATTTCATCTGTGTTTGGAATTAAAAAGTGAATATGATCACTGTTATGGACTGAATTGTTTCTTCCCACTTCCCAATTCATATGTTGGAGCCCTAATCCCCAAGGTGACTGTATTTGGAATACAGGACCTTGAAAGAGGTAATTATGGTTAAATGACGTCATAATGGTAGAGTCCTAATCTGATATGACCAATGTCCCTAAAAAAGAAATAGAGCCAGCAGGGATGAAAGAAAAAGCCACATGAGGGCACAGTATGAAGGCAAGCCAAGGAGATAGGGCTCAGGATAAATAAAAACTGCCAACACCTTGATATTGGACTTCCAGCCCCCAGAACTGTGAGAAAATAAACTTCTGTGGCTTGAGCTATCTAGTCTGTGCCATTTTCTTATGCCAGCCCCAGAAAACGGATATAATCACCTTTGTGCTACAAAACCTATTCAAATGTGATTGTTCCAGTGTGTTCATTACTGCTTGGCAGCAGCACCCACATGAAAAACATTCAGTAACTCTCATCATTTCATTATAAGAAAGAAATAATCACCTTAATTTACATGCAAAGAATTTTATCTCTAATGACCCAAACTGCATACATATCATCTTTCTGGAAGGAAAAAAAAATCAGTTTTCTCTTTGTACTATACTTCTGGTCTTTTGTGTCATTTTAGGGGCCTGACCCTTTAAAAATACTTTGATGTTTGTCCCAATTTTATTTTCATTATTAAATTTCTCTGCCTGGCAGGGATCTGAGGTGGAGGCTTATGCCATCCTCCCCTTTTTAATTAGATGCAGGATTGAGTGACAGATCAAATGATCTTAAATTAATAATAATGACAAATTGCCCTCGGATGGCACTTGTACATAAAAGGAAACACTTCCATTAAACAAATGTTATGTCATCAAGAAACCCATTAATAGCACTGCCAGTGATCATAGCTTTATAATTCTTCTCATCATTCTGAATAACCAGCAAAGTTATAATTGCATATGGAGCTTAATTAAAATTTTCTATCCTATTAGTGAGTGCCCAGGCTTTAGATTGCCCATTAAATACTCTGCAAAATTTAGACCATATTTCTTGAGGTCTAGATTTTTAGAAGACATGAGAAAGTATGGACAAAGATGAGATTGGATTATAAAATCTCAATATGCTGCAATTACCAATTGTTGGATATTAGAGATGGAATTGGACTTAAGCATTATTTAACCTAATTCTAGTATTTTAAGCTGATTTTTATTTTATACATTTATATCTTTTACATACTCCCAGGCTGGAGTGCAGTGGCATGATCTTGGCTCACTGCAACTTCCACCCCCCAGGTTCAAGCAATTCTCTTGTCTCAGCCTCCCAAGTAGCTGGGATTACAGGCATGCACCACCATGCCTGGCTAATATTTTTAGTAGAGATGGGGTTTCACTATTTTGGCCAGGCTGGTCTAGAACTCCTGGCCTCAAGCAATGCACCCACTTCAGCCTCCCAAAGTACTGGAATTACAGGTATGAGCCATCATCCCCGGCCTAAATTGCCTATTTAAGTAAATTAAGCTTTTACTTAGCAAGTAAACCTATCTCTTTATGAACTCTTTTTCATTTTTACATTTTTTCCATATCCATTTATTTACATATTGTGGCACAGACTGTCCATAAACTCACCAGACCCACTTTCACTTCTTCCTGGGCACGCACATATATCTTATAGTTCCCTTTATCAGGTTGGGGCCAGGGGACATGTGACTTGTTTTTGGGAATGTCCATGAGCAGAAGCCATGTTTATCATTATAGGTGGGGGAAGTTAAGAGCACTTAAGCCTCTTCACCCTCTCACTTTCTGTATCTGCCTTCCAAAGGAGGAGGATCTAGAAGATGAGGTACTAGGAAGTGGTAGAGCCACTAGTTGGAAGAATCTGGGGTTCCTAAATCACTGTGTGGAGCAGAGAACACCCAGAATTCCTTGCTGACCTTAGACTATGATATGAGTGAGAAATTAACCTTTATTCATTTCAGCCACTTCAATTTCAGAATAATTTTATAGCACTTAGCCAACCATAATGCATACATTTTACCTAATTGTATAAGTAGTTATAATTTTTTGTTTTACTTGTTTTACATTTGAAATTGCTGGATATAGTTGCTGTATACTGTATAGTTTTCCATGTGCCATAGAGTTATAATTTTTATGCCTGGGTAATGGTCTATGTTAAATGATATGCTGAGTTAACATAATTAATTTTCACATATTGTATAGATTATTCTTATGCTTTCTTCTTTAGGAAATATCTTCATTCATAGGACACGTTTCTTTTGAATTATGTTACCAAATTTTTTTTACAGTCATGTTCAGTTTGTGCTCTCCTTTGCCATTATGAGAATATGAGTTTTAAAATTAAAAATTTATTTGTCCTTTTAAAATTTATTTGATATTAAATAATGCTTTATAAAAAACAGTATATAAATATATTATACATTATATTTAACCTCTTTATAAATATGAAGACACATATAATTTGTGTTTCTTTAATAACTAGTGAGTTTTACATTTTCCAAATATATTTGCTTACTACTAATACCTTCTTTGACATAGAGAATTTAATTCTCTCCATTGGGGAGCATACAACTCCTCAGTTTAACAGATGATACAACTGAGAGGGGAGGTGATTAGTGAGAGGAGGCAATGTTGAGATAATGAATGAGTTAGCACAGAGTTCAGATTTTTAATTTAATACAGGAATTTTTCTATTATAGCATAACTTCCATATTTATGAAATATGGTGTGTCATTCTAGTCCTTATGACTACCATCCTGGAAAGAATGATTATGATATAAATAAAACATGATTTTCACTCTAGATCATCCCTTTTCATTTAATAGAAAAGAGGAATTCAATAAAAGCCTCTGGGCACCCAGTGGAAGCACAGATATCATGGTCCAGCTCACTCCAGCCATACACAGAGTCAAGTACAACAATGTATTTCACAAGCTAGCCTCCTAGGTTTTGTCTATATAATATAGGGGTGAATGTTTTAGATGAGTGATAGGGTATCAGTGCTTGAATAATTGAGAATTAGAAATGGCAGGAAGAAGGGCAGAGGCATATGATATTTTAGCACTCATTGGTCATCCTGAGTGGAGAGTTTATCTAGAGTGGTGAGAGATAGGGATGGAAAGACAAGTTAGACTTGGAGTAATTCAATTCAGTAAATGAGTATTGAGTTCTTACTACATACCAGGCACTGCCCTAGTTATGGGCTAATGGCAGGCAAATCAGATAAAGGTCTTGCTTGAGCTCCTAATTAAATAAGAAAGATTATAGGATAGTGAAGAAAATAAGATTATTTGGAGTTAGCTTTGGGTTTGAGTCTCAACTCTAATTTTGTGAGCTTGTTGTATTAGTCCATTTTCATGCTGCTGATAAAGACATACCGGAGACTGGGGAGATTTACAAAAGAAAGAGGTTTAATGGACTTACCGTTCCACATGGCTGGGGAAGCCTGACAATCATGGTGGAAGGCAAGGAGGAGCAAGTCATGTCTTACATAGATAGTAGCAGGCAAAGAAAGCTTGTGCAGGGAAACTCTCCCTTATAGAACCATCAGATCTTATGAGACTTATTCACTATCATGAGAACAGCCTGGGAAAAACCTGGCCCCATGATTCAGTTACCTCCCACTGGCTCCCTCCTACAACACGTGGGAATTCAAGATGAGATTTTGGTGGCAACAGCCAGACCAAATTAATCTGCCCCTGGCCCCTCCCAAATCTCACATCCTCACATACCAAAACCAATCATGCCTTCCCAACAGTCCCCCAAAGTCTTATCTCATTTCAGCATTAACTCAAAAGTCCATAGTCTAAAGTCTTACCTGAGACAAGGCAAGTCTCTTCTGCCTATGAGCCTATAAAATCAAAAGCAAGTTAGTTACTTCCTAGGTACAATGGGGGTACAGGCATTGGGTGAATACAACCATTCCAAATGGGAGAAATTGTTCAGAGCAAAGGGGCTACAGGCCCCATGCAAGTCCAAAATCCAAATGGGGCAGTCATATCTTAAACCTCCAAAATGATCCCCTTTTACTCCATGTCTCAAATCCAGGTCATGCTGATGCAAGAGGTGTGTTCCCATGGTCTTGGGCAGCTCCCTTCCTGTGGCTTTGTGGGGTACAGCCTCCCTCCTGGCTGCATTCATGGGCTGGCATTCAGTGTCTGCGGCCTTTCCAGGTACATGGTGCAAGCTGTCAGTGGATCTACCATTCTGGGGTCTGGGGGAAAGTGGCCTTCTTCTCACAGCTCCATTAGGCAGTGTCTCAGTAGAGACTCTGTGTGGGAGCTCTGACCCCACATTTGCCTTCTACACTGCCCTAGCAGAGGTTCTCCATGACAGCCCCGCCCCTGCAGCAAACTTCTGTCTGGACATCCAAGTGTTTCCATACATCCTCTGAAATCTAGGTGGAGGTACCCAAGTGCCAATTCTTGACTTCTTTGTGCTGGCAGGCTCAACACCATGTGGAAGCTGCTAAGGCTTGAGGCTTTCATCCTCTGAAGCCATGGTGGAAACTCTGTATTGGCCCCTTTCAGACATGGCTGGAGTGGCTGGGAAACAGGGCACCAAGTCCCTAGACTGTACACAGCATGGGGACCCTGGGCCCAGCCCACGAAACCACTTCTTCCTTCTAGGCCTCTGGCCCTGTGATGGGAGGGGCTGCTGTGAAGACCTGTGACATGCCCTGGAGACATTTTCCCCATTGTCTTGGGGATTAACATTTGGCTCCTTGTTACTTATGCAAATTTCTCCAGCCACCTTGAATTTCTCCTCAGAAAATGGGATTTTCTTTTCTATCTCATTGTCAGGCTGCAAATTTTCCAAACTTTTATGCTCTGTTTCTCTTTTAAAACTGAATACCTTTAACAGCACCCAAGTCACATCTTGAATGCTTTGCTGCTTAGAAATTTCTTCTTCTAAATACCCTAAATCATCTCTCTCAAGTTCGAAGTTCCACAAATCTCTAGGGCAAGGGCAAAATGCCGCCAGTCTCTTTGCTAAACCATAGCAACTGTCACCTTTACTCCAGTTCCCAAGAAGTTTCTCATCTCCATCTGAGACCACCTCAGCCTGGATTTCACTGTTCATGTCATTATCAGCATTTTGCTCAAAGACATTCAACAAGTCTCTGGGGAGTTCCAAACTTTCCCACATTTTCCTGTCTTCTTCTGAGCCCTCTAAACTGTTCCAACCTCTGTCTGTTACCCAATTCCAAAGTCACTTCCACATCTTCAGGTATCTTTTCAGCAGCACCCCACTTTACTGGTACCAATTTACTGTATTAGTCTGTTTTCATGCTGCTGATGAAGACATCCTGAGGCTGGACAATTTACAAAAGAAAGAGGTTTAATGGACTTACCGTTCCACATAACTGGAGAAGACTCACAATCATGGCAGAGGGCAAGGAGGAGCAAGTCATATCTTACATGGATGGTAGCAGGCAAAGAAAGAGCTTGTGCAGGGAGACTCCCCCTTATAGAACCATTAGATCTTGTGAGACTTACTCACTATCACAAGAAACAGCCTGGGAAAAACCTGCCTCCATGGTTCAGTTACCTCCCCTCCCACTGAGTCCCTCCCACAATACTTGGGAATTCAAGATGAGATTTGAGTGGGGACAGAGCCAAACCATATCACTTGGACAAGCGATGTAATACCTCAGTGTAACTCTCCTTATATGTAAATTCAGGATAACTGCAGTACTTAGGGCTGTTTAAAATCAAACCTAGGGTTTTACCCATAAAAATTTTAATGCACTTCCTGGTACCTAGCACACCCACTAAAATGCTATTATTTTTAAAGTATAGTTAACTGGGGAAACTAACTGTCAAAATAGTTACAATATATCATGATTAAATGTGGCTGTAGACACACATACAAGATACAGAGTTAGCAAAGAAAAGGCCTGGGAATATAGTTAAACTGAAAGATTAAATTATTGGTACCAATTTGTGACTCCTTCTGTGTCCATGGCCTTTGCCATATGACTTAATGCAGTTCACCCTGTCTCCAAAGGAAAATTATACTTTCTTGTCCCTTTATTCGGTCAATCATGCTATTCATCTTTGATATTAGCAAACATGAGGAAAAGAGAGGCTCAAACTGCACTTGTAGAATTGGGCATGCTGCCCTTGCACTTCTGCTGAGCCCTGAGAAGAACATGTCCTGCTAACTGAATTGTTCTTGCAGGAAGATGAGAGACTTGTAGACACAGGATGTAGACCCACAGATCTATAGCTTGAAGCAGAATTACCTCTCTAAATTAAGTTTAGATCAGCCAAGTTCCAAACTTATCAGCAAGAAATAAATGGTCATTGTTGTATGCCAATTAGATGTAGACATTTTTCTTTCTACAACAATGTTGGGCTGATACAGGTGTTCAAAGATGATCTTTTAGAAGAACTTATTTATAAATTGGATTTTGAAGGAGGAATAGGAATTCACTAGGAGGAAAGAATGATGTAAGGATATTCCAGATGAAAGAATATAAAGTAGAAAAATTCTAAGGTATGAAATGCCAGAATTAGCATTTCAGTATTTGGGCCTTGATTAAAGCATATAATAATAAGGGAATCAAAAAAGAAGACACAATGGACATGAGAGTTAAGCAGAGACCTTAGGATAATATTTTTTTTCCTTCGAGATATGGTCTCATTGTGTTGCCTAGGCTGGAAACAGCTCACTGCAGTGTCAATCTCCTGAGCTCCAGTGCCTCAGCTTTCCAAATAGCTGGGACCATAGGCATGCACCACTATACCTGGCAAATATTTAATTTTTTTTTTTTTTTTTTTTTTTTTTTTTTTTTAGAGACAGGGAGGGTCTCACTGTGTTGCCTGGGCTTGTCTCAAACTCCTGGACTCAAGCAGTCCTCCTGCCTTGGCCTCCCAAAGTTCTGGGATTACAGGTATGAGCTATACTCCTGGCAAGATAAGGTCTTGTACATTAAACAATAAATGGAATAGGTGATTGGGTAATTTACTAATTTATATTATGAGCTAGCTGGGTTGCCTTACTTCTCTGGGTTGTGTTTCTCCAGGTTTTTTTTTTTTTAATATAAAAGAAGCTTAGATTAAATAAACTCTAAGGCTTCTTATAACTGTAACAGCCTATGATTCTGTGACAAAATAGTAGCCTTAACTCTTTGTAAAAGTATCCTGTAGGTCTTTCTTTTATGCTATGGGGTTACTAATGGGAAATCAATATATCCTGTGGTATGTGAGAGAGCAGTTTGTTACTGAAAAGTTACATCTCAGTTCACACTTACACAAGATCCTAAAGGACATTTGAGTTGAACAGGTGTTTGACCCCATAGCTTCCTTTTCTGGGGTTGACTGACATAGAACCACCATTTTTCAAGTTTATTTTGGGACAGTAGCTAATCAAATAGTTCTGTTGCCTCTTGCTGGGGGTTTAAATGATCCCCTGATGAACCATAAATATAACTAGATTGATACTGTGGGAGTAAAATCCTTTATGAGTTCATAATCATAGATAGCCTATTCTCTTTCAGGTTCTCAGGCAGGATTCTGTAAATCACTGAATGGCATAATTGCTCCCTGAATAGTAAAGTAAACTCATTAGGAGCCCATGAGAAATTAACTCTCATGCTGAAGAAAATATAAATTGGCCAATTTCCTAGACATTTCCAAAGATAATGGGAACCCTATTGGCCAGCAGCTCTTAAACTTTTCATCAGAGGATTGTATACAAGGCAGAATATAATAATGACCTTTTAATTTTGCTCAGTTTCAAAATGAGGTTTTTTTGTTTAATTGTAAAGAGATTTTACTGTAGATGAAAATTTTGGGGGGAATTATGTATCCGTCTTGTAGCAATGGTGGTAAGCAGGAGTGATACATCATCTTTTACCTAAAAATATATATCAAGCCTATTTATTTGAATAATCAGCAAAATATTTTGATAAACATATATATCACTATGCAAGGTACATTTAGAAAATAACCCCCAATAAAATAATCGATAATGATAAAGTTCATAGTGTTTCAAAATTAAAAAGCAATGTAAGCAAATGAAAACCATAACCTACTGAAGACAACATTGATGATACATTGACAATCTTGTCTTATTTTATTATCAAAGATCTCCAAGCATATATTGACATTAGGGATTTTCACAGAATTGCCAATAATTGCAGAGCAGAAAGACTTAGCAGAATACTGAATTACAGTCCCTAATAAACTCATGTACTACCATAGTTTTCCTTTGAATTTCTATTGACCTTTAACTAACATAGGAGGTCAGTAGTCAGTTGTAAGTCACCTTCACCTTTGCAAACATGAGATGAGTCTACTATGGGATTGCCCACCATTTACACAATGAAAGAAATTGTATCATTGTGAACTGAAGAAAGCTCACAACCAAGAAAGAGCATGTCATAAGTTCTCTTGTAGACTAATTGCCTGATGCTTATTAGTGCTTGATTTTTATGTGGAAGGTTTGGTATTTGTATGAGACTACATTTTTGTATAAAATAGATCTTATTCTCTCTCAACAGTTCACTTAATTCCAGGAATTGAGAATTTGAGGACTTAATAAAATACTTACTAAAGATATATTTTCTTTTTTAAAATAGCTTTATTGAGGTATAATTGATATAAAAACTTCACATATTTAATGTGCATATTTTTTTTTGAGTTTAAACATATGCAAATACCTGTGATACCATAATAACAATCAAGACAATAAACATGTCCATCACCTTCTAGAATTTCTTTTTCTGTGTGTGTTAAAAATACAATATGAAATCTATTTTCTAACAATTTTTGATGATTACAATACTATATTAACTACAGGCACCATAATGCATAATGTGTCTATAATTTATTTATCTAGCATAACTTGAACTTTGTACCCATTGAACAACTCCCTATTAGTATAGCCATCACCTGAGATAGAGGAAAAGACAATCACTAGTTGCTCACTAAATATCAGGCATTTTGCTAGATCTTTAAAAGCAAAAGCATGTTTTACTTGTGCTATTGTGTTTAATCTTTTAGCCAGTTTATGAAATACTTATTACTTATTATAGATTAGAAGGCAGAGGCTCAGAAAATTAATTAATTTGCTCAAGTTTATACAACTAGTAAATATTGGAGCTGATATTTGAACAAGTATTTTCTTTTTTTTTTAGTTTCAAAAGCTTGTTCTTTTCACATTATTGTTTCCCACAAAGGTTTTACAGACATCCTTCCCCGACATTTAAGACATAGAGTTTGCAGAGACTCTTACCATCAGTCTGATAGATTTGCCTATAATCTTGCTCGTGGTCAGGGGACTACAACAAACATGAACGCAGAACCACAGTGAACGACCCACATTGAGGTTTAACACATGATGTGAGTGTCTTGAGAGCTTTTTTAGAAATAGAATTGACTAATTTCAGCCTCTCCACATGATAACACAAGGAAAAAAATGTCTTTCTTCTTTTTAAAAACCAAAGGAATGGAGAACTTGGTAAGTACCACCAACTAATCCTTTGAAAAGAAGACCGATGAGAGGAACACTAAACTTCCTGGGGATATGAAAAAACTTTCAAAGCCAGCAATATCACATTTCATCTCCTCTTATCCCATAAGTCTATCCCACCTAGGAATGTCACTGGAGAATTCTGATGTTTTTTAGAGCAGAATATCAAAGAACAAGCAATGAATAAGTCATAAAATTGGGGGGGTGTTTAGCCACTTTGCTTTCGAGTAGGATGCTCCAGAAGCAGCTCTACAATGAAGACAGGTGAAAATAAACATCTTGCTCCTGTGAACATAACACGAGGAGCCCTGCCAGTAATTTATGTGCATAAGTGTCTATAATTACACATGTTCATACATATTCATTCACATGCTCCTAATTTTAGAGAACAGAGAAGTGAATTAATTGATTAGTAATTTGATTGTATTTGATTCAGCTGGCTCTCCAAGTTCCTTATAAATGTCCCAGGGTAAGTTTCCACTAACAGAGAATTTAGTCAGAGACCTTGGGGAGCAGTAGATTGACTGATGATGAAGTGATTGAGCCATTTGTTTATTTAAGCATTTTATTCATTCATTCAACAATTAGGCTCTTCTGTGTCCAGGCACCATGTCAGGTATAGAAGACATCCAGTTTGATAAGTGATTGGACTTGACCTGCAACTTCTATCCTTGTAGGGAAGACAGTCTAGTAATGAAGTCATCAACTGCAGGATAATGTGGCCAAGCACTAAAGATATCCAATGCATGCTGTACTTTCAGGAATGATTTCTTAGAGATGGAGAAACCTGAGATGCTTTTTGAAGGAGGGTTAGGAGTTATCTGAAGGATGAAAGATAGAAGGCATTTCAGATGGAGGCACAACAATGAAAAGAGTATCACATTTCCAGCATTTTTTTTTTTTTTTTTTTACCATTAAAAGGAATTGGGGAGGATGGCTGAAAAAGAGGAAAGATCAGATGGTGAATGGTATTTTGTGATGAAGAGTTGTAGTTTATCTCTCCTAAAAACTAGAGTGAGATCAGGAAGATTTTAAGCCTAGGAATGACACACTAGATTTTCAACTCATGAACATCACTCAGGCTTCTATGAAGAGGGAAAATTAAGTTTGGCACAGACTCTGGACACATAGTTGAGTTAGAAAGTTATTGGAGGGATTCACACAAGTAAAGATGCAGCTCAGAGCTTAATTTATAACAGTAGAGACTGTGAGGAGGAGGGGAAGGCTTGATAGAAGCAGGTAAAAATTGTACAACTTGGGGGTATGACGGTAAATAAGTGGGGATGTAGGGGTAAACCAGGTTCCGTTTAGGCAATTGGAGGATTGTGCTGCTATTCATGAGGAGAGCCCAGTGACATGAACAGTTTTGGAGGGGAATGTGTATCAAATCCGTTTAGGAATATAATACATTTGAGAAAAGAAGTCACTGAATTTGTGCAAAGTTGAAGCTTAGCCATGCCATCAAACTGCCAACAATCAGCACACAAAATATAATCTATTTTTTACTCTGGCATAGGGCTGTTTTCAGACTTCTGATCCTTTGGACATGAATTTGCATCTAACCTGGAATGCCTAATGCTCCTCTTTTTCCGTCATTCCCAGAGAAGCTTATCCTTCAATTATAAGGATCATCTCAAATGGAGCTTTCTCTGTGAAAGCTTCTACCTCCCACTTTGCCTCCCCTTCACTTCCATCCTCGCTGCCTTGGAAGAGCTAAGTCTTACCTCCCCTTTAGCCCTTATCATACTAAATTGTTATTATATGTGCACATGTCTGTCTGTCCTGACACCTTGAGAGCTCCCCAAGGGCAAGGGAAATCCATATCTTATTCACCTTTGTAACCTAAGCTCCTAACAGGGTCTGACACCTAAAGGGCACTCAATAAATTCTGTTGAATTTATCCTCTTTCAGGCAGTTCTCTTCTTTCCTTGAATCTTTTCTTACCTGGCATCCTATTGTCACATAGGATGGGGCCATAGTTTTCCAAGTAAGGGGTTATGAAATTATACCTTGATTTTGCTCATTTACCTGGTAGCTCTACCCCTGGGAAATGAATCAGGGAGGAACAGAGCTCAAGCCTGTTTCTTAGAGGGTGGGAGGGTTCCTAAGACAAACATTAGGGTTGAAAACAACGTTCTTCAAGTTCAACATGATTCATTCCCCTGCTTCCTGTTTCCTGGTGCTCCATGCTTAGCAGGCACACACAGGTGACAGAACCATCAGGAGCAGAGGGAGCCAGAGAACTCACATGTACCATACAAGGTGTCTCTCTGAACCTGGACTAAGGAGGCACAGATGCAATCTCTACGATTTACAGCTTAGATGGTAGGCTCCCCCTTGTAGAACTTGGACTTGGAAACTTAGCAAACTACCAGCTGTGAACTCCAGTTTTCCCCAGCTCCTCCTGGCTGCCCATGAAGATCACTCACAGAGAAGCCCACTAAATTCCCAAACCAAAGAAAACCCATTTGGACTCTGATGGTAGCAACAACTTGCTCAGCCGCAGCAAGTTGTGCCCACACAAAGTCTAGTCGTGGATACTCTGTCCCTAATGATCAAAGACTTGGAGGTGAGGAGCTCTGGGTTGATGACAGCAGGCTCTAACTCTGCCCATGTGCCCAGGCCCATTGAGTCTGCCTAACCAACCATTCTTCTAGCTGGATTTAGATTTTTGGGAGGATTAGGCCATTTGGCACCTCTGTCAGTTTCCCATAGAGGACCTGTGACCCTGGGGCTTTAGTTGAGAGCCCAACCTGTTTTTTAGGTGGCCCTAAGTTGTGCCTACTTCATGTGTCTTAGCTTTATGACTGACCTTTGCTTCTCATAGTCTGTTACATCATTGTAGACTCTATTCAATAACCATATTCCCTCTCACTGTGAAAAGTGCTTTGATGGATGTGTTTTCTGCTCTCCTGCTTTGGCCTGGCTGCTCCTAAGACTCTTACACCTTTTCAGACTGTTTGTAATAATTGACAATGCTCTTGGGACTCTAATATTGGTTTCAGCATGACTTCTTCCTGCCTTCCTACTTCTAAGTCATCTCACTTTCCCCCAGCTGCACCCTGGACAGACTGTTCCTGGGGTGCTGTCAATTTATACTGGCTTCTATTTGCTTATTTTTTCTCTGCCACTGCAAGAGCCGCTAACTAGCAGAGCAGCCAATGTCAACACCTGCCTCTTTCTTTAGATACACAATGGCCACCATTTGTTGTGGATTCATTTATTGCCTTGGAGTTTGTGAAATGAATGTATAAAGAGAGAACAGAGGCATTTGTTCTGGAAGAGAGCCAGGGAACCTGGGTCTGTCACATCCTCCTTCCTAAGCCATGCTGGGCAGAATCCAGGCCACTTAGCTTAGGGCAGAAATAGAGAACATCCACATGACAGGCATAGGGTCTGGAACTATACTGCCAAGACCCAGCACCCAGGCTTTCAGAAAAGGAGGTGTACAAAGGTGTACAATAGGGAAATGGAGAAATCAGCTGAGTCTGAGACAACTTAGAGGAGAAGGTATTTGAAGGGACAGACATGTGGATTAATTTTGCTTGAGATGTGTTTGCCAAGACCATGCCAAGAATCAGAACTTAACAGACTCACAGAACATCAGAGCTAGGAAGATTGTGAGATCATGTTAGAGAAGCTCACAGGGGCAAGGTGGGCCACCTAAATAAGTGAGTAAGTGGGGATAACGGCAGACAGTGGGTGGTACTTCTCCACACACACAATTGGTACCATGCAGTAAGTTGGGCCAGTGTTGCAAGATCTTCACAGTTTTTAGGAAAAGCCAGAAATCCAGATTTTATGTAAATTTTTTGACTTCTAAATGCTATCAAACAATTAAAGTTGTTTTCAAACACAGAAAAATCAAAGCACATCTGTGGGCTGGATATAGCCTACAATCTAAATGGGCCCTATATATTTTAAGGTGATAATAGCTGAAGCACAGGAAATAAGTGGATTTCTCCAAAGTCCAATAATTTACTTGGAGAAAGGTAAGTACTTGATGGCTTAGTATACTGTCCTTAATCTCTTCCTGTCTCCGATCCAACACCCTGTGGAGATGTGGGGAACATAAGGTGTTCTATTCCCTCCTCAACTAAAGGTGATGGAGTGGGGCCAATGACATTCTATTGCTTCTTGACTTTTTGCTAACTTGGCTCCTCCCCTGTGAGGTTTGTCCCCATTCAGTGAAGTGAGAGTGTGAAGAGACCTGGGTTATATTCTAGCCCAGGCTGAGCTATTTACTGTGTGGCCTTGGAAAATTCTCTTCTGTTCTTTGGACCTTATTTTCCTCATAGACGAAGTATGGCTGTCAGCCTAGGTAAATTCCAAGTTCCTTTATAAGTCAACCCAAGTGAACCCAAGCTTGCTTTAAGTGTCTTTCTAAGTTCTCATGTCATCACCCTTCATTATCACTTACTTCTGTTCCATCCCTCCCTCTTCCCCACACATGCCCTCATACCCACGCCCACATCATGAGTACCTGGTGTTTGCAAGCTGCTGCTCAACACCTGGAGTCCCACTGACATGCAACACTGAGATCCACCCTCCACTGCCCATGTTAAGATTCATTCAAAATCACTTTTACCAAGCAAAACTCACCACCCAGGTAGAGAACTAAGATGACTAATATTTAGTCATCTTTAAAGTCATCTTTAAAGTCATCTTTAGTAAATAGATGTAAATATTTAGTAAATACATGTCTCAGTATATGAAGATTAAACTGAAAAACTTTGGAAAATCATTACAACTGATAAAATAATTGAATTAAATGGTCTGTTATAAAATAAATACACGAAAGTCAATAGTTTTTCTCTAGATAAACCATAACCGGTTAACAAATACACACATACACCCTTCTGCTAAAAATGATCTTAAAAAAGTGTATAGGACCTGCATAAGTAAAACAGCAAACTTTCACCATGGTGCATAAAAGAAGACGGGGACAAATGCTCATGCAAGAGAAACCATATTGTAACAGATGTCCTGGAAGTTAATCTATAAACTCAGTGGCTTACTTCCAATTTGGTACATTAGTAGACTACTAGTAAAAATCTCAATCACATTTTAGATGTGGTATAGAGGAAGTTCTAAAACAATTCTCAGTTTCATTTGGAGTAATGAGATACTACATTCTAAACATACTCAAGATCCAGTCACTTATTTCCACCTTCTTTGGTCCAAGCGCTCAAGGTTCCTCATGTGGATCATTGCAGTAGCCTTGTAATAAACCTTATACTTTGATCCTTTCTCCTTTCAATCTGTTCTCAGCACAGCTTCCAATGTATTCCTATCAAAATGCAAGCTAGATCATGTCACCCTCCTAATCAAAATCTTTCAATGGCTTTCTACCTTTTAGCAAGTAAAGGCAAAATTATCGTGATGGCCTTCAGTGACCTACATGATCTGAACCTTGTTATGATACTTCCTCATCTCCTGCTCCTCCACCGCTCACTTAATGTACTTAATGTAGAAACACTGTTTTCCTGGGTGCTCTCCACAGGCACCCTGTACATTCCAGCCTCAGCGCCTTTGCACTTGCTGTTATTGCTTCCTGGAATGCTTTGACTCCAAATATCTATGTAGTTTACCTTCTGACATCTTTTTTTATTTACCCCATATATTATCTTTTCAGTGAGCTATTTCTTGTATATCCTATATAATATTTCAAGCCTCTTCCCTCAGACATCAATCACTATTTTTCTCTGTAGTCATTACCATAGTTTCAGCATACTATTATATTTTATTTTTGTAAACTCATTCGGGGCAAGGGGTTTTACCAGTTCTGTTTACTGCTGAGTTTTCATTGCACGTGCTTAGCTAATAATCGACACTCAATAAATATTTGTTAGATGAAAAATGAGGGGAGACATAAGGCATTAAAATTTATTTTAAAGATAAAATAATGAAAAGAGCATGGAATCAATAAGCTGAATAAAAGAAAAAATCCTAGAAGAGACAAATTCTAACTATCAATTCAGAACATATCAAAAATGGCATAATTCTTATTTAGGGCCAGTAGAATCATATGACTCATTTCAATCAGTGGAATTAAGAGAACTAGTTAGGAACAAGAATGGATAACTATCCTGTAATATGCATACATCAAAATACATGACAGATGGACAAAAATATTCACCTAAAAATCATCTTTCACAAAGACAGACCTAGGCCAAAATGGCTTTATTGGTAAATTCTAACAAACATTTGAATAATAATTAATGCCAATTATTCACATGGTTTTCCCAAAGATAGAAGAGGTTGCAAAATTTCTCAACCCATTCTATGAGATGTTGTATTGTGATACAAAAACCAGACAAAGAAATTGCAAGAAAATAAAACTACAGACCAATATCTCTTAAAAATATACTAATAAAATGCTCAACAAATTACTAGCAAACAGAATCTAGCAATATATAAACATGATTATAATTCCACCATTACTAAGTGGAATTTATCCCAAGAATGCAAGGGTATTTAACATTTAAAAATAAAAAAATGTAATAAACCTTACTAATAGAATAAAAGACAAAACCAACATAGTCATCTCAAAAGCCATAGAAAAAGCTTTGACAAAGTTCAATACCTTTTTATAATAAGACACTCAAAAAGCTAGGAATAGAAGGGAATGTCCTCAACCTGATAAAAGGCATCTACAAAAAGAACCCTACAGCTTACATGATTCTTGTGAAAGACTAGATGCATTTATCTTAAAATTAGGAAGAAGATAATAATGTCATTTCTTATCACTCCTATTTAACTTTGTACTGGAGTTTCTAGACAGAGCATTTAGGCAAGAAAAAGGAAAGAAAAGCATATAGACTGGAAAGGAAGGAGGAAAATTATCACTGTTTGAGGATGACACAGTCTTGTACACAGAAAATCCTAAGTAATCTAAACTACTAGTAATCTTAAACTACAAAGTAATCTAACAAGTTCAACAATGTGGTAGCATACAAGATCAATATACAAAGATCAACTGTATTTGTATACACTTGCAATGAATACTCTTAATAAAAATTTAAAAATAATTCAATTTATAATAGCATAAGAATTAAATACTTAAGAACAAATTTAATAAAACAAGTGTAAGACTTGTACTCTGAAAACTACAAACCACTATTATATAAAATTAAAGAAGCCTACGTAAAGGCTACAGCTTCTTATGTTCATGGATCAAACACTTAATATTGTTAAGATAGCAATCCTCCCTAAATTGATCCACAGATTCAATACAATCCCTATCAAAGTCCTAGCTATCATTTTTGCAGAAATTAATGAGCTGATTATAAAATTTATATGGAATAAGGGACCTAGAATAGCCAAAGCAATGTTGAAAAAGAAGTATGAAGTTGGAAGACTAACATTTTCCAATTTCAAAACTTACTACAAAGCTATAGTAATAAAGACAGTGTGGGATTGACATAAAAATAGACAGGGAGATCAATAGAGTAAAACTGAGAATCCAGGAGTAAACTCCTACAAATGGATTGATCACATTTTATAAATTGTAGTGACAACATTTAACATGAAATCTACCATTTAAACAAATTTTTATGTGTATGGTACAGTATTGTTAATTATAGGCATGATACCCAGGGGATCTCTAGAATTTATTAATCTTATATAACTCAAACTTTATACCTATTGACTCACAACTCCCTGTTATTAATAACATCCCTGAAAACCACTATTCTACTCTCTACTTCTATGAATTTGAGTCTCCTAGGTGTCTCATATGAGTAGAATCAGACAGTATTTGTCCTTGTGTAACTGGAATATTTTATTTAGCATAATGTCTTCAAGGTTCATCCATGTTGTTACATATTGCGGGGTTTTCTTTTCTGATGCTGAATAATATTCCATTATATTGATATGCCACATTTTAAAAAGTCCATTCACCCATCAATAAATATTTAGGTTCTTTCCAAATCTTGGCTATTACAATGTATCACGTTTCGACAAAGTTGCCAAAACAATTAACTGGAGAAAGAATATTTTTTTTCAACAGATGAGGCTAGGACAACCAACTATTCACATGTAAAAGAATGAAGTTGGACCCCTTCTTCACTCTATACTCAAAACTTAACTCAAAATGAATCAAAGACCTAAATGTAAGAGCTAAAATTATAAAAATCTTAGAAGAAAATATCTTCATGCTCAGGTTTGGCAAAGCCTTCTTATATGACACCAAAATTACAACTGACCAAACAAAGAAAATAGATGGATTAGACTTCCTCAAAATTAGAAACTTTTATGCTTCCAAGGACACCATCAATAAAGTTCAAACATAATCCACAAAATGGGAAAAAATTTTCAAATCATATATGGTCTAGTATTTAAATTATGTGAAGAATTTTTAGAAGATGAATAACTCAATTAAAAAATGGGTAGGACATTTGAGTAGATATTTCTCCAAAGAAGGTTTACAAATGGTCAATAGACACATGAAAAGATGTTACGGGCAGTTAGTAGTTCTGAAATGCGAATAAAAACCATCATAACGTAACACTGCATACAAACTAAGATGATCATAACAAAAAATAAAGGTAGTAAAAATTGTTGGTAAGGATGTGAAAGAATGGAATCCCTCTTACATGCTGGTGTGTGAATGTAAGGTGCATGTATTAGGCCCTTTTTACATTGCTATAAAGAAATCCCTGAGACTTTGTAATTTATAAACAGAAGAGGTTTAATTGGCTCACAGTTTTGCAGGCTTTACAGAAAGCATGGTGCTGGTATCTGCTTGGCTTCTAGGGAGCCTTAGGAAGCTTACAATCATGGTGGAGGGCGAAGGGGGAGAAGGCACGTCACATGGCCAGAGCAGAAGCAAGAGAGAGAGAATGGGAGGGGAGGTGCCACACACTTTTAAATGACCACATCTCCAGAGAACTCACTATCACAAAGACCTCACCAAGCCATGAAGGATCCACCCCCATGACCCAAACACCTCCCATAAGGCCCCACCTCCAGCACTGGGAATTAAAATTCAATATGAGTTTTCAGCAGGGACAAATATCCAAACTATATTAGAGAAGTTGCTTGGAAAAGAGATTGGCAGTTCTTCAAAATGTTAAACATAGATTTAGCATATGACCCAGCAATATCACTGCTAAGTATAAACTCAAGGGAAATTAAAATATAAGTCCACACAAAAACTTGTACACAAAGATCCATAGCTGCATTATTCATAATAGCCAAGAGTGCATGGAAACAAAGCAAATGTCTATCACTGATGAATGGCTAAAGAAAATGTAGTATATCCATACAAAAGAATACTATTAGATAATCCAAAGGAATGAAGTATTGATACATGCTAAAACATGAATGAACTTTGAAAACTATGCTAGGAGCTAGTCACAAAAGACCATATATTGTATGACTCCATTTATATGAAATATTCAGGTCAGGCTAATCTCTGGTAACAGGAAGCAGATTAGTGTTGCCTAGGTCTGGAGATGGGGTGGTGTGTGTTTGTGTGTGTTGCAGGAAGAGTTGGAGAATGTCTGCTAATGGTTATGAACTTCTTTTTTAAGTGTTGAAATCTTCTAAAATCAATTGTGGTAATGGCTGCACAACTCTTTGTACTAAAAACTATTACATTGTGCACATTAGAAAGGTCATTTGTATAATATGTGCATGATATTTCAATAAACCTGTTATAAAAGGTATGCCTCGAAGGTAAAATTATTGTTCACAAAAGGCTTTTATACATACATTATCTCATCCTTTCCTCCAACAACCAGGAGAATGTATGCTAGGGACATGCGATGACCTCCACTGTGTAGAGGAGAAACCCAAATTTCAGGTTTAGCCATGTATCCAACGTTATTCCATTAGTAAGTGAATGATCTAAAAGTAAGAACTGCTGGCTTCACATTTTATTTTATCCCCTTCCTTACACAACTTTTTATTTCATGTCCCTTTGATTTCCATTTTTAGACCTGACCTCTGATCACTTCTGATTAGCCCTTCATCCTCTGTATTTTTTTTTTAACCAGGACCAGCATTTAATTATTCATTCATTGTAAAACATAAAGGCTAGTGTCTCAACTGACTGCGATAAATCTGAATTCCTTTATATCAACAATTTGAAAATTCCAAAAGTAATGGTCCTTCATGAAAAATACCTTCTGGGCTCCTGTTCATTGTGCAGTCAGACTATAGCTCAGTTGGCTGATCTAACTGTCAGGAGAGGTAACCTCATATGGCCTTGTCTAGATGTACTTATTTAATTTCATGGCTTTTTTCTTAAAGTCTTACCTTAGTGACACCCTGTCTAAGCTGGTTAGTCTGAAAGTCTGCATCCATATAGCTCTAATACTCTAAGAAACTGTACTTCAGGGCTTGTCTTTGTGGCTTCTTCTCCCTCATTTCTTCTTTCTTCTTACGTGTTTTTCATTCATTTTCCTAATAAATATTTGAGGAATAAATGGATGAATAAATAAATAAATGAGTACCTGGCACACAGGATTTTAAGAATGGCAAGGTCAACCTTTTCATTTAGGGGATTATCTTTAGTGGCAGACAGGAGAATGCACTAGAGGAGAGATTGAATACTGGAAAACCATTCAGTGGACCATTCTTATTTTTGATAGTCAGTTACGGTGGTTTATTTTGGTAACTGAAGGTCTTTCAAAATGTCACAGTGTCATTCAGAGCATCAGAAATTCAAGTATGTTTTCTGTGGTTTGAGTTTCAAGATCACTAACCTAGAAATTGGCACTAAAGTGTCCACTCCAAGATCATAATACATTCATCAATTTATTCAGCAAATTCTTGTTTAGCATCTACTGTGTTTTGGCATAGCTAAACTGAATATGCAGCAGAGGAGAAAAACTGACATGGTTCTGGATACTACAGTCTGGTGACAAACAGTAAGTAAACCAGCAAATAAATGTGAAAGTGGGTATGTGAATAGACTACAGTTATGTGAACTGGAACTGAAGGTCTGGAAAAAGGAGTAATGGAAAAATAAAAGTAGTGAGGTTACGAAGGGCTGCCAAAGAAAGATAAGCCTTGCAGGCCAAAGTGATCATCAATGGTGATGATGATGATGATAATGATGCTGCTGCTCATGTTAGCAATACTGCTTGGTATTCAGGTAATACTGTTACCTTCATGAAGTGTTCTCATCACTATTTAATTATTGCACCTTTTCTAAATGAAATGTGAGTTTTACAAAGAAGTAAAATGAGTCATCTGTGGTTACAGAATTGCCAGAGGCAGAGGTGGTGTTAGAACTATCTTTTGTGATTAGCATCTCAAAATATGTGTCACTGCAGAACCATTTATTAACAGAAAATCTCACATATAAACCCATTCCTCACTTCGACCCTACCTGAATATTGCCCTCTATCCCCCTGTCCCCCACCCCGCAGGGCAAGGTCTAGGCTCCAAGGAATACAGTTTGGAACTTCTTATATGTCATTCTTGCTATGGAGGCATGAAATACTGGGAAATGAATTTATCATGTAAGTCTAATAAATGTACTCTGGTCTATATGCAACCTCATACTTTCCATCTAAGCATTGCTAGAGAAATGCAGTCAATGAATATAATATTGTTTGATCCCTATTGTATCAAATGGGGCTGTTTGGCTAGTTACAAGGGAGAAAAAAATCCAAGGAGACCTATCTGTACCTCTGTCTGTGCTTGATGAGATCCCTTTACCCCGCTCTGGTGATGTTGTCCTTGTCTGAGCTCTGGGATGTGCCAGTTTTCCCACTGTGCTCCCTGACTCTTCTTTTTTTTCTGGTTGCTGCATATTAGCCTATAGTTCAACATTTTAAAGTCAGGGCATTTTTCCTAAGCCCAGGAAAATTGATACTACGGAGTTCTTCTGAAAACTGCAGTTCCTGGCAGAGGGTCCTCCTATTTCTTACTTTCTTACAGACAGATGGTAATTTTTCTGGCTAGATTTAATCTATTTAGGGAAAAATCTATCTTTACTAGCCCTCTTTAGACTGGCATCCTCACCTGGACCCCTCTTTGACCCCTAGGAACACCATCCTTTTCTGTCTTTTGAAAATGACTTCATGACGTCCTTTCTATTTGAGTTACTCTCAAATTGAACACTCAGACCACCTCAGACTCACTCTCCCAGAGATATCAGGTTTTCTTCACCTTTTCCCACTAAGAATTCTGGCCAGCCAGCAGCTCCTGAACCAAATGCTGACCTCCTACGGCCTTTGTCAATTGGCCTTTCTTCATGGGCCTAATATTGAAACAGTTTTTGTAGATGTAATTCATTATGATGAGGTCATACTGGATTAGGGTGAGTCTCAAATCCTTCCTTCTTGGAAGAAAGGCCAGTTGACAAAGGCCATAGTTGTAGAGGAAGCTTCCTTTCTCTAGCTCTCAAATGGGCTCCAGTTATATTGTTTTTTCTCCTTCATCCTTTAAACTTAGCATGGTAACGGTTGGTCCTCAACATCCCTGCAGATGTTCTTAACCCTGCCCACATTTCTATAAATATTTCCATTATTAAAAACTCTACTCACATCTCTCCTCATGGAGTGCACTGACATAGCTCCCTCTATGCTTCTCTGTAGTGGAGAACTTTAGAGCACTTACCTGTGCTTATGTCTGTCTCTCCCAGACGGTGGGCTGTCAAGCACAAGCATACTTGAACTTAATAGTTTCAGCATTTCTCACAGAGACTATTCCATAGTAGTTGCTTAGTAAATTAATAAATGAATACATGAGGAGGAAAGCCCTTTTACAGTCCGAAAGTACTTAATTTACAAGTTCACGTTTTTGAGCTCCTAGGAATGTCAGGCTGGGTTTTGGAGACGTGTCAGAGTATACTGTCTAGATAATAAAAAATGATTATTGAAGCCCATTATATTCACAGAGTGCTGACGCATATTTCATGGCACTTGACCTTAATCATGTTATGAGAGAGAAGAAAAAACCAGATATGATCTCAGTTCCCAAAAGAGATAACAGGCCCAAAGAAACTAAATATATTATAACTAAGTAATTATATTTCAATTATTATTCAGTCATGATTTAAGTTTAATTAATAAACTTTAAGCATTTTTAGCATAAAGTGAGACACATAAACAAAAGCATTTTATCCTGAAACAAATACAATACTGTAGCTGGGAAAAGAGACTATCATTGAAGGGAGCTATCATTAATGCTCATCCATTCACCTTCTGTTTTTTTAGTTGAGAACTGAAGAATAAATAGGTAGGAGTTACTGAATTGAGGGGATTAGAGGTTGGGGTGAAGAGGATTTTGTGCAGAAGAACTAGTTCATTCCAAAATTGAAACAAAGATTAGCCCATCTGAGGAGTCAAAACAGTCTAGTGGGGCTGAAGTTTGGTAAGGGCAGGGGAAAGTCATGGCCTTGGGAGTTCTTGCAGGCTCCACTCTTCCTGGAGGCTCACAGCCTCCCAGCATGGAAAAGAATGCAACTGATTATTCCCCTTTCTACCTGGAGTCCTTGCATTAAGAAATTTAACAGAATTTTCAGTTGGAGGACAAAAGCTTCAAATGCTTAATTAAAAAAAAATTAAGTTTTTCTTATGTAGTTGACCCTTTAGGTATTTAGAAAAAAGATCAAGAGACTACACTAAATATGCTGGAAAGTTAGTTATAGATGTCTGCATTTTTCCTAATTTTTATAAACAGAGTAGAACTAGCATTCTAAATGAAAAGGTTACTGTATCATGTCAAGAATCAATTGTATTATAAAGAGAAGAATTTTATTATCTGGGAAGTATAATGAGAAGTATAGTGACATCATAGGATCTATATGGCCCAAAGTGAAATGGAGATTAGCAGTTGCAGTAGTCAGGGTGCTAATGGGAAACAATGGCCCAGGCTTATTGAAAAGTTTAAAGAAAGGACTTTTTATATAGGTGTTCACAGGGTAAGGGAACTCATGCAAAATGGGGAGATGGGGATGTGCTTTTATGGTTTGAATGTTTTTGTCCCCTCTAAAAATTTATGTTGAAATTTAATCCCCAGTGCAACACTGTTGAGAGGTGGGGATATTTGGCAGGGATTTATGTCATAAGGGCTTAGTCTTCATGAATGGATTAATGCTGTTATAAAAGGGCTTGACAGAGGGATTTTGTTCCTTTTTTTGTCTTTCTGCCTTCTGCTATGTGAGGATGATGCATTGCTCCTTTCAGGAGGATGCAGCGTTCAGGGCACCATCTTGGAAGCAGAAACCTGCAGCACCTTGACCTTGAACTTCCCAGCCTCCCTCTAGAGCTGCAAGAAATAAATCTCTGTTCTTTATGAATTACCCAGTCTGTGATATTCTATCGCTTTCACTACAGCAGAAGGAGACTAAAACAGAAATTGGTACCAGAGAAGTGGGCGTCGTTATAACAAATACCTAACAATGTGGAGGCAGCTTTGGAACTTGATAATGGGCAGAGACTGGAACAGATTGAAGTAAATGCTGGAAAAAGCCTGTATTGCCATGAAAAAGGCATTGAGGATGATTCTTGTGAGTTCTCAGAAGATAAGAACTTTAGGGAAAGCCCCATTTTTAGCAATTACTTAAATGGTTATGAACAGAATGTTGGTGGAAGTGTGAAGTGGGAAGACTATTCTGCCTATATTAGTGGTTTTCAATTTTGCCTGCACATTGGAATCACCTTGGTAGATTTAAAATGCATATATATAGCCGAATCCCATCGCTAGAGCTTCTGATTTAATTGGTTTGGTGTATGGCCTGGGTATTGGGAGTTTTAAGAGCTTCCTGAATGATTCAAATGGGTAACTGGTGTTGGGAACTATTTTTCTATATCTTAGCATTTCTTTTTCTCCTCTGAATTGCTGCAACATTGTTCTATCTCTTACAATATACCATAAAACATTTAAATTTCTCTTACTTTGTTTCTTATAATAAAGCTCAGTGTTTCACGCTGAACTCTGCTTTCTCTAACAAAATGACAACACACGTCTTTGGATTCTCTTTAGTGCTGATTCCATTTCTGAGCATATAGTAGGTACTTACTAAGTATCCAGTGGGTCAATGTACTGGAGATCACTGAGTCCCTTCACAGAAGGTCACAGAGTACAGTCTCTTCTTCCTCCTATTGGAGATAGGCTTCCATTCCAGAGGGAGCGGTAAGCCAGAACATCAAGAAGACAAATTGGTTTTGAGAATGTCAACATGAAAAATGAGAAAACTACTTTTAACAGTTGGAAACCTATTTAAACTCCTAATCCTCTTATTGAACCTGTTTGGAGACAGCTTGGAGAAACCAATGCTAGGGATGCTTCCATTTACCATCCAGATGTACAAAATAAATAATGGAATTTTAATCAGCTGGAGAAGCTGCAGAACCCTAACACCTGATGAGATTTTTAAATTCATTTTTCCCCTGGGAAAACTAATTACAGCAAACTATTTCATCAAACTGTCCTGGAGAGTGGTTGTACTTGGCAGTGCCACTCTTAGAGAGGCGTTTACTTAATAAAAGTATGGCCTTAGTCCCACTACATTAAGGTAACAGTAACCAATTGTTTGTATGTATTTGTTATAAGGGCTGTTTTTATTAACAGGTTTTCAGAAGGAAACCATTATTATTTGGAGAATATTGTCCCAACCTTCAAAAGCATAGTGTTTATAATTGTTAATAATATACCTCTTGATTTATTATTGTGTATGTATAGGTTTTGACACTAATTTGGCAAGATAGACAGATAGATAGACACACACACACACATTTATTTCATAGTAACCCTGAAATTCAGGAAACAATATCCCTTTTTACAGGTGAAGAACTTGAGACCCAGAGAAGTTACTCTCTCAGAAGTACATAAGTGTTCAGTGTTAGAACTAACATGAGAATTCAAGCCTAATTTACTTCTATTTTTCCAAGCTGCCTCTGATTATGGTGGGAAAAAAATAAACAGTCTAAGACTTTCAACTTTCTTGGGAAAATAGTACACACATAACATTTATTGTTTTATGATACATGAAGGTGGACATTGGATTAAGACCCCTTGATAAGACAATGAGCCAAATGAGAACGATCCTGGGGTGTGGGTGAAGGAAGGGCTCTGGTGAGGAGTGGTTTTTATTTTTCCCTTTGGGAAAAAGCTGCATTGGGACACTCTGATGGAAAGAGACCATCTGTCTACTGGATCCTAACCTAGATCCTGCATTTGATGCTGCTCTTGGTGTTTAACAGAACTGTGACATCACTCCAGTCTGTCCTCATGATGGCTACTTCAAAGTGCCTGCCACATTTGTCAGGCTTTTGCCTTAAGGTTGTCACTTCACACGTGGATTATAGCGTTAGCCTTCATGCCAGGCCCCTGGATTTTATTTTCTCACTCTCCCTCTCCATCATCATGCCAGGGATGTCTTCCTTTAATGCCACTATCTTGCTGGGTTACTCGCTTCTTCCAAACCTCCCACTGGCTCCTAGCACATCTAACCCCTCTGACTCACAGTTAAGCCTTCTCTTCCCTTCACCACGATCTCACTGTTCTCTGTTACTCCCCTAGGTGTGCTCCGTGTTCCAGTCTCTCAGATTCATCCTCTGCTTTTCTGCCCTCATTCCTTCCTTCCTTTCTACCCCTTCCCTCCTGCATGCTCTCTCTTCTCTTTCTTTGCTGCATATAAAGATCCTGCACATTTCCAATTCCTCTGTTACTGCCGGTCCATCTCTTACTGAGCTATGCCTTCTCCTGAATGTGTTGCTAACAATTCTGTTTTCTGTTTTTCTCCATTGTTTTCATTTATGTGCTTGGCATATTTCCAAAGGTGCTGAAGGGTCAGTAGATACTCAAAAAAATTTCCAGTCCTCATTAGGGAAAGGGGAGACAGTGAGGTAAAATGTGTTATAAAACCTTGAGATTTCCACATTTTTCCCTTTCTTTCAACTCAGGAAGAAATAAATAAACAAGGATAATTACATCTGAAATAATTTAATGCTGTCAGTCAGTGTTTCAGAACATGCTCCCCTTCAAGGGTAGCTAATCATTCCAAACTGATAGAATATGTTGATCTATTGGTTCATTTGGTCAGTCATCCATGCTCCTTTGTCTTCTAGAACATAAAACTAATTGCCCCAGCACCATTTTTAAACAATTCATCATTTTCACATTGATTTGAAGTAACTCCTTTATTATACGCTAACATCTCATTTATCCCAGAGTATTTTCTTCCTGCGTTAGGTTTTCGGTGGCTTTCAGGCTTGATTTGATATTTTTTAGAGAAAAAATACTTTTAGTTTTTCTTTTATTAAAAAAATTCTTGGCTGTATTCACTCATTATTTTTCGGTATAAAATGTAAATTTCCTATGATTAAAAGATACTATTAGGATTTTGATTGAAATTTTATTAGACCTGTGCATCAATTTGAGGGAGAACTGACATTATCACTACTTACAATGATCTTATTCGAAAACACAGTTTGCTTCAGTGTTTATTAAAATTTCTTTTATACTTTCTAACACAAAAATATTATTTTCCTCATTTGTTAAAGTGGGGATAACAAGATATATGTTGCAGTGTCATAGCGAAGATTAAATGACATGATACCTGTAGAGCCCTTAATGTGTTCCACACATAGCAAGCCATCAGTGAGAATCAGTAAGTATAAGCTCTGATCACGATGATGATGCCTGTTTTAGTTTGGGCCACTGTAACAAAGTACCATAGGCTGGGGAGCTTATAAACAACAGAAATTTGTTTCCATAGTTCTGGAGGCTGGAAGCCCAAGATCAGTGTGCCAGCATGGTTGGATTCCAGTGAAGACCCTCTTGTGAGGTTGTATCCTCACATCATGGAGGTGGAAAGAGAGTGGGCTAGTGCTCTTCTTATAAGCACACTAACCTCATCATGGGGCTCATGACCTAATTATCTCCCAAAGTCTCCACCTCCAAATATACTACTGGGGCTAGGGTTTCAATATATGAATTTTGGGAGTACAGGAACATGCAGTCCATAGAATATCCCATCCTTCCACCCCCCTCTTCATCCTAAGAGATAAGGTATTGTAAAATAAATATTAATAATATGCTGGATTCCTCTTAAACTCCCAGAAGTATTGTATAAAATATCTCTGCAAGTCTAACTGAGGTCTCTGCCTGAAATCAATGCTAGGAATTCCTAATGTGGACCACCTGGCAAGAAATAAAACAGAATTCTGTATGATCCAAAGTTCATTCTCTCTAAGAACTGTCTGCCTTCAGGTATCAGATCCCACCAGCATTTGTTATTGTAAATTCTAGTAGTTCTCTTTTCTCTTTGTTGCATTTGATTAGACATTATAAAACTGTCTATTTTTTAAGTTTTTGTTTTCAAAGAATCAGTTTCTTCAATTATTTATCCAGTCTACATTTCTTTCCTGGATATTATTAATTCCTCTCTTACTTTCTCTAGAATGTTGTCCTTTTTTTAATTTGAATTCAAGGAATAATTTAATTTATTTTCCTTGTTTTTGGTTTATTAATGAAATCGTTTATGTTTATAATATTGTCTCTGAATGAAGTTTTTATTGTATGGTGTATTAGAATTGATATATTCATGTGGTGATTTATTTTTATTTTATTGAGTAGTCGGAGACCATGGCTTGTGCATTTCTGATTGGGATAATTTATTGAGTTTTCTTTAGTGACTGGATATATGATACAGTTTTGTAAGTGCTCCATAAAGTCTTCAATAAAATATTTATTTCTCTTAAAGGTGTTTACAATTGTTCCCTTTCCAATACTACTTAAATCCAACTTATTACCAAAACCTGCCAAATCTACCAAAAATATATTTCACATCAGCCTCTTTGTTTCCACCTCTGCTGCCCCCACCTCTTTTAAGCAGCCACCAGAATTGCCCCCTCACCACTACTTTGGTCCTTTCCAAACCATGCTCCACTGGCCAGCCAGGTGATTTAAATAAATCAACCAGCTTGCATCCCCCCCCAGGAGGCTGAATGCTCTCCATTTGCTTCTGCTCTAAGGACAGAACCGAGACCTAAACACACTGCAAAATTGGGCCCCTTTTCTTCTCCTTCACTTGATCACAGGCCCCCTTTTCCTGTGCTTACTGAGATATAGCCATAGAGGCGATAGCCTTCTATTTGGTCCTTGAATATGTCAAGCACTTTTTCATCTCAGACCCACAGCACATGCTGTCTCCCTTCTGCAACAGTCTCTGCTGTGTTTGCCTGTGTTAACTTAAAAACCACACAATTTTTAAGTGTAGAAAGGAGAGCTTTACTTCTAAATAAGGCAATTACAACCTGCAGGCAGAAAGTGTAGCCTTGGCCAAAAAATCCAAAAGTAACCTTCTGGGGAGGGGAGGATGGAATGAGGATTTATGCTGAACGGGTTGGCTAAGTATACATGTTTATTAGATTGCAGAAGTTATGGATATTCATGAATGCATGCATACTGAAAAACATGCATGTTACATACAACCTAAGTTCATTTAGGGGTGGGGACTTAACATTTAAATGTATTACAATTAGGACCCACGTGCCAAAAGGTGAAGAAGGGACACAAAGGAACTCAGTGCGCAGCCTCTGTAAACAGGTGAGAACCAGTCCGTGATTGGTGGTCTCTTACCAAGAGAGAGTTACTGAAATCAGTCCCTTGTCCAATCAAAACTGTAGTTATGGCTTGTGGAAGGGGCGGGGTGGTCAGTTAGTTAGCATCTGGCAATGAGCTGCAATTGTTTAAACATTGCTTATCTCAAAGCCAGGGCTTGTTTAGCTGCTAGAGAAAAAGACAAACCTAGTGGCAGTTAGAACATAGTTTCTTCTTTTTTCTTTTTTTCTTTTTTTGAGATGGAGTCTTGCTCTGTCACCAGGCTGGAGTGCAGTGGCATGATCTCAGCTCACTGCAATCTCTGCCTCCCAGGTTCAAGTGATTCTCCTGCCTCAGCCTCCCGAGTAGCTGGGACTACAGGCACGCACCACCACACTCAGCTAATTTTTTTGTATTTTTAGTAGAGATGGGGTTTCACCAAGAACATAGTTTATTCTTTAAGTGTAGGCATATGTGACTTAACTCTTGCCTGGTATGGTCTGATATCTTATTGCCACAGAGTCCATTCAATCAATCTTATGATCTCTATTTTAACATTAATGCTGGTCAATTGTTGCATCTAAGCTCCAAAAGAGTGGGGGTGTAATGAGGTGTGTCTGACCTTCTGTCCCATCGTGGCTGAGAGAACTCACCTTTGAACTTAAGAGCTTTTTAAGGTTTCTCTGGGGTCCCCTTGGCCAAGAAGGGGCCTGTTCAGTTGGCTGAGGGACTTAAGATTTTATTTTTAGTTTACATCTGGCTGGCTCCTTTGCCTGCCACAGGCCTCTGTCTCCAGAAAGCCCTTCCCAGACCTCCAGACCTAAAGGGAATCTATCCCTCCCACTCCAAATTCAATTTCCTCACACTCCATACTATTCCTTTATAGCACTTAACCCAATTTATAGTTGAATATTTCTTTGTTACAAGTCCAAAAACTACCTTTTCTACTAGGCTGGAAGCTCCATGAATGAAACATCTTTATTTATGTCCCTCAGAAAACCCATTGTATAGCACATTTTCAACATATAATAGTCTCTTAAAAATAGGTTTAATGGAAGAGTGACTTGTGTAGAGCACAGAGTATGATATATCTCCCCAAATGTACCTTATCATTTTTAGTATTTGGAACATATATCCTTATTTATTTGTTCTTCATCAGTCAAGCGTGGAGCAACAAGTATTGAAGTTCCCAATACAATTATGTTTCCATCAATTTCTTCATATTTCTGGTATGTTTTGCTTTAGAAATGCCAAGGCAATGTTGTTCAGAGTCTAAGTGTTTTTTGACTGTTGGAATTGTGCATGATCTAGGACTCTTCGTTGTAACTAATAGGATCCATTGTGAACTTGTAGCAGTGGACTTTAAAAGAAGAAGCTTATATAGTAGCAGGAGTGTCTTATAGAACTTGAGGCCAGCAAAGCAGGCAGGCCGTAGGGGGTGTGTGTGTGTGTGTGTGTATTTGTTTTTGTTCACCTTTGATTGATTTTATGTCTATGTAGCTCTAGCACTTGCTCATAAACCATGCATGTAAGTATTCATTAGTTTTTTTCACTGGTCACCAAATGGCTTGGACTCACCCAACATCATAAACAAAAGATCCATCAATATGATCACCCCAAAAGGAATGTTGTCTTCACCCCGTGTTTTCCCTGTGCCTGGTGAGGCAGCCTCTCTGTGGGCTAACCCTGTATGCCTGGACTTCTGTCTGGCCAGATTTCCAGATGTCACTGAGCCAAGGACAGGTTAAACTTGGCATAGTATCCTCCTTCCTGCTACTCATGACTGCCATGATTGGGCAAACTCCTGGCTGGGTTTCTGTAAGATATCACCATTTTTTCCTCAATGCTGTTGAATGACAGCAGGAAAACAGAAGCCAAAGTTCTTGGCTCTCATCTATTCCACAATCCACTCTCACCTCTGCTTACCAATCCCAATATGAGTCTGTGATGATGGGGATGCGTTAGTCCCTTTCTTCCAGGCTCTGCCACCCTGCTGGTTTCTGCTCAATTTAGCACCTCTTCAACCCAGATTCTCCCAGGTTTGCATCTTCATTCAAATGCTACTTCACAGAAAGGGATTTTGAGAGTTACCTACATATGCTATTTTCTCACCTTATTACATAAGAAAGAAAAAAACTTAGTAAGTAGAGACTTTATTCAGAAGCATTATTGCAATAGGGCCAGGGAGATTATTGCAATAAAGAGAACTCATGGTCATAAGACCTGCAAACAACTCAAGGCATAGGCAAAAATAACTTTTCTTTTACAGAAAGGAGTAAAAAGGCTAGAAAGAACTGGGTACAGGGAAGTGGGAAGAAAGGGTGGCATGATCAGATGACCATGAGGCCATCCTATTTTCCTGGGGTGGCCCTTAAGGAGGAACCACATATTGGCTCAGGTTGAGGTTGGACCAAAGGCCAGAGAGCTGGGGAAAGGAGAGAATATTAACCAAAGTGTGGTTTATGAGTGTTTTGTACTGATTGATCAGAGGGACTAGTGGTTCAACTAATCATTTGTGAGACAAATAATGGGAATTTAGAGGAGCTATATTTGGCTTTGTCAATAGATAAATAAGGGAGATATCTGTGAATCTGTTGTTTTATTTTTATTTTAAACAATTTATTGTGGACAATTTAAAAATATACCACACACAAAGATAGTGATATATTCATCACTCAGCTTCAATTATCAACTTTTGCTAATTTTGTTTTATATACAGTAGTCCCCGCCTTATCCCCCTTTTATCCACTGTTTTGCTCTCTTTGGTTTCAGTTACCTGCTGTCAACCCCTGTCCAAAAATATTAAATGGAAAGTTCCAGAACAATTTATAAACTTTAAGTTGTATGCCATTCTGAATAGTGTGATGAAGTCTCTTCCTGTCCTGCTGACACGAATCGTCCTTTTGTCCAGTGTAGGTGTGCTTTGTACGCTCCCTGTCTGTGATTTACTTCACAGCCATCTGGATTACCAGATCAAAAAAAAGCAGTACAGTTGACCCTCGAACACCATGGGTTTAAACTGTGTGGATCCACTTATATGCGAATTCAAAATACAGTATTCTCTGGATGAGTGAAACACACATATGTGGAGCCTGACTTTTCCTCTAAGTGAGTTCAGCAGGGCAGACTATAGGACTTGAGTATGTGTGGATTTCGGTATATGCAGGGGTCCTGAAACCAATCTTCTGCGTATAGAGGACTGATTGTATATATAGAGTTTAGTACTATCCATGGTTTTAGGCATCCACTGGGGGTCTTGAAACCTATGCCTCCTAGATAAGGGGGAACTACTGTATCCCATCACTTGGGTTAGGGGTGTTGGGGTTGGCTTTAAGCAAGTTTTAGATTAGTATATCATTTTGCTCACTAATACTACAGTATATATCTATAAAAGATAACTTATTCTGCATATTACACAGAACTAAATTAATAATAATTTCTTAATATCATTTAACTTGTTCACATTTCCCAAGTCTGAACATACTTTTACAGTTGATTTATTTAAAGCAGTATCCAATCAAGGTTTACAAACTGTATTTGAAAAAATAATGTTTTTAAGACTTAAAAATATTTTTTTATTTTAAAAAATTGACATAAAAATTTATGTATGTATCATGTACAACCTGCTTCTGGTAGCCACCATTGTATTATCTACCTCTATGAGATCAGCTTTTTTAGATTTCACATATGAATGACCTGGCTTACTTCACTTAACATAATGTCTTCCATTTCCATTCATGTCACACACATCAGTATTTTATTCTTTTTTAATGCTTTAATAATATTCCATTGTTATATATACCACATTTTCTTTATTCATTAATCCACTGATGAACACTTAGGTTGATTTCATACCTTGACTATTGTAAATAGTACTGCAATAAACATGGGAGTACATATATCTCTTGGACACACATAAACTTTGAGTATACACTCAGCAGTGGGATTGCTGGGTCATATGGTATTTTCACTTTTAATATTTTGAAGAACCTTATACTGGTTTCCATAAAGGCTGTACTAATTTACATCTCTACCAACAGCCTCTAAGGGTTCCCCTTTTCCCACATCCTCTGCAACATTTGTTATCTTTTGTCTTTTTGATAATAGCAATTTTAACAGGAGTGAAGTGATATCTCATTGTGGCTTCGATTTGCATTTCCCTGGTGATTAATGATGTTGAGCATTTTTCATATACCTGTTGGCCATTTGTATGTCTTCTTTTAAGAAATGTCTATTCATTTTGCCCATTTTAAAATCAAGTTATGTGTTTTTTTTTGCTATTGGATTGTTTGAGTACCTTACACACTTTAGATGTTAACCACTTATGAAATGTATAGTTTGCAAATATTTGTTCCCATTCTGTAGGTTATCTCGTCATTCTGTTGATTTTTTCCTTTGCTGTGCAAGTAGCTTTAATAAGGCATAGGGGAAAAGCTCCATGACATTGGTCTGGGCAATGATTTTTTGGATATAACTTCAAAAGGCCAGACAATAAAGGCAAAAATAAAAAGTGGGATTACGTTAAACCATAGTGTTGTCTTAGTCTCATGGAAAAGGATGGTTCTTTGCAGTAAGCCATTTCTGGAACACAAAGGGTGAGAGGATTTCGTATCCTTTGCTGCTTGATCACAGGATCACAGGATCACAGGGATAAGGTAACATTCACCATTGACACCTTCCATTCACTCTTCCACCCATTCTGATCTGGATTTTGCACTGAACCTCCTTTTTAAAATATATATGTATATGTCACCAATGACCTCTTCCTTGCCAGGTTCAATGGACTCTTCTTAGTCCTAGTAGTCCCTAGCTCCCCGGAGCATTTGGGGCAGCTAGCCATTTTCTCCTTTCTTAGACTAATTGCCTTTGGGCTCCATGAAGCCACAGCCTCCTGTGTTTTTTCTTTCTCCTCTAGCAGTGATTGTTCTTTCTCCTTTGTCTGTTTTTCTCTCTCCCAATGCCTAATGTTGGGACAGAGAAGCCCTATTTTGTAGGGCTCACATTGTGGGCCTCTTCCAAAGCTTCATGCTTTCTTAAATTCATGTCATTCATTTCCATACATTCAAATATTATGTCTTTGTCTATCGCCTTCCAGTTTTTATCTCCATGCCACATCTCTTTCCAGAACTCCTGACTCATGTATCTAACATTTGAAATCTGTATCTTATCTATCTAAAAGAAATTTCAGACATAAAATATCCCAAATGAAA